>NC_000008.11:20163132-20466163 GCF_000001405.40 Homo sapiens
CTGGTTGCTGGATCATAACATGGCCAAAGGGGGTCACATGGAGAGAGAGCACACATGAGAGAGATGTAAAGGGAGCTGAACTCCCCTTTTATTATGACAAACTCACTCCCATGATAATGGCCTTAATCCATTCATGAGGGTGCTCCCATGATCTCATCATCTCTCAAAGGTCCCACTTCTCAAGACTGTTGCACTGGGGATTCAATTTGCAACATATAAATTTTGGGGGACACATTCACACCATATCAGAGGTCAAAGAGGTTAAATAACTTATCCGAGGTCACAATCAGTAAGTGACGTGGTCAGCATTCAAACCCAGGTGGACCTGGGCTATTTCCTCCCCTTGGTGATGCTACCTAGTATATGGTGGGCCACATAGCAAGCACTCAGAGGCAGACTACACATTACTTTCAAAAGCATGGACTCCTTTGGCTCCCAACACCTTTGAGGGATGCTCTTCATGTACAGCAGCGATTTTCTAGGTGTGATCACTGACCAGCTATATTAGCATCACCTGCAGACTTACTAGGGATGAAAACTTGTTTTGACTAAATTGCCTACTGTCTCCCAGCAATCAGAGTTTTAACAAGCTCTCTAGGTGATTCTGATGTAGTTGTTGGACAACCTTTGATGTCAGACTTTACAGACCAGATAGCATTGAGAAAGCTGTAAAAGATGGTGGCAACTGAGTGACTGGTAACTGAGTAATTGGTAACTGGCAACTGAGAATGGTCCCTAGGCTGCTGGGGAGGAGCTGCTCTGTGTTGTAGCTGCTCACTAGTATCGAGACCCTGAGTGGTCAGAGCCTTAGGGCAGGCGATGAATTATCTGCACTGAATACCGACTAACTCAATTAATCGTCATGGTCAAAAGCACTTGCAACCCATAAAAATTCAATTTGGCACTAGGAGTGCAGCTGGGAGTCTTGCTTAGAATTGCCCCCCCAAAATTAGATTTAGTGCTTTTTATTGCATGCTGAACTATATCATGTTCTTATCAGCTTCCCCTCTGGCCCCGTAAGCCTCTCCTCCCTGCAGTGATGGAGCAATTTGCACGTAGCCTTCCCTGTCCTCTTTCCTCAGGGTTCCTGGGAAGGGCTAGATCCTCCTCTCCAAGCTCCTCTCTAAGTCGCTGCATGAACAAAGGAAGCTGGAACCCTCTCTCCTGGGCCCATAGCTTTTCCTAAGTGAGTGCTACATACACCCCTTTTTAGAGGTAAAAAAGATAACCAAAGGGTAGTCTTGAGGATGAGGAGCTGAAGGGAGGAGAATGTGGATGGTAATGGTGCACATTAATATTGTACAGGGTACAAAGCATTTTCACCTCATATGTCATTTATTCATCCAATTTCTCTTGAACTAGATAGTATTTTGATGCTCATTTTAGCAATGAGAAAAGTGATGCTCAGAGGGTTTAAGGCATCTGCACAAGTTTTCACAGAAAATCAAAGGAGCTGAAACCAAAACCTGAATCTTTGGACTGGAAATCATTAATCATCCTACTACACAGCTAGGTATGTGACCTCTCCATAGCCCCTTTCATCCTCTCTCACCCTCCCCTTTCTCAGACTGCTTCTCTGAGGGACCACACACCCTCTTGGGCTTGATTCATGGGTGTGGACGTGGGAGGTCATTCTACAAAGGAAGCATGTTGTCCCTGTGTGACATTGAACGAAAGGACTCATGGCACCCACCTCCTCCTGCCAGGCCCTGAGCGGGGGTGCTGAGGTCACTTACCCAGCTGCCACTTGGGGGAGCACATGGTCTGCATCATCCAGATGGGCAGTGTGGGCTCCAGGATGGCCACCCCCATGTTGGCAAAGCAGATGGACCCTGGGGAGACTGTTCTGTGAGCAGCCGTGGCTGCTTGAAGCCCAGACACTCCCCGCCCAATGGGAGGTCATCGCCAGCTTACCTGCAGCCACCAGGATGTAAGGGTCTTTGAGAAGCATAAAGAGGGGAGTCCCCTTGGCACTCTGAGAACATGGATAACAAAAAATGTCCATTTGTACAGTGCATACATCTCTCCTATTTTCACAGAATCTGAGAAAGTACAATTATGGGCTTAGAGACCATCTACAGTATCTCCTTTACTGCAGAGACCAGGAACCCCAGTACAGGGAGAGAAAGTGACTTGTCTGATGCCACAGAGGAAGCTGGAGGCAGGACCCCTCCTGTGTGAAAGGTAGGCACTGTAATAGTCACAGATAGAGAAGCAACATATTCCAGCCATGGTTCCTGCGTTCACGTGACCATCAACAAGGTCAGAGTGGATTGGTAGCAAGGTCAGGGTTGGACAATAGATGTCTGGACTCCTGGTTTCCACTAGATCTCCCTGGTACTAATATTTGTCCTGGGAGAACCACAGGCAGAGCACCGAATCCCAAAAGCAAGCACAGAAGCCATAACTCAGAAAGCCTCTCAAGCTTTCTGAATTCTTCATTCTGATCATTTTGAGCCACACTGAACTAAGGTAGAAGAAGCAGGGTTAAAATACAGCCTAAACATCCAGGACCCACTCTCGTCAGGACACACTCTCATCTAAACTTGGTCGCCCCACCCTCTTTCCAAGCATCCCAGCAGTGCCTCAGCCATCATTATTGCCTTTGCCTAAACTACACGTTCTGAGCTTCTCCATAGTTCCATGTTCTACCCACTCTTTAAAGTCAAGCTTAAATGGCTCCTTCTTTTCTAGAGAGCTCCCTGACTCAGTAGCTGGGGCTTCTCTCTCTTCCAGACATCCTGAACACTATGTCCTAATCCTTCATGGTGTTTACTACTTTCTATCTTGTAATAGATTGGATCATTTTGGTATGATAACCCTCTCTGCACACACACAATAGTGGATTGATAAATTTAGAGATCCTAAAACTAAAGAGATCATTCGCTTACCCAATTATTATTCGAAGTAAAGAAACTGATGTAAATCATTAAAATATACATTTAAAAGTACAATAAACCCTTTGACCCAACAGTCCCACTTCTAGGAATTGACTCTAAAGATTAATGACAACATTATAAACATGCAGTCATGCAAATTACAGCACTATTTATAACTATAAAATACTGAAAACTACCTAAACATAGGAGATGGAATAAAATATGGCGCACACACTATTGTGTACACATACAAAATTGTGTGTGGGTGTGTGTGTGTCTATATATATATATATATATATATATATATATATATATATATACACCACCAGGTGGAAAATAATAAGGAAAGATTCTGTGAACTAGTAGAGTAATTTTCAGGACATATTATTGAGAAAAAAAGGAGAACGCAAAAAAAAGAATACATAGTGTGCTGCCTTTCATATAATAGAAAAGGGAAAAATAAGAAAACACATAAGCGATTTATTTTGAGGAAAAAACACTAAGACACAGGAAAGACAAACCAGAAGGCATTAAAATTGGTTACCTATGAGTGGTAGGGGTGGGAGAGGGGGAGGGTTAGAAAGACTGGAGGGATTGACACTTTCTGAGTACACCTTTTGGAATAATTTTGACTTTTAGGTGGTAATGTCCTATATATTAAAAAAATAAATTATATTAGTGTTATGGGCTGAATGGAGTCCCCCCACCTTAGTCAAATTAGTATGTTGAAGTCCTAACCTAATATGACTGTGTTTGGAGACAGTATCTTCAGGGAGGTAATTAAGGTTAAATGAGGTCATAAGAGTGGGGGCTCTAATCTGAAAAACTGTTTTCCTTATAAAAAGAGGAAGGGACATCAGGGCTCTCTTCCTCTGTGCATGCACACTGAGTAAAGGCCATGTGAGGACGCACTGAGAAGGTGGCTGTCTGCAAGCCAGGAAGAGAGGCCTCACCAGAAACCAACCCTCAACAGTACCTTGACCATGGACGTTCAGCCTCCAGAGTCGTGAGAAAATAAATATGTGTTGTTTAAGCTACCCAATCTGTAGTATTTTGTTCTGGCATCTTGAACAGACTAAGATAATTAGCCAGAATGGAGAAAAAAAACTAAAACTAAATGCCAAAAAAAAAAAACCCCACAAATGGATGCAAATGAATTTCAAATGTATCATGCATTACATAATCACACTAAAGGTGGAAAAAAGAACTAATGGAAGTACGGTAATTTCTAGATACAGTATTTGGCTATATTCATTAAGTCTAAGGGAAAAAGAACTGAAAAGTCTTGAATATTTCTTGGTAGCTTTGTTTTTTATAATGGCATGGGTAAGTATTATAGAATTATACAAGTAAGTAAATTTTTTAATCTATTTGTAAAATAGGTGTTTCACCTATTTGTATAATAGGGGGAGACAAATTTCTTACTTTGAAAGAAGAATACATGTATGGAATGGGGCAAGCAGGGAAAAATCCCGTGGAGTTGGGCTGGAAGTGGAGGTCTCAGTACAAACTTGTGTGTGTGTATTAGCTCTGTCATCAAGATGGCAGGGAAACAAGGTGACCCCAATGGCAAAGAGCACATTGAGTCCCCATAGTTTTTTGTTTTTTTTGTTTTTTTTGTTTTTTTGAGACAGAGTCTTGCTCTGTAGCCCAGACTGGAGTGCAGTGGCATGATCTTGGCTCACTGCAAGCTCCTCCTCCTGGGTTCATGCCATTCTCCTGCCTCAGCCTCCTGAGTAGCTGGGACTACAGGCACCCACCGCCACGCCTGGCTCATTTTTTTGTATTTTTAGTAGAGACGGGATTTCACTGTGTTAGCCAGGATGGTCTCAATCTCCTGACCTCATGATCCGCCTGCCTCGGCCTCCCAAACTGCTGGGATTACAGGCGTGAACCACCGTGCCCGGCCCCATAGTTTGGTTTCTAAACACCATTCCCTACTAACAAGAACCTGGGCTCCTTGGGGAAATGAATTCAGGGCTGAGGCAGGGAAAGTACAAGATGAACGTAGGACATATTTTTGTATCGAAAAGTAAAACATTACTCAAAAAACAATGAAGGTATGTTAAAATGACACAGCAACAAGTTAATGGGCTTTGACTTGTCAAATCTAGGACAATTTGAGCATCAAAATAATTAAGGACGGGAGGCCAGGAGTTCAAGGCCAGCCTGGGCAACACAGGCAGACCCGGTCTCTATAAAAAGTTAAGCTGGGTGTGGTGGCATGCCTGTGTAGTCTCAGCTACTCAAGAAGCTGAGGCAAGAGGGTCACTTGAACCCAAGAGTTGGAGGCTACAGTGAGCCATGATCACACCTCTACACTCCAGCCTCAGTCACAGAAAGAGGCCCTGTCTCCAAAAAAAAATTAAACAAGTAAATAGAGTGATGAACTACAAAAATAGGACTCCATGATTCTACACTGATAATATCAGATAAATAAATGTTTTTTAAGTTTTTTGTGAACATAATCACATGTACATAAAATTATTATATACCTATTTGGTATAAATATTTATAAATATATACATATAAAGAGAGTAAGAAAGGAATGGCTATTGCTTTTTTGTTTTTTAGAGTATTTTTTTTGAGACAGAGTCTTACTTTGTCACCCAGGCTGGAGTGCAGTGGCTTACTGCAACCTCCGCCTCCTAGGTTCAAGGGATTCTATTGCCTCAGCCTCCTGAGTAGCTGGGATTACGGTGTGCACCACCATGCCCAGCTAATTTTTTTGTACTTTTAGCAGAGACAGGGTTTTGCCATGTTGGCCAGGCTGGTCTCAAACTCCTGGTCTCAAGTGATCCGCCTGCCTTGGAGGAATGGCTATTCCTTACAGCAAAGTGCCAACTGATGATTTGGATGAATTGGTGAACTAGAAAAACCAGTATTTTGTAAACATTATAGTAAAGATTGGGTCAGTCAAGAATCATCAATGGATAACAAATCTAGGCAGAAAGGAAATTTAAGGAGGAGTAGGAGATTTATATGACTTTACAACATCTCCCACATGTTATATATTAGTTACAAGGTGAAGAAGTAATTACTACACAAGAGACCCAGACAACACCTTGACCCAGTGATCAAAATGGACATCACCACTGAGAGGCGACGGGCATTAAATACCTCCAGACATGAAACTCAGAAGGCTACGGTATCATGAAGAAACATCAGACAAACCAAATTTAGGAATACCCTATAGATAATTGTCACAAATGTCAATGTCATGAAAGATAAAGGCTGAGAACTTTTCCAGATTAAAAGAGGCTAGAGAGGTGTGATGCATAAATGTCTTACACAGTCATGGACTGGGCTTTGCATTAGAGAAAAAAAGACTTCCATGGAAGACATTATCGGAATAATTGACACAATCAGAGTAGGCACGGCAAATTAGACTAAAGTATTATATCCATGTTAAATTTCCTGAATTTGATAGCTCCATTGACATTACATAAAAAAAAATCCTGTTCTTAGGGAAAATGCTCTAAAGTATCAAGGGGTAAGGGAACGATACAATCAATCTACTGTCAACTGGCTCAAAACATTAGTAATAATAATAATAATGTATATTTGTTAGAAAGAGAGAGAATGGGCTGGGTGCGGTGGCTCATGCCTACAATCCCAGCACTTTGGGAGGCTGAGGCGGATGGATCACTTGAGCTCAGGAGTTCGAGACCAGCCTGGCCAACATGGTGAAATCCTGTCTCTACTAAAAACATAAAAATTAGCTGGGCATGGTGGTGCGTGCTTGTAATCCCAGCTACTTGGGAGGCTGACACAGGAGAATCATTTGAACCTAGGAGGCAGAGGTTGCAGTGAGCCGAGATCGCCCCACTGTACTCCAGCCTGGGTGACAGAGCAAGACTCCGTCTCAAAAAAGTAGATATTTATGGGTGCCTCACTTTCCTGGAATCTCAAGCTGGATTTACTTGCTGAGTAATTCACCACTGCTGCACAGTTAATAATAAACAGTGGCTGAACCACCTGGATGAGTGTCCCTACGCCTGGGCCAGGGCTGGAGGGGTGCTGGGCCCAAGCATATGCCAGGCCTGGGAGCCTGTGCAGAGGGTATTTGGTGCTCCTTGCCCTGAGGAGTCCTGGATGGGTGGTGGTTATGACTTCCCTCTCCAGGACCCAGACATCCTACTCCTAAAGCCAGTCTGTAAAGAGCAGAGCATCTCAGGAGACTGCGGGAGGCTCCTAGTTGCTCTGGGGGAATTGGCACTCTAAAAGTATTGATTATGTCATAGTTTCAAATTCTTTCAGATGCTTCTCTGTTCACCCTCGATTTCATTATCTGTAGAGTGAGGCTAAAAATTGTACTTATTTCATGGAATGTGTAAGATGCAGCATAGATGGCGCACTAAGCTGAGCTCCTGGTGCGTGAAAAGCCCTGAAGAATGATGAGGTGTTAGTGTCATGACTTCCGGAATACCTTGACAAGCTGTGGAATGCAAAGTCAAGGCCTTTAGATCAAACATTTTTACACTTGATGCACTTTCTTACTTTTTTTCCTTCGTGGTGGGATATGGATTTTCCAGAGCTGTTTTTGGCTTAGAGTCAAACAAGTACCAACTCTGATATTTATTAACTGTGACAGAATGACAGTTAGGGATATTCACACAGGATGTCTTTTATTGCAGAAGATGTTGTCTAGGTGGCCCCCACAGCCTTCATCTCTGAGATGATGTTACAGCTCCAAATACTCAGTCCCCAATGTCATTATCTCCTAGCTATAATTACATGTGTGTGTGCACATATATATATATATATGGAGATCTCCAGATATACATGAATATATATATACATACCCCATATATGTGTCGAATATATAGATAGATAGATAGATAGATTCTCTATGGCTTCTTTGATTATGCACAAGGTTCTTCCACCATCTTTGTCCAACATCAAGCCAAATACGTCACTATCCCCCACACTACCTGAAACGTAACCCTATCCTGGAATCCAAACACAGTTCTCACTTTCGCTGACCCTATTCCTCTTCACTTTTCTTCTTATGGTTTGGCAGGCATGCCTGGGTTCCTGCATTCAGCCATCCTGTATAACTGTTAGAAATGGAGCTTTGTGTCTGCTTACCTCAGGAGAGACTTTGGAAGGCTGTAGGATGCAAAGCTGGAGTGCTAAGAAACAAAGAAGGTGAGACAGTTCAGCGTGTCTACTGATTAGCTGGGGGCTCCAATAACAGCTGTAGTGCTACCACCCTATTATGCATAAATTTAACTCCCTGAGTTTCTTCTTTCTTTTCTACAACGGGGCAGTCCTTGATCCATCAAAACATGTCCAAACCGCCCATTCTTAGTGAAGACTGACACTACAACATAATGCATTCCCAACCTGACCTGGGCTGTCACCTGCTGGAGGCTCTGATGGTGACTTACCTCCATCCAGTAGTGCCAGGAAGGCCAGGATGAGGAAGGGTGCAGACTTCCCAACAAACTCGTACATTACACTTCCAAAGGGAGCTCCCACTGGAGAGGCATAGGAGACACAGATTCCAGAGGTGAGGGTGAGTCCTTTGCAGTGAGAATTATCCATATTTACCCCGTGAGCATTTGCAGAAGGCCTGCTAGGGGCTAAGCTCCACCTGAGGCTCTGGGAATTCAGAGATGGAGACATGATCCCTGTCCCCATCAAGCCCACTTTCTAGTGGAGGAAGTGTGTGTGTGTGTGTGTGTGTGCGCGCGCGTGTGTGTATGTATGTGTGTGTGTGTGTAGGGAGGGACACAGATAATTAAAGCATGGTGAAAGTTTGACAGTAAAATGTTGCATGCAATGAAAGCACAGTCAATGTCTCAGGAATTTCAGGCAGCCACGAGGGCTTTGCCAAGTGTAGAGTATCTGGAGGGGAAGAAGCTTGTGTGAAGAACACAGAGGTGTCAGAAAAGAGTGTGTAGTTGGAGAAGAAAAAGAAGAAAGCGGGTGTTAGCAGAGTATGAATATTTGCGAGGAGAAAAGTAGAGCCTTGCATATGCAGGAACCTTGTATATGCAGATGAGTCATGTACTTGGCCTTGCGGCCTATGGAGAAACATCAGGTGAGAAACATCACCTGCTCTGGGCTCAGGAAGATTGTTCAGGCAGCATCGTGGTGGAAGGAGGGAGTACACAAGAGGGAGGATGCTGCCAGATTCTAACCCAGAAGTGACAAGGAGCCAGGAGTGGCTGTTGAGGATCTAACAAGCTTGTTCATTTGGGAGCTTATTCATTTGGGACATGATAAAGGATTTCAAGATGCACAGGGTTTAGCTTGGGCATTTGGGTTGATGGATACTAGCAAATAACAGGGATTCTGTTTCCTCTGCTTCCCATGGGGCTAGAGGGTGGGGCATAGGCCGGGGAAGAAATTTCAGGTGTTTTGTTTTCGATGAGCTTGTAAGCTCCTAGAGGGCAGGAACTATGCCTGGGGCTTCCCACCCTACAGTACTGGCACTGTGCTTGGCATGTAATAAGTGAAAGCATGTAGCTTGTCAATTAAGTTGTATGAGGGAGGAGCCTCAAAGAAAGGGTAGTTTTATCGTTTGGGGCTTGGGTTTCCAAGCCCAGAAAATCGGAGTCTGTATCCTGGCTGTGGCGTTTCCTAGCTGTGTGATGTTGGATGGTGTTTTCGCCATTCTTATTTTCATCTCTATAATGGGGAAAATCATTCCTCCTTTCATTCCTGGTGGTGAGGAATAAAAGAGATTATGCGTGTAACAGATTTAGCAGAGCATCTGGCAGCAGCCATGCTCTGGTGCTGTGTGCATGGGAACCGAGGCGAAGCAGTGGCCTCTAAATCGGGGAGGCTCACTTCCTCCAACAGGCTGGGCTTCCGGACCTTTCTCCGACGTTTATGTGTTTCCCAGCTTCTTAAGGAGAAGGAAATTTAACCTTTTCTCAGTGATATTTCTAAAGGAGTTGAAATAGGATGAGGCCAACAAGGGAAGGAAAATACTCGTCTTCTACACCTCGGGAACACCTGCTTCCTAGAGTCCCACCCTCCCGAACCCAGAGCTCCAGCTGGTGCCACTTACCCAGCAACCCCAAGGCCAGGCCCCCCAGAGCAGTTCCCATGGCTCGTCCTCTCTCATGGTCATCAGTGTAGACACTGGCCAGCATTCCAAGACCTGCGCAGAGAGTTACAGATGCAGCTGGCCCCCTGGGGGGCTTCTATCCGCCTCTCAGAGCCCTTGGTCCCACCCTGTTATCTCTTCAGTGACAATCTTAGCTAGAGTTTCAGTTTGAGGGGTTTTACAAAACTTAACCCGTAGTATTTTTCAAGTACTACCCTCCCTAGTCCCCCAAGCCCCCACATTGTCCACTCCTGTTCAGAATATTGTTGATAGTGCAAGCCCTCTGGAAGGATAACACAGAAAATCCATTGTCTGATTATACCATGTTTCATAACATTTTATCATTTCCTAGCACATTTCCCAAAATGAGGGGTTACAGAGCAGATCAGGGAAAGGAAAATCTAGGCACACAGAGACCATTCTATTTAACAGGGGTGCCCAGGGAAGAGCAGGAAAGCACTGCAGACCTGGAAGAAAGTGTGGGCTAGTGCTGTACGGCAGCTGGACCCTCTGGCCTTCATAGCTATGGGTAAAATGGCATAAAATGCCAACTTCATAAGATTGCATTAGATATTATATTCACCAGTACTTTGAAAACTGTGCTGGTGTTACCAGTAGTACTAACATGATTATTCCTATAAAGTACTAAGAGGGGGACAGAAAAAGGACCATAGAGTGGCACTAAATGAAAGCCTGCCCTTCTTCATAGCTTCACTGGAGGCTTGCTCTGACCTGAGCTAGCTGCATCTGAATATTAGCAGAGGAAGTTATGTCAGGCTCAGAGATCTATGGACCCTGTTAGAAACTCTGTAATTCCTTTCTTTTTTTTTTTTTTTTTTTGAGTTAGGGTCTAGCTCTGTCACCCAGGCTGAAGTGCAGAGGCACAATCATGGCTCACTGCAGCCTTGACCACCCAAGCTCAAGCCATCCTCCCACTTTAGCCTCCCAAGTAGCTGGGACCACAGGTGCACACCACCATGCCTGGCTAACTTATTCTCTCTTTTTTTTAATAGAAATAGGGCTCTCACTATGTTGCCCAGGCTGCCCGGGTTGGTCTCAGACTCCTAGAATCAAGCTATCCTCCTGCCTTGGCTTCCCAAAGTGCAGGGGTTACAGGTGTGAGCCACTGTGCCCAGCCCAATTCCCTTATTTCTGAATCACAATTTCTACCTATCCAGGTGACATTTTCCTTAATTTCTCCATGTAAATATAGGATCTGAGGTAGTAAGAGATGTGTGTGTGTGCATGCCTGCATGTGTGTGTGCATGATGAGTTGCCAGTGTTACCTGCAACAGATGAAAATGAAGATCCAATGCCTTGAAGGGTTCGGGCCACAAAGAGTAGAGTATAGGTCCCAGAAAAAGCAAACACTGGGCAGAGAGAATAGCAAGATAACTGCAGTTAGCAAATTGCCTTTGCTTCCCCAGCCGCCAGAGAACATGCCCGTGATACTGCAGATATGAGTCTTGATGCATATGTTTTTAATAAAGCATGATGACTGTTCCCTGTTTTTTGAGTTGTCTTTTCAATCTCCCACTCCTCAGTTTTGCTATTTAAATGGCAAGAAAACTGAGAAACCACAGAAGTATAAACCGAGTCACCACACAGCAGATGGAAGGCTGAGTCTGTACATCTCTTGCCAAGAACCCAACATTCTGTCCACTGAAATGAGGGATGTCCATGAAGCTCAGTGTCCTAGGCTGGAAACTGGTTCTTAGATCATACTCCTGGATCGTCCATGTGCAAAATCCAGATCTGGTCTTTACCATTGCTGGGTCCCACAGGATCATCTGGAGTACAGTGACAGTAAGTAGGTGCTTCGAGGATTATAGGAATTGGGTAGAAAATAATATCTTGTGATACAATCAGATCCTTTTTTATATCTTATATTGAACGATCTTTTAACCAGACAAAATCAGCAGGTATTAAATTATACTGAATGCGCAGCTCTGCTAGACTCTGTAGCAAATGCAAAATAAAAATAACATCTAGTTATTGTCCGTGAAGAGAGGCAGTGTGTTGAAGATGGACACCCAGGAAACTGAGATCCAACAGGAATATGTCATCCAAAACAATAAGAGAAATATGGCTCTGTCCTGCCAGGCTCCCAGACAGTCAGACCTAATGGTTATCTCCCCTTGCTCCCTGAACATCTCCATTATCCTATTCTTTTTTCAAGGTTCTGAGATCTCATATTGTTCAAACACACACGCTTTATGAACAATTTGTGCAGTTAACGCAATCCTCACAGGGTCCTGAGTCGACATACATCCTCAGTTTACGAAGACCATGGGATTAAGAGATTAAAGTAAAGACAGGCATAGGAAATTATAAGAGTATTGATAATTGGGGAAGTGATAAATGTCCATGAAATCTTCACAATTTTATGTTCAGAGATTGCAGTAAAGACAAGTGTGAGAAATTATAAAAGTATTAATTTGGGGAACTAATAAATGTCCATGAAATCTTCATGATTTATGTTCTTCTGTCATGGCTTCAGCAGGTCCTTCCATTCAGGGTCCCTGACTTCCCGCAACACAAAACTAAATCAGAGGGTGCTGGTGGTCAGGGTAGTTAAGTCCAGACATGTCTCACCTCCAATTCCAGAAAAATGTCTCCTAGGGTAAGAATAATCTCCTCGAAGTGTCTGAATCAGAAGAATTGTAATCCCTTTGCCCATTCATTACAGATGTCTTTGGTTGTGTTTTTAATCTTCTCCCATTACTTCCCGGCAGACATGATCACACCGAACTTCTCCTTGTCTCCCAAAGATGCACATTCTTGGTCTCTTCTTTCCTGGCCACCAGCATCTTTTCTCAGACTTTGTTATTTCCAGTCTTTTCTGTCTACTCTCCCAATGTCCTTTGAGAATAGAGTGACCCACTCATCTTGGTCTGCCCAGAACTTCCTTGTTTTTAAAACTGAAACTCAAAATACCCCACAAAAACAGGAAGTCTTACATCCTGGGAAGCCCCTCACTACAGTGTGGACATGGGTTGTTTGTCCCCACCAAATCTCATGTTGAAATTTGATCCCCGGTGTTGGAGATGGGGCCCAGTGGAAGGTGTTTGGGTTATGGGGAAGGATCCCTCATGAATACTTTAATGTCTTCCTTTGGTGGTGAGTGAGTTCTCACTCTACAGTTCTCTCAAGAGCTGCTGGTTAAAAAAAGGCTGGCACCTCCCTCTCCTCTCTCTTTCTTCCTCTCTCATCTCTGCACAGCCAGCTCCCCTTCACCTTCCACCATGAGTGGAAGCTCCCTGAGGCCCGCACCAGAAGCAGATGCTGGTGTCATGCTTCTTGTAGAGCCTGCAGAACCATGAGCCAACAAACCTCTTTCTAATATAAATGACCCAGCCTCAGGTACTCCTTTATAGCAATGCTAAATGGACTAAGACACCCCTCAATTCTAGGCAAACCAGGAGAGTTGGTCATTCTATTTAGGAATACCAAAGCAATTATTTTTTTCACTTTGGACCCTTTACATGGGCCACCATTTCACTCTTGATTACATTAGGCATGGCTCCTAGTTGGGGGGTGGAGGGTTTAAGGGTAGTAACGGGCATCAACAATCTCTTTTAAGTATTTTTTAGAACATTGGACAAGGATACCCTAAACATCAAATGTATTTTCTTTTGGTTAGAATTAGGCCAACTCCATATAGCAACACAGCTATCCTATGGAAATAATAATTATTTAACATATATAGTTTGGTATAAGTTAAACAATAATTACTTAACATATACAGTTTACTTTAAAAGTAAAGCTTTTAACACATGAATTCTTGGCAGAGAATCAGGCAAGGATATCATGCTAAAACGTCTCAGATCCACTAGCACACCGCATTGTCTTACTTCTCAGTGTGTGTCTCATGTCTCCCCAGGCAACCATCATATACACTTCTGATAGCTGGAATCATGTCTTTTCATTCTTTATGTGACTATGGCCATCTGGGCATTATACATGCACTGCATAAAGTTGTTTGGAATAAATCTTAAGCCTCATTTGATGAAATAGGGCACCTGGCATCTTATTATTTTTAAATTTGCTGTCTAACTTAGGCTGAACTGCTAGAAGTTCCATGAACAGTGCTAATTTGAATTTCTTCATTTTCTTCAAGTCCACTAAAATTTCACAAACAAGACGTAGTTCTCAGAGACAACCTCACATCTCAAGTTCTTGCAGTTTGCAGCCTTCCAGCCCAGAATGCAACAAATTCTTGTTAAATATTGGGTTGCTAGGAATCAAGTTCTGTGCTGGGAAAGAAGAAAAGTTGAGGAAGAGGAAGACAGAAAGTAGACAAGGAACAGAAAGGTAATAAGAAAAATGAGAGGCATGTTCTCACTCATAGGTGGGAATTGAACAGAGAACACATGGACACCGGAAGGGGAACTTCACACACCGGGGCCTGTCATGGAGTCGGGGGAGAGGGGAGGGATAGCATTAGGAGATATACCTAATGTAAATGATGAGTTAATGGGTGCAGTACTCCAACATGGCACATGTATACATACGTAACAAACCTGCACGTTGTGCACGTGTACCCTAGAACTTAAAGTATAATTAAAAAGAAAAGAAAAGAAAAGAAAAACGCGAGGGAGAAGGAGGTGTGTTGTTGGAGAGCAGAGGTTCAGCAGGGCCATCGGGAACCAAGGCTGGATCCACAGGCTGCCTTCCCCTGCCTTAACCTGCTAACGCTAACCCTTTTCATTCCTTCTTCCTTTACTTCTCAGCATCAATTTCCAGACTTACTTTTCTCATGTACTGTGTTTATCCCATCTCCATTTTATTAGAAACATTTAGCTGATCCTGGATAGAGTATTTGTCTTTCTCTTTCTTGTTTCTTTAGCAAATTTACTTTTCTAAGCTTAACCTTTAAAGCCCTTAACTGAAAAGCAGTAGGCTTTTTGGAATTTTCCAGATGTTATTGTCCAATTTCCATTTTTTTGTGAGTTGCCCTTTTCCATGGCATAACAAAATAATATCATTGCTTCTCATAGATGGAAAGTTTGTATTAAACTTGCTCAAGGGATTACTGATGCATATAACACACACACACACACACACACACACACACCCCGTAGCATACATATTCAAACAGCTCTCATTATGTCCAGCTGAAGTGAAGTGAATAAAATATCTGTTCTTCTATAGCAGAATAGACCAATTCCAACTAGACTGAATTGTCACTACTGTTCTAGTCCACATACCAAAAACAGCAGAGCATTTAAACCAATATTCCAGTCTGCTTAGTCAGATGCCTAATTACATTCTAGGTTACCCTGCTATCTACACCGCATTCACTTGATAAAATCAAAGGTAATCAGTGAAGGGAAGAAAAGAGGAAGCAAATTACTTACTAACTGTGGAGAGAAACATGATAACAAAGCCAGCAAACATGGGGATATGATATCCAATCCTAAAAGGGAATTGAAAAAAAAAAAGATACAATTCCAACAGGCACTCACATACATGGACTACATTTTTAAATGTAAGTGGGAGCAGAAATGCAGCTATTTGGGTGTATGGTAAAACATGCCTCTGAATGTAGTGTGGAGATGAAATAGGGCATGTGGATGAGTATGAGCAAACAAACAAACATGCAGATATGACCATAGATCAGGGCCAAAATTCTCATTTCCAGAAATGATAGCCTAGGTGGAGTGTATATCTCTTGAAAATATCAGAATAATCGTCAATACAACTCCTGGGAAGCCAGTGCTCTAGATTACAACAGGACTGTCCCATTCATACCCTTTTCCCATTCAAGCCATGCTCCAGGTCACTGATAGAACATCACAGCACACTGCTGTTCATGGTTCTCTTCTTGGTACTCAATACTCAATATATCACTAAGAAAATCTGATCCCATAACATTTCATCAGTAACATGTTATTCTTTGAGTAACGAGCTTTCCGAATAGCTGACTCCCCTGAGGAATCATACAAGTGAGTATTTCTTCTTTTTCCCTTCCAACCCCCTTTCTATACTTTTCTAGTCCTCCTACTCCTGTGTACCCTGCGGGGCACTGCACCCAGTGAGATACCTGTTGGTGAGAGGGCCCACGAATGGGTTGACCAGAAGTTGCATCACAGCCTTTGAAGCAAACAGAACCCCGACCCGGGTAATCTCTTCCTCCAAGAAACCTGTGCCTTGCAAGCAGTTGTTTTTATGAGCTGAGATGGCTTCAGTGGCTGGAGGTGGGATGGTGCTGGCAGTGTCATTCATCCATGCTATTCCACTAGGTACGCTTTCTTCAACAGCCACGGTGTTGTTGTTGAAGAAGGAGAAGATGGTGGAAAAGGCAGGAGAGGCGAGGGCATGTGGGGAACTTCCGGCATGGCCGAGGTGCAGAGAAGAGTTGACTTCTTTGAACTCCATGTCATATAGGAAGGTGGGCACAATTGGCACTGAAAGTCAAAGAGGACAGGTGATGGGGGCTAAGGACCGATGTCATCTTACCACTGAAACTCAAGGGGCTAAGGACAGATGTCAATTCTACTGAAAGTCAAGGAGGACAGGTGATGGGGGCTAAGGACAGATGTCATCTTACCACTACTAGGATCAGGGGACTATGATGAGGTTCAGCCTTATGCCCAAGGCTGGTATCTGGAGTGGCATGGTTAAAACCTACTAAAAGACTGTGCCTGCCCAAGTTATCCTATTAGCTAAAGTAGCTAAATTCTGACCTTATACAGTTAGTCCTCATTGTTCATGGTTTCCACATTGGCTAACTCTCCTACTCACTTAGATTGACATGTAACCCCCCAAACCAACACACACTGAGCTACCACGACATTTCACAGACATGTCCAGCTCTCACACAGACCTGGCCACAGGAGGGGATGGGAGGAGGAAGGGCAGGGTGGTCAGAGGAGCCTCAGCTCTGGGACCCCTGGACAGGGTTTGAATCCCAACTCTGGCACCTGCTAGTGGAGAGGCCTTGGGCAAGTCACTTAACACTTCTGAACTTCTTTTTCTCTTTTATAAAGAAAACACGATGTACCACGATGTTTAAGATTTAAGATTATAATTGTGTGTGTGTGTGTGTGTGTGTGTGTGTGTGTGTTTCCCTGGGAGCAATGATTCAGTATTCACTAATTCAGTGTTTGCAGCGACTTTATAGAGCATAACTATAACTACAGAACTATGAATAATGAGAAGTGATTGTATTGGATTAACAACTTGTCTCAGAAAGATCCTTTTTTAAAAACATATGTTTTACCCAAGAGGAGAAACCTTTTAGTGCCCATTTATACAAGGGTGTAACTTAATGTAATGATTAGGAGAGTATCAACTAAAAAAAGCAGGATTCTGAGGGAAAGAACCACAAGGAAGGCAAGGTCTTGATACTAAATCAGATATCCAAATAAAATATGCTGTTTTTATAGAGCAGAGTCCAGAAAGGCACCCCTGTGAGAAGATCTCGCTGCCTCAGAGGCACTTGGAGTCATTAGCACCTTGAGAAGACAGTGTGGGGAGAAAGAAAAGCACAGCCAGTTCTGGCTCCGGGCCATCCTCTTCTCCAGTCAGACCCTCTCTGGACCTCCTGCTCTTTGAACCTCCTGAGTCTTTTAGCTGTGTTTGACAAGTGTCAGACTCCATTTTCTGCAGGGCTTTTTTCCAGTCCCCAACAACCTCTGTGTGTTTTTGAGCATAAAAAGGAAAATTCTCAGATGGATTCACTGTTGAACTCAAGCAGGGTGTACACTGCCTGCTGGGGCCCACAGCAAATTAACCCTCAGCACAAAGACCCACAAACGTACCCACCACAGTAAACAGCATGTTGTCCAGGAGCAAAGCGACGAATACCACCACCAGCACCAGCTGCCGGGACGCTCTCCCCTCCTTCAGCAACCGCTGGGGAGCATCCAGAATGGTCCGGAGCATGGTGATGGCCGGACTGGGGCAGTCTTCCCCTGCGGGCTCTTAGGGAAGGTCCTGTGACAGCTACAGGTCTCCTGCAGCCTTTATGGAAGAGGGGAGGGAGTCTGCCCAGACGAAGGAAACTCACTATTAAAACGAAAAGTGCAAAGGGTTGCAAGTAGTAGGATGATATTTGGAAACATCTCCATGTCTGTATCACTGTTCACTTCTTATAAATCTCAATAACTCTACCTGGTTCCCAGAATGCCTTCCTGGTAAGCATCGCTTACTAGCTATTTATGTCTGGATTTATATCTAGCCATTAATTTCCCTTGAATTTAATGGCTAGGTATAAATCCAGATAAAAATAGATGCTCTACAGATCACTTAACCCTGTGTTTTTCAAACATCCGACATTTATTTGCCTATCACCTTGATGGTTTATGTCATATCTAAGGACTACCTGTACTATCATTTACTTCATCTTTTTCCTCTAGATCCACTCTTTTAAAATATTGAGATACTGCCAGGTATGGTGGGATGTGCCTGGAGTCTCAGTTACTTGGGAGGCTGAGGTGGGAGGATATCTTGAGCCCAGGAGTTTGAGTCCAGCCTGGACTACATAGCAAGACCCCTAACTCTCAAAAAATTTTTAAAACCAACATAGATATTGATATCATGTTTCAAAAAGTTATTTTATGTGGCATGCAAAAAAAGTATGACCTTTGTTCTAGGTGCTACCCCAAAATATTTCATGTGGCACAGTGTCACTTGGGCTGCCCACTGAGAAACACTGATGTAGACCAACCTTCATCTCATAGACAAGAAATCCGAGCCTCTGAAGGTTAGGAGATTTGTTTGGGGTTGCACAGTTAGTGTCAAACTGGGATGAAATCCCACGCTTTTCAACTTGCCAGCTTATCCTCTACCATGTTCCCTTGCTCTGTGGTTCTAGAAGCACGCTCATTCTTTTGTTTGAGCTACAAACCCCTGATCAGAAAGATGCCTTCATCTGTGAAAATAAAATATTGACTTTCATGATTAGTTCTCTATTCAGGATTTCATATCATTAGTCAGCATTAAGTCACAGTACCTTGTCAAACTTCAAGTAATAAGAGTTTCTGGGGAGAATTTCATTTTCTTTGACGTGGCTTCTGTTGTGGTATCAACAATATCACTCATTTAAATTTTAAAATAGATTACCATCATGAAATCTATCAGGCCCTAAAAATTGTATACTCTTTGACTTAGTAACTCTACTACAAGGAACCCATCCTACAAAAGAAAAAAGGTCAGAGATGCAGCCAAAGACTTATACTCAAAATGATCAATTGCAGAATTATTTTTCTTAGTGAAAAAAGTCAAACATGTTAATGGTGGATTATTAAGCGGCTCTTAAAAATTATATTTTCAAATAATTTTAATGATACAGAAAATACTATTACTATAACGTTAAGTAAAAAAGGGAAATTAAACTGTGTTTTCAACTTTATCTCAATTGTCTAAATATAAATATATGGGCACATTTTTGAGAGAGTAGAGAGATACTCAAATGCCAGTTATTTATAATCAATGACTTCAGTTATCTTCTGTGTATTTCTAAATATTCAATAATGAGCTACTTTTGTAATTAAAGAAGTAAATAATTTTAAATGATTATCACTGAAATTCAATAGTCAGCCTCAGGTGTTGGGAGTACCCCAAACACTGAGGTACTCTGTTCTAAGCCCAGGGCTGGAAGAACCCTCTCACTACTACATATTAACGTGACCAAGGTCCTAAGTGAACCAAATTCTCAGTTAAGTTTTAACCAGTAAATGCATGCAATTACTTAAGATCCTTCATTTCTCTATATAAAGGAGGTATTTCTGAATACAAATTGACTTAGGATATGTATGGATAAGAATAAAAGACAAGCCATGGAAAATTAAAAAACATAGTGAGTGAAGTAAGTACTACAAAGAGAGAGAAACACACACACCCAAATCCCAAAACAAAAACAAACAAAACCAGGAATTTGCCAACAAATCAATAGTAAACTTTACTTAACAGTCAAAATCCTCTGACAGAGACACAAATCACAAGGAAAGATTAAATTTGTCCGGAGAGAGAAAAATCTTACCTTGGAGCCCATGTTGGTGTGAGGCACTCAGTGAGGTATTGGCAGCTGTTAGCAAGACAGCAGGGACACTGTTCTCTGAACGTGGATGTGCTGTTGGATTTATTGCCTCCTGTTATCTGAGGATTCTGTGTATGTGTGTGTGTGTGTGCCTTTGTCCACAAAGATTTAATTGCAACCTCCAACAGGGTTCATTCAGACCCTTAGCTCCCTGCGTCAAAGGCAGGAAGGCAGGGCTGGAGAGGATAAAGAGAGGGCAGATATTAGCCTAAGCAAAGAGGCACTGGACTGTACTGTTTTGCATCTGTGCTTATCTATCATCGAACTCTTTAACTCTTGCCTGGGTCTGAATACAAATTGGAAGCCAAGATGGAACCAGTGTGCAGTTCCTGTTCCTTGCTACTTAGTCAAAGTGGCTCCATGTACCCCAATTAGCTTCCTGGAAAGAAACAATGTATGTTGTTCTCAAGCCATAAAAACCCAACATCTGTGGCCTCTGTAAAGGCTTAGATTATGCACTGTGTCTTCACATCTCAATACTGGCTCAGTGCCTGATACATGGTAGCATCCAATAAATATTTCTTGCATGGATGACTGGATGGTTAACTACAGGAGAAAGTGCAGTTCCTTGTGGGATCTTGAGAGGCTCTAATGATCTATATTATTCTGACATTAAACCATTGGTGGCTCAAAGAACATAAGCAATTTATGAAAAAGCAAATACACTTTACGAGCAAGAGCAGTGCAGAGATTTCCTATTTGTGGAACTGGTGGGCCCCTCCTAATTGTGGGAATTAACTAGGGAACTTTCGATTTAACGCTAAAAAAAAAGAAAATAGTTTTTTAATTTTATTTTTTTTATTTTTGAGACAGAGTCTCGCTATGTCACCCAGGCTAGAGTGCAGTGGCATGATCTTGGCTCACTGCAACCTCCACCACCTGGGTTCAAGCAATCCTCTAATCTCAACCTCCTGAGTAGCTGGGATTACAGGTGCATGCCACCATGCTCAGCTAATTTTTGTATTTTCAGTAGAGACAGGGTTTCACCATGTTGGCCAGGCTGGTCTCGAAGTCCTGACCTCAAGTGATCCTCCTGCCTTGGCCTCTCAAAGTGCTGGAATTACAGACGCGAGCCACAGCGCGCGGCCTAGATGGAAACAGTTTTAAAATGTAAACCTAGAGCGAGAAATAGGGATAGGAAACAAAGACATCAGCAGAATGTATTCATCGCTATAGTTTGCTGCTGTAACAAATTACTACAATCTGGTGGCTTAAAACAACACGTATTTAGTATCTTGCAGTTCTGGAGGTCAGAAGTCCAAAATACATCACACCGGGTTAAAATGAATGTGTCGGCAGGGCTGCATTCCTTCTGGAGATTCTGGGGGATGGTTGTTTCCTTGCCTTTTCCAGCTTCCAGAGATCTCCTGCATTTCTTGGCTCCTAGCCACTTTTACCCTCAAAGCTAGCAGCAATGCATATTCAACTCTCCCTCTGACTCTGAGCCTTCTGCCTCCCTCTTTCACTTGTAAGGACTCACGGGATGACCCTGGGCCCACCCAGATATTCCAAGATCACCTCCCCATCTCAAGATCCTTAATCATATCTGCAAAGTCCCTTTTACCATAGGGGACTACCAAGGCAACATACTCACAGGTTCCAGGATTAGGAGGTGGACATCTCTGGGGTGCCACTGTCCACTCCCTACAGGGAGCATGGCACACTGCCCCCCACTTACATGCAGGGCCTGTGGCCTGAGCCTCTAGGGAATGAGGGGGTTAGGGCCAAAAGATGGAGGAACTGTATTAATAAAGATATTTGCAAGACTCTGGGCATAAGGCAGTATCCTTTTTGGAGTCCAGGTGACAATTCTGCCACCATGCCCTCCACCCTAAGTACAGTGTTAGAACTCTGAGGGTTGACAGCCTCCGGCATAGTGTACCTGTGTCCAATAGAGGGCGCTAGAGGGAGAGGGCTTGGGTAGAGCAGCCTCACAGGAATGTTCCGAGACAGCACCTAACTGGGGATGCCCCCCAAAAATTGGGAAATCATGATTTTGGGAAATTGAGGGCCTGGGAAAGCAGGTATAGACTAAGAATCATCACATGTTGGGCAATAATAAGAATAACAGCAACAATAACAGTAGCTATCATTTATGGATTACGTACTATTTGGGCATGTTTCTAATACATACTCATATATTATAGGGATAATACATATTAGATCAAATAGATATATTTTTTCAGTTTACTGTAACCATGCTAGTATTCACAGGCTGGCCAAGTCTGGGGTCTCCTCACAAATGCCCATCACTATTAATAATCAAATTGTTGTCCATTAAAAATGAATGAGCACTCAACTTCCTCCCTTTAATCATAGAATAAAAAAAAAAACTGTGAGTACTGTGGAATGGAAATTCACATACACTGTTAGTAGCTAGGGAAATACCATTCTTTTAGAAAGCAATGCGGCTTTCTATCTTTTATCTTTTAAGTTATAAAATGTATGTTGCTTTTGACCCAGTAATTTCACTTCCTTGGAATCTATCTAAAAAGGTATGCTAAAATATGGGGGAAGGGAGGGAAATCATAGGTACAAAATTTTTGTCATAGGATTTAGAGAAAAACTACAAACATCTCAAATGTCCAACTGTAGAAATTATTTAAGTGCATGAGCTTGAAGGACTGTCATGTGGCCCTTAAAACAGATGTAAAAAAAGGTTATGATGAAGACTATATATCAAACTGGAAAAAACTGTATATATAAAAATAAATATATAATTTATATTTATAGATTACATATATAACCTGTAATTTATATTTATAGATTACGTATATAACATGTAATTTATATTTATAGATTACATATACAACATGTAATTTATATTCTATAATATGTTATACATAATATATTTAATTTATATTATATGTATATACACACAGATATTATGACAGAAAGTAAAAAGGTAGAATATAAAACTTTTTGTAAATTGGGGCTGGGCGTGGTGGCTCATGCCTGTAATCCCACCACTTTGGGAGGCTGAGGCAGGTGGATTACTTGAGGTCAGGAGTTCAAGACCCGCCTGGCCAACATGACAAAATCTTGTCTCTACTAAAAATACAAAAGTTAGCCAGGCGTGGTGCTGCACACCTGTAGTCCCAACTACTTGAGGGGCTGAGGCACAAGAATCACTTGAACACGGAGGCAGACGTTGCAGTAAGCCAAGATCGCTCCACTGCACTCCAGCCTATGCGATAGAGTGAGACTCTGTCTCAAAAAAAAACCAACAAAAAAACCTTTATGTAAATTCACGGTAGCATTATGCACAATAGCTAAAAGGTGAAAGCAACCTACATGTCCCTCAATGGATGAATAAAGGAAATTATGACCCATGCTATAACACGGATGAATCTTGAGGACATTATGCTAAGTGAAATAAGCCAGTCACCACAGGACAAATACTATGTAATTCCATTTATATGATGTAAGTATAACAGTCAATTTCATAGAAATAGAAAATATGATGGTGGTTTCCAGGGTCTGAGGGAAGAGGGAAATGGGAAGTGATTGTTTAATAGGTGTAGAGTTTCAGTTTTGCAAGATGAAAACTTCTGGAGATTGGTCAGTTGCACAATAAGGTGGGTATAGTTAACACGACTGAACCATACACTTAAAAATGGTTAAAATGGTAAATTTTATGTCATGTATATTTTGCCACAATTAAAAACATAAAAACAACACTTTATGTACATTGTGATTATGTAAGTGGTTAGGCCCAATGGCAAAGTTGTGGAAGATTCTTGATTTATTATTTAAATAATAGTGAACAAAACTTAAAAATGAAGCATTGCCAGTAAAAAGTAACAGCTCAGTCTATACTAGTGGACTCCGAGCCCTTGCAAAGAACTAATAATTTCTAGCCAGAGCATCCTGTTGAGAACTCTCTGAGACTGAAATTGAAGTTTGAGGCTCTTTGATAGTGGCTCTGTTATCTTTCTAGTTAAAGTGGTTGGCATACAACATCCTCAGACGGACAGCTTTTTCTCCGGGCCAAATAATATCTATTACCCAATTACATGTACCCTGGGCTGTGGCTGACATGGCCTGGCAGAGGAGACGGCCCTGTGACTCAGAGCTGGAGGGTGCTTTTGTTTCTCATTGCTTCCTGTTTCCTGTGCTGTTCAAACATTTTAACAATCAGTTCCAACTTCTTCCATTCAGCATATGTCATTATCCCAGCCTCAGATTGGAGGCTGACTTTGGTTCAGAAGTCACAGGCTTCTGAAAACAAAGCCAAAGAGGAATCAGGGCTGATACTTTACGGCCATGATCTACAGGGCACTGTGGACCCTGTAGGAGTGGATATGTGTCCATAAAGATAGGGAACTGCGTGTCTGTAAACATGCAAGGGAAGTGCTGGTTTCAGATCCAAGGGAATAGGAGGCTCTAAAAAAGTAAAATCAACATCAGCTGGAACCCCATTGAACAGTTCTATTGTAGGGACAGCGGTAGCAAACTCAGCAACAAATAAGTGATAGGAAAATTCAGTTAGGAAAATTCAGGCCCTACCCCCAACCAACCACCAAAACTGGCATCCCTTCACAACATCAAAAATATTTGGAAAATAAAACAATAAAAAATAACAATACAGGCTGGGTGTGGTGGCTGACATCTATAATCCCAGTGCTTTGGGAGGCCAAAGCAGGAGGACTGCTTGAGCCCAGGAGGTCGAGGCTACAGTGAGCCATGATCGCGCCACTGCACTCCTGGGTGACAGAGTGAGACCCATGTCTCAAAACAACAACAACAACAAAAATCCAATCAACCAACCAACAAACAAACAAAAAAAAACCAATGCAACCATAAAAAATAACACAAGTAAAAAACAAATAAAGTACGATAACTACTTCTATAGCATTTACCTTGTATCAGGTATTAAGAGTAATCCAGAGATGACTTAAAGTATACAAGAGGATGCACATAGGTTATGTGCAAATACCACACCATTTTATATCAGAGACTTGAGCATTCATGGATTTTGGTTTCTGCAGGAGGTCCTGGAACCAATGCCCCACAGATACTGAGAGATGATTACATACCATTTCAAAAACCCTCTTTAACTATCCAGTGTCAGCCTGGCCACTTTCCCCGATTGTCAGGATGGATTAACTGCCTAGTTTGACTCAAACCTGCTTTGCATGGAAAATGCAGCCACAGTTACATCGACTGGCCAGAACTTCTGCCTCCTTCCCTTTGTTTCATCTTGGAGCTATGCAGGAGATGCTTAAGAAGTAGACTGGCCAGATCCAGAAGCAGAGATATCAAGTTCTATGACACGTGGGAGATATTGCCCTGGATTATGGTTATCTGTCTCTAGAGCCTAAACTTTAAGGGCAGGGGTTTTATCCTACCCGTCTTGGTATTCCACCCATCACCAAGCATCTGGCCCAGGAGAGGTGATCAATAACTATTGATGGTTGTTGTTGGTAATGATGAGGAGGAGTCATTCTCGCCTCTCTGAGCATCACATAAGACTGGCAAGGTATTGGAAGCTTTGAAGGAGACATGCACCTCCCAGAGCCCTGGTGCTTCAGAATGGGAATAAGGACATTCCAGCTTTCACTTGCAATTCAGCTCTCAACCCCATCTGTCCTTGATTGTGTGCGCAGAATTTCACAGGCAGAGCTGACGCGTTTAAAATCCACCACAGATTCTTGAGATATTAGCGTTGGCAATGGCTCCTTGTTAAGTTTAATTTATATGCAAGGTATAGAAAAATATCTACCATCCCCAAAATCATTGTGGGTGACCAGGGAGTCTATGGAAATATCCATAATTTCAATGGAGCAGGAAGGACCAGTGTTAATATCTCTTAGAGACAAGTGCCGTGTTTTCTACAAATATCTTTTTAGAAATACTAGGACACAGAAAAGAAGCATCTGAATGATCAGTTTCAGTCCTGGGTCTGCCATTCACTTAGCTGTGAGACTTTAGACACACTACCTGATTTCTTAGTACTTCCATTTGCTGACTTAGAGCATTCTTGTGAAGATTCGAGAAAATAAATGAACAATAAACACTTAGAAGAGTGCCTGGCACACAGTAGGCACATAATATTTATCCTATACACTTACTTAGTGGAAAAACAGTAAACCACTAACTCTGCTCTCACTGAACTCTTCTTTTTGTTGAGGGAATTTCTAAACATTAAGTTCCCTAAAATAAATTCCTCTTCTAAATGCAGCATTCACCGTGAACTGCCTCAGAACTCTTATCTCATGCTAACCATGAGAATGCATAAACCTTGCTCAAGACTTACTTCCACCCAACATAGTTCCTCAAAATCAAATCCTTCCCAAGTTATGTCTAATTGAAAAAACCCACCTCCCCTCCCCAGCGCCCCTGTGGAGAACCACCTGACCTAAGCCACTACTCTCTGACCTTTCTCTTATCAGGTAGGCAACCCAGCATGCTCTTCCACAGTGTTTTGGATGAAAAATCATGTGTGTTAATCTTCTCTACAATTCAGCCTTTAGCTGCTTTGAAATAATGTATTACATAGTAATGTCGCCTTTGCTTTAAAGATGCAACCCAAGCCCAGAGGCACAGAACCAATTAGGAGCAAACCTGAGGCTGCTCCTTCAACTCTCAGTCCAATGTACTCACCACTGAGAGCAGAAACATATCCTACGGTCCTTCTGTGGTTCTGCGGTTTTCAACACCACGTTGAGTTCATGAGCAGTGCTCACTTGGTATGTACTTGCTGATAGAAAATGTCATTCAAGTACTTTGACTTCTCTGATGAACACATCATAAATAAGCCAAGAATTAAGGCCTTTTCTGGCAATGGTCAGATTCAGACTTTGAGACAGTGCTGCCACATTGCCATGACAACTGGTGGAAATGATCCAAATTAGAATATGTCCCTAAAATTTTTCCAGATACTGTCCGATGTTATCAGTCCAGTTGGTCCCCAGGTGATCTTTGACACAGAAAAGAGGCTTCAGGCAGATGCCAGGTCAGATCCTGGGTCTTAGATTTTTATTTCAGAGGAGCAGACACCCACAACTGTCTTAGAACTAATTTGGTTTTCCGAAGTTCCCTTAGATGGGGTTAGAATAAACCCTCCACTATTACTCTGCATCAGAAAGGATCTCTCAGACTTACCCAGATTTGTAAACAAGCAACAGAGCCAAACTAGGTGGCTTCAGAGGCCAGGTAGTAAAAAAGGAACGACTGTCTAGAAAGCTTAGACTGCTGGTATCTCACTTCCAGAACTTAGGAAAATCACTTTACTTCCCTAAGATTCAGTTTCCTCATCTGTAAATTAGGGAGTTAAGTCTAGCTGAGTGCTAAGATCTATTCTAGATTTTACAATCATTCTGGTCTTAGAAGTAAAACAATGAATTCTCATCTAACGTTGACTCTATGTCATCCGTTACTAACCCCTTTGACCTGATTTCTATCAGGTCTCTCTAATATAGAACTTTTAACATACCTGATTGCATGCTTGTTTTACCACTAGCCATAAAACCTGCTCCCTGTTAAAGTGAAAATTATACCATTTTAAACAGAAGCACCTTATTATTTCTCACCGTACTTTTGATTCAAAAGCATAATGAATGTTCATGCCAAAAATGTGACAAAATAAAAAAGAAAGCAAAACATCTCATAACTCAGAGTAGTCACTGTTAATATCAGTATATATTTCTTTACAATATTTTCCAAGTGTATGTGTGCACAAATAGATAATACAAATCATATAGTGTATGCCACTTCATATAGAATGCTGTACTCAGCACTGTGTTATGAAAATTTTCCCAGGCTTCCATCTTAATGTCTGAATAATTTTTCATCAAATCAAAGTATCTGATTCCTTTTTGTTGGAACATTTGGGATGTGAGAAGACTCTCATGATCTGGCAACAAAAGAGGGTCTTTGACAAAGGATACTTGGAGTTTCAAGGACAGGTGTCCCCTTTTCAGACAGCCAGGCGACAGGAAAGCAGTACTCGGTAAGAGACCTTCCATCCATCAGCTTCTTGGTCTGTATATTTAAACATTTGCATCACCTTCTTAAGTAGCCATTGTTCTGATCATAGGGCACCCTCTGCTCTTTCCCCTCTATTGGACAACACATCTGTGACCCCAGTGACAAGGAAAGTAATATGGGATATGGAAGAAAACCAGAGATCTCAGTTTTAGGAGGTCAAAGTACAGTTTCCAGCCTATACACCTCACTCTGCCTCAGATGGTCAGAATTTAAAAACAGCCAACACAGCCAGGTGCGGTGACTCACGTCTGTATTCCCAGCACTTTGGGAGGCTGAGGTGGGTGGATCACCTGAGATCAGCATTTGGAGACCAGCCTGGCCAACAGGGAGAAACCCTGTCTCTACCAAAAATACAAAAATTAGCTGGGTGTGGTGGTGGGCACCTATAATCCCAGCTACTAAGGAGACTGAAGCATGACAATCGCTTGAACCCGGGAGGTGGAGGTTGCAGTGAGCTGAGATCATGCCACTGCACTCCAGCCTGGGCGACAGAGCAAGACTCTGACTGAAAAAAACAAACAAAAAAAACAAAAACAAAAGCAAAAAAAACCAATAATAAAATATATAAATAATTAATTAGCTTCCTCTCCCATCTTATGCTGAAAATGTTGTACTGATGATTTTATATTGGTATATGCCTTGCTACATAGAAACACATAGGTCTGTTTATTTAATCTGTTGTGGTTTGTCTTCATAGTATTTTCCTTGATTAGAATTTTCCAGCAAATAAAGAGAGATACACATTATCTGGAAAAAAATCAGTCACTGGCATGAGATTTTCTTACCCCTTTCTTCTCTATTTTTCTTCCCCAATAATCATTTGTAATAAAAGAATAAGAGTTTGCCTTTCTATCTAAGATGTTGATTTCTGGAAGCTTCTTTTTAAATTCTTGAGAAGCCGGCATGACATGAAATCTTCCCAACTCACAGATGGAGATTCAAAGACAGAAGGAGTTGAGGATTGGCCCAAGGTTACACTGTGCATAAGGAGACAGTCAGCACTGAAACTGGGCTGGTGATTCTGAGTCTCATGTTTTGACCACATTCCCTACTGCTGGGGAATTCCTGGGATTTTTGCATTCCTTGGAAGTAAAACAAGGATATGGTTTCAGCAAATAACAGGAGGACAATAGCCAGTATACAATATCTGTAGGATGACTCTTCCTTGGCGGGGGGCGGGGAACCCTCCGTATGGAAGAATAAGATTGGTGGACAACTGTTCATTTTTAAGAAAAAAGCAACACATTTTCATTTATCTAATAGATATTTACTAAGTACTATGTGTAAGTTACCTTGCTAGGTACTTTAGATAGAAGACAAGAAAATGATAAGATACAGTCGCTGCTTAATACAAACTACTCAACTAGTCCAGGAGCCATATCATTTCTTTCTTAGAAAAGAGCCTGACACAGCCAGGCATGGTGGCTCACACCTGTAATTCCAGCACTTTGGGAGGCTGAGGTGAGCGGATCGCGAGGTCAGGAGTTCAAGACCAGCCTGGCCAACATGGTGAAACCCCGTCTCTACTAAAAATACAAAAATTAGCTGGGTGGTGGCAGGCACCTGTAATCCCAGTTACTCGGCAGGCTGAGGCAGGAAAATCGCTTGAACCCAGGAGGCGCAGATGGCAGTGAGCCGAGATCATGCCATTGTACTCCACCCTGGCTGACAAGAGCAAGAATACGTCTAAAAAAAAAAAAAAAAAAAAGAAGAGCCTGACACATATTAATTAACACATAAATATTCTGTTAATCAATAAATCAAAGCATGTAATAATAATGTTAGCTAAGCCATATCTAGCCTTTGCTATTTGCCAAATACTTTGCATTATCTCTTTTAATACAATAATTTTATGAAGATAATATTATTCTCATTTTATAAACTAGAAAAGTGAGGATTAGAGAGAATAAATTTTGTTCAAAGTCATAGAACTAATCAACTCAGGACTTAAACTAAGTCTGTCTGACCTCAGAGTCCATGCCCCAAGCCCCTGATAGAAGAAAAACTTCAGCTGAATTAAATTTAAAGGTGTTTAATTGAGCAGTGAATGATTTGTGAATCAGGCAGCCCCCAGAATCACAGCAGATTCAGAGAGACTCCAGGGATGCCTCGTGGTCAGAACAAATTTATAGATAAAAAAGGGAAGTGACCTACAGAAATCAGAAGTGAAGCACAGATAGAGCTAGATTGGTTACAGCTCAGTGTTTGCCTTATTTGAACACAGTTTGAACACTCAGCAGTGTATGAGTAGCTGAAGTACCACTGCTGGGATGGGCCAAGACTCAGCTACTGTTACAGGCGCAAACTCCTAGTTAGGTTTTCAATTTTGTCTACCTATTAAGTTAGGTTGCAGTTCATCCACAAGGACTCAAATATAGAAGTACAGAGTCCTTCTCGGGCCATATTTAGTTTGTTTTAGCACCTCTTACCCTTAAAACTGTGCAAGCCCCCCCACCTCCAGCTGATACTCTCTCTGTGTGAGTATATGTGACTTTTGGATATTTAATACACATTTCAGAAGAGAAAAAGATTTTTCTCTCCAAATTGCAGCATCAATTATTGGCATCAATGCACAATTTCCTGCTTTTTACCAATGTACAAACATGTTCTACACTACTGCAACTGGTCTATATCTGTGCTAAGCTTTCACTCAATATTATTTGGTATAAAGAGTTCAAATACTTGAATTCCACCAGCTATATATCATATTCATGTCAGTATCTATTAAATATACACTACTGGTGCAGTTTACTATTATGGGATATTTAGGTTACTATTTCACTTTCACTCTGATGAATAGCATTGCCATAACAAGCTATAAACATTTATTCCTTTGGTTAATAATCATATCATTGAGATCATGGAATCAAATTATTGGATCAAAGTGCGTGAACAAGTTTATGATCCCTAACCTATACCAGGTTGCTTTGCAGAAGGTCTGGCCAATTTCCAAAGTCATCAGAAATGAGCTGGTGCGACACTTAGCCCCGAATCCTGCCAACACTTAAAAAAAATCATTCAGTTTTCTTAATTTAACAGATAAGGTGGAACGGTGATGCTTAGTTTGAATTTCTTCATTACTAGAGAAACTAAAACTTTTCTATATTTTCCTAAATGTATTTTTCTATGTATATAACACTTCATTTATCCTTTTCCTTCTTGCATATTAAGGGGATAATTTTTTTAAACCCAAGGAAAAGCATTTATATAATATTGCTATAAATAATTCTAAGAAACTCTGAATTTCAGTTGACTAACAGTTTTGGGTTACCTGCGCTTTGCACAGGTACCATCGTAAGATCCAAATAAATTACACAATTTTTAAAAATGTAGTTGTCTGAGAAGTTAGAGACGGTGTCAAGTGATACCAACTATCTGACACAACCATGTGGCAATTTGATTAAACACTTGTGATTCCATAAATGGCAATACCACTCTCCCAATTTGTCAGTGATGCTTACTTGGTGGTTTTCTTTAAGAGTTTCAGGCTCCTTTGACAATGTGATAGAAATCTGTGGGTTATTTCCACGGAAAATATCCATATGCACACATTTTGCACAACGTTTCACCGACTTCCTAGGGTGCCAAGTTAATAATCCCTGTTTTACAGCAATCTTGGACTTATCTCTATCATTGTTTTTTTCATTTGAAATATTTCTCCCAGCTGCACTGTGCTCCACATCCCCCTTGCCAATCCCCCATTCCATATCTGAGGTTACAGAATGGAAAAGTGCAGGAGAAAGATATAAATGGCCACTTTTTAATGATATCATTATTGCGATGAGCTCTGTGACAGAGCTAAGGCCAGCGTGCTATGTAGGAAAGCCATCATCTGGTTTGAGTCCATGTTGCTCACCCAGACAATCACAATAGCTTCCTAACTGGTCTCTCCATTTTTCTCTTGCCTTCTTCACCAGTTCATATTTTGCCCAGTAGAACAACATGCCTCTTTAAAGCCTAATCAGATCATATTCCTCCTTCATAAAATTCTACAATCACTCTAAGAATATAATTCGAACTGCTATCTGCATAGCCTCCAAAGCTGTACATGATCTGGCCCTGCCCTCTCTCCTGCTGCTCTCTGCTTAGCTGTGTCCATTCTAGCCCCACTTTCCTTCTTCTGCCTCAGGACCTTGGCACTTGCAAAACCCTCTGCCTATGCCACACATCTCTTAGAGCTTCCCATGATCTGCTTTCTCTCTCCATTCAGATCTCAGATGACTGAGAAGTGCATTCCCTGATCACATCATCTAAAATCTTATCTTCGTCTAGATCACTCTTTTCTCTTTATCTTGTTTTATTATTTTTCATCATACTTGACACTACCAGGCACTTTATTTACATGTTTGTTTTCTGACTTTCTCCCTCCAACAGGTATCAGGATGACAGAGTCTTTGTTTATTTACAAATATATCTCCAGGACTTAGATCAGCACCCGATACACATGTGCATTTTCTCAACAGATGTTTGTTAAATAAATGTTGGGGTTACCACTCTACGTATACACATTAGACCACAACTAATTTCTATTACCAGAGTAAAAAGTTAAAAACAGGTTTTTTTTAAAGTAAAAGCCATGAACTACTCCTAAAAGAATAACATAAAAATTGTAACAACTAACAGTCTGATATTCACATATGAAATTTACCTACCATTGTGAAAAATTGGCATGAGAAGACTAGATTTGTAATTTTTATTAAAAAAGTTGTTATGCATTGTATTTGAAAAAATCAGTACAAACACCTGTTAAAGCAGTGAAACTACATAGAAAGATTATTAAATTAAAAATAAAATTTCTCCTACTGTTCACATGTTAATCTACTTTACATGGCATTTTGCAATTGCTTTTTTATTTTAAACCTAATAATGTGTCTTGGACTTTTTTTAAAAAAAAAAACTCAACCCTTGAGCCTCCACTGAATTCTTTTCAAAAGTTTGAGAAATACCTTTGACTTAATAGGCTATAACTTATGAATGGGCATTTAGATTGTTTCTAGGTTTATGCTATTACAAAAATTTTTTTTGAATATCTGTGTGTATGTATATATACATGTATATGTCTGTAGACCATATATAATAATATATACCATATGGTGCATGACGTAATGTATTATATATAATGGAAAATATTTGTCACATACACTGAGTGGATAGATAGATACAGATATATCTACAGAGAGAGAGAACGATAAGTTCCTAGTACCAAAATATTTGAATGAGATATCACCAAATTGTTCTTCTAAATATCATACCAATTGTGCTCTTATCAGTAAAGTATTACAATTCCTGTTTAATTTTACACGTGCCAACTTTGGACATTAGTTAAACTTAAAAATTATAATCTTCTGGGTGCAGTGGCTAACGCCTGTAATCCCAACATTTTGGGATGCCAAGACGGCGGGATCAATTGATGTCAGGAGTTCGCGACCAGCCTGGCCAACATGGTAGAACCTCGTCTCTACTAAAAACAAAAATTAGCCGGGCGTGGCGGTGGGCACCTGTAATCCCAGCTACTTAGGAGGCTGAAGCAGGAGAATCGCTTGAACCCGGGAGGCGGAAGTTGCAGTAAGCCGTGATTACGCCACTGCACTCCAGTCTGGGCGACAGAATGAGACTCCCTCTCAAAAGAAGAAGAAGAAGAAGAAGAAGAATCCATTCCATTGCTCCGGCCTCCAGCCTGGGCTGTCATCCTACACTAGTCCCACCCCTTACACAGCTTCCAAATCTGCCCCTATTTTTCACACCGCTACGCACATCCTATAACAAGCCAATATATGTTTGTCGAATGGATACATGCGTGAACGAATTGGGTAGGGAGTAAAGTGAACTAAATGATGCCACATGTGTTAATAATCACTGAAACATGTTTTCCATTGCTTCTGTTTTTCAAAGCGGTTTTCACAGCTTGAGTTCTCTCCATTCAGCGTCACGAAAGCCCATTCGAAATGGATATCAGCTGACGTTGGCCTGCACGCGTTTGCCTTCCTCCCCTCACTCCGCTTGTGCGCCTCTCTTTCGGCTGGCTTTCCTCTCTCCTTCCATCTCCCCTCTTTCGCTTCCCTTCCCTCTGCGCCCGCGCGCGCCTCCCAGCACGCTGGTCAGCTCCTCTTGCTCGCAAGCAGGTCTGGCCCCAGCGGCGCGAAGTCACGAGGCTGGGGGCGGCCGGCGGCGAAGGGGGCGGGGCGAGGCCGGGGCGCCGCAGCGCGCATAGGCGGAGCCTCGGGCCGCGGGCCGCCTTGGTATATCTGCGCGTGCGCGGCGTCGCTGCTGGGCCAGTCGGGACAGAGGAGACAAGATGGCGCTGCGGGCGATGCGGGGGATTGTCAACGGGGCCGCACCCGAGCTACCCGTGCCCACCGGTGGGCCGGCGGTGGGAGCTCGGGAGCAGGCGCTGGCAGTCAGTCGGAACTACCTCTCCCAGCCTCGCCTCAGTGAGTATCAGAGAGTAATACGTCTCCGGTCTTTGCTCCCTAGCCTAGCCCTTTGCTCCCAGTCACCTGCTTAGCCAGCGGGTAGGGGGTAGGATTTGTTTTTCCCTCCCGCGTCTCCCCTCCGACCCTGACCCACTTGTCTCTTTAGAAGGAGATTTGCCTGTACCTAATATTTCCAGGAGATGGGCTGAGGGCAAGAGCACCAGCGGGAACTTTTTCCTGGGGTTGGTGGGCTCCTGGCTGTTGCCCTACCCCCTCCCCTCCCCAGCTTCCCTAGGCTGGAGCCTTCTTAGGCACTTGCTTCCCGTCCCCGAGGGCCACTTCTTGCCACTCCGATCTTAATCTTCCCCTGACTTCATTTGGATATCTAGGGGTCGAGGGAACGCCCCTTCTCCCCTCCCCCTGGTGAGGACCTCAATGGGGTCTTCAACTCCTGCGGAGGGCAGACGGTAGAGCCTTCGCTGACGTGGTCAGGCCTTTCGTGGATGGAGGTCAGGCCAGTAGCCAGAGGGAGATGTGGCTTGGTGTTTGGTGGAGGGGCTGCTCCGCAGAAGGACACCTAGATATCAGAGAACGCTAGAGCTGAAAAGTACCTTGCAGGTCATCCAGTCCAACCCTATCATTTTACAGGTGAGAAGCCTAAGGTTCTGGAAGGGGTAGGATTTGCCATGCTTCAGACACTTAATTATTGGCAGAGCAGGGACTAAAAATCCAGGTTCTTAAATTCTCGCTGGGCCTTTTTCTACCGTTGCCTCTTCATTTACTGACCAGTTAACCAAACTTGGTTGAGTGCAGGGTTCTTTGGGGAAGCCAGGTGGCTTTGCCCATAGGTGGTGTGTGTGCATAGGCTTGTTTAAATGTTGTGATTTTTTAAATAAAAAGGCCTTAATGAACTAGGTTTAAGTGGATAGCTCAGCAATTCCAAAAGAAATGGTTCTTGATTACTAGAGAATGCAGTTGTGTAGCATCCAACTTCTTCACAGCTTTCTTCGGAACTGGCAATGAGCCCTCGAAATAGACTTTTTAAAAAACTGGGAAAAGCACATGATGTTTCCCCAGGTGGTGAGACTGCATTTTCACTGGTTAATTGCCAGAGTGTCTGTCTCTAGGTGGCCGACTGATTAAAAAGGATTTCAGATGAAGGGTGTTAGTCTGGGCGATCTGAAGCCTGACTAATCCACATCCTGATCTGTCACTGGGTCATGTGATAGCACTGCAGTGTGAAGAAAAAGGAAAACATTTGATTCGGTGGATTGCTGAGATGTGCCTTTTACAGTAACTGGGAATTGTTCGAATTAGAAAATGTATGTTGGGACTTATCTGAGCTGAAGTAGCTACTTCAGGAAATCGGCAGATGTTGCATTCTTATGCAAACCTTGGCAATAAATTTATACCTACGAATTACAAATTCTCTTTTATTAATTGCGTTTGTATGCATTGCCTTTCTTTGGGTAGAACAGATAGACATTAGTGGTGCCTCTCAAAAAAGGTTATAAAGGTGCAGTAGTCAGTTTCCATATAATTAATCATTCAGTGTCAATTCAGAGAATATCAACTGAAATAACGTTGTTTAAAGAGTACTCCATGATTAAGATTGTAAACCTTTAAGAGAGATGAATATGATTTCTCCATGGTTTGTACGTACTTACCCAGTTGCTGAGGGATTTTTCCAGACGTTATTCTTGACAAAACTGTTGTAGCATAGGGCTTCACACTCAACTGTTAGATGTCAGGGATCCTTTTTATGTCCCCACTGCCTAGCACAGTGCCTGACACATAGAATGTGTCTTGTAATTGTGTAACTTGCATTTAAACTCCTTGCTCGAATAATTCAGTGGATAGATTGTGAACATGGGTGGAATCAGAGCAGGGAGTTGAAATGCCCGGTCGAGTTGAGTTTCACTTATATATCCGTGTTATTCTAAAAAGCATAAATGATATCATACTTAGGCTAACAACTAACAGCATTTGAATATCTTCTTATTTTGCCATATTTTTTATTCTACTCAAAAGTTTTAATTGCTTCTGAGTAAATATTGATTAACCTCTTAATTTTTGTGGGTTTTTTTTTTTTTTTTTTTTTTGAGATGGAGTCTCGCTCTGTCACCCAGGCTGGAGTGCAGAGTGGCGCGATCTAGGCTCGCTGCAACCTCCGCCTTCCAGATTCGAGCAATTCTCCTGCGTCAGCCTTTCGAGTAGCTGGGACTACGGGCGCACGCCGCCATGCCCGGCTAATTTTTTGTATTTTAGTAGAGACGGGATTTCACCGTGTTTCCCAGGCTGGTGGCGAACTCCTGAGCTCAGGCAATCCGCCTACCTAGGCCTCCCAAAGTGCTGGGATAACAGGCATGAGCCACCACGCCCAGCCAACCTCTTAATTTTTGTAAATTGATTGTAATTTTTTGTGAATTGATTGATGTTATCATTTAAGGGGACATGTAATTATAGTTATTGTGTGTGTGTGTGTGTGTGTGTGTTGAGACAGGGTCTCACTCTGTTGCCTAGGCTGGAGTGCAGTGGTGTGAGCTCAGGTCACTGCAACCTCCACATCTCAGGCTCAAGCGATCCTCCCACCTCAGCCTCTCAAGTATCTGGGACTACAGACGGACACCACTACGTCCAGCTAATTTTTTTTAATTTTTATTTTTTATTTTTGGTAGAGATGGGATTTCCCCATGTTGCCCAGGCTGGTCTACAACTCCTGAGCTCAAGAGATCCGCCCGCCATGGCCTCTCAAAGTGCTGGGATTACAGGTGTGAGCTGCTGTGCCCAGCCTAAAGCTTCACACTGAACCTTTAGAAGTCAGAGATCCTTTTTGTGTCCCCACTGCCTAGCACAGTGCCTGACACATAGAATGTGCCTTGTAATTGTGTAACTTGCATTTAAACTCAAAAAGCTTTGTTTTTTGAATGAAGAAATGGAGTAATGTTGACAGTTCCACTGTACAAATTAGATCCTTTTAAAAAATAGCTTCAAGATTATAGGACTTTTAAAAGAAATGGAAAACATATTCAGGCTTGAAATTAGGAAATTATCTTGAGCATTTTAGTTGAATTTCTGAAGTCACAAGGAATGAAAACTTGATTTTCTCTTAAAAGAAAAGATTCAACAACATACATAGAGCTTTCGGGTGCTATGTATTTTGAATTTGGTCATCTCCATTTTTCTTGAGACCCTAGATCAACTGGCCTTAAGTTTCTTATATCATAAAGCAGAGCCAGCCCTGCAAAAAGTCAAAATAGGAATCTTCTCCTTGCTTTTTTCCTAGAACCTCTTCTTCAGGTGCTCACTGCTCATCATGCAGATCTCTACTCTTCTTGTACAAGGGAAGATGATTGCTCTGGGTTTTTGTTTTGCTAATAAGGCAGAGGCTAAAAGACTAGGACACTTATTATGCAATGGCTGTCAACTTTTTCTGAGTATTTCGTAATCATTAAATGGTGTTACTAGTGTTGAGCAATATCCTATCCTGCAGGAGGAAGAGGATGTCATCTGATAAAATATGTGCTCCTTAAAACCCGTGTAGATTTTGGGTTTTAGATGTTACTTCATAAATACTTGTCTGGCTCATATGATAGTTCAGAATCAAAGCCAAGACATTTTGGTTGTAAAATATGTTAAGAAGGTAATATAAGCATATATCTTCTGTGTTGTCAGAAGTTCTGATTATCCCCCATTCACACACCTACGGGCTCAAATTCTTTTTCATTTGGAGAGGAGTGGTCAATATGTAGGTAAATAGAAATATTTAGGTAATTTACAAATGGGTTTTTTCCTGTTTTGAAGGGCAACTTAATGTCTTTGACAGCCATAGTTTAAACTGGTATCTCTGTTTTGGGCTGTTAATGGTAATGGTGAGGAAGGCTGGATAAATCTAGAGATAAAAGGTAGTGTTTGTTATCATTCTGCTTGGTTTTCTTTGCAGATAGTTTTAGTACCATGGAGAAGAGCTGTAGTTTTATACAAATTGTCTTTTTGTCCCCACTTGTAGTCCAAGTGCTAGAAGCTGTATGATCTCCATACTTTTTAATTGTACTGAAGACTAAGGCCAGAAATATTATAAGGGTCATAGAGTACCAATCCTAAGATTAAAGAAAAACAAAACAGTTAGAAGCCTGGCTCCCCCATTTAAAAACAAACTTATCAGGGCCTTAGTTTCCTTAGGGTGCATCAGCCTTGCCTACTGTCTTAGCCATTTTCTGCTCCTTTTAACAGAAAACCTGAAACTGGGTAATTTATAAAGAAAGGGAATTTATTTCTTAAAGTTCTGGAGTCTGGGAAGGCCAAAGTGGAGGGGCCGCATCTGGTGAGAGCCTTCTTTCTGGTGGGACTTGAAAGAGTCCCAGGGTGGTTCAGGGCATCACATGGTGAGGGGGCTGAGAATGCAGGGGCACTAGCTCAGGTCTCTCTTCCTTTTGTAAAGCCACCAGTTACCTTCACATGATAATTCATTAACCCATGAATGGATTCATCCATTCATAAGAGCAGAGCCCTCATGACCCATTCCCCTCTTAGAGGCCTCACCTGTCAGTACTGCCACATTGGGGATGAAGTTTATTGCCTGGTGCGTTAAAAAGTAAAAACCTGTTTTGCATACCTAAAATTGCAGGCTTGTGAAATTGTTTTGGGTGGTATCGCTTCATAATTCTTACAAGATACCATACCACAAAAAATGAACCAGTTCAGTTTTAGAATTTGGGCTGTAGTAGAGTCAAAGAATAAGTGGCTTTGGAGCTAGAGTGTACACATTCAGATCCTTGGGCTGGTTGCTTGTGTCCTTGGGCAAGACACAATAATTTCTCTGAGAATAATTTTTCTCTTCTAAAACTTAGAATAATGATAGCTAACTCTGTCTGTTATGGAGATTAAATGAGAATTCCTGAAAAGTACTTATTAAATGTATGATAGTGTTATCAATTAACTTGCAAGGTTACTTACTAACTTTTTAAAAGGCTGGATACGTTGTTCCAAATTTAGAGACTTTTGATGAAGTAGAATCTTGTCTTCTGTAGTAGATGTCAATTTGAGTCACTGTTTCCAGGAAAAGCTATGACTAGTGTTTCTTTTTCTTGGTCATACTTTTGCTCGTGACTGGCAAAATTTCATAGTTTGGAATGAGCTTGAATTTTAAACATGAGATTCTAAAGCAGTATTGTTGTAGAAATCAGACCTATAAAGGAGATACAATCTTGTTGAAAAAATAAAGAGAATTTTAAGAACCTGGTGTATTTTACTGATGTTGCATTTTATTCAAAACAGTTAATCATAAATCTCAATACCATATCCCCTCCCTCACCCCAGCTGTTTGGTAAAGGTTTTGGAAAGGTCTACGTTTCTGCATTTCTGAAAACTGGTTTCAAGAAAACATATTTCTAATGTAGCTCACTTTCCATTTCCACATGGCAATTTTAGAAAGCCATTGTAAAAAAAATGCTGGGAGTCTTTAAAATGAGAACAATGAAGAAATCTTTTAAAGGGTTGGAATTATGTTTTTTAAGAGTATTCAATCATTTTAAAACAGTAGGGATGGTTTTCATAAAAGTGGCAGAAAATGTGGCAAATGGGGTCTTTCTAGTAATCTAGGGGAATGATTAATCCTTTCACATGACCATCCATCCAAGTAGCTTGCTTTTTATCTAAAGTGGGGAAAAAAAAATACAGTTCAGTTGGGGGGCCTCTATTGAGACAGTTGCAGTACAATTACTGATGTATTCAAGCAAATATGTGATGTCTGGATTTAAACGTCCTGTTAGCAGGAAAGATGGAAGCCCTGACAGTGCTGTCTGCTCTGTCCCAGCATTTTTACCAGGGCTCTGGCTTCCCCGCCTGAGGCTGAAGGAATTGTAATTTTAAATTCCAAAGCCACTTGAGTGGACAGACTGGTTAGTAAATGGTTTCCTCATGCTTGGGAGTCCACATCTGTGCCAGGAATCTCTGTGCAAGCTCATTATAAGACCTCAAAAGAAATCAAGCAAGTGAAAAATTCCCAGTTGCTAGACAGCTTCATGTTAATTATTTTAGGCCTTATAGTAAATTTTCTTCAAAACTTTAGTTCATGTATTTTTTTTCAGTTGTTCTGCTTATGAAATTTAGTGAATTTTGTAGGTGTCTGGTAGAATTACTCTCCCCTGAGTGTTCTTATACCTGATCCCCATTTCACTTGCCATGCAGGTGTGATAGGTGAGGGCTTTGGGTAGGACCTGCTGGGGTAGAATTAGCTGTTTATTCCTAGGGCGCACTTTGCAGTGGAAAACAACAGTCTCTAACCTGGCAGTAACGTTTGACTTTTTTTAAAAGGATCCTTTTCTTATCTTGTTTGACCCCCTGGCCTTTCTTTCCATTGCCTACTCCGTCCTTCAGAAGCTCTTTTCCCTAGTTTTTATGACACCATTTAATTGTGGCTTTTTACCTTGCAGGCTATACAATTTCTCCAATTTCCTTTGTGACTTTTGTCACTTCTGCGTAACATTAAGGATTCCCTTTCCTCATCTACTTAGCTAAATGCTGCGTCCTCTATAAAGTTTTTACTTTTCTCCCTGAGGTGAGAACTATTCCCCTGTTTCTGCTGTGCTCCCACAAACCCTGTGCAGGCCATAGTTAGAGCCCTTATCTCATCACATTCTAACTCCACCCCCTCGCATAAGACTGAACTTTTGAGACAAGCAGAGTCTTTCCCTCTGTGTCTTGTTTTTGTATGCTGGGTGCTTACAACAATGACTTACTAAGGATTCAAAATATTTTTGGTTGGATGACAGTGGATTATGAAAAGTTGTATAGGCACAGATGTAGTTTATAAATGCATTGAAAAATTTTGTAGCTATTTGAGTGTACCGTATTCTAATAGACATGATAACGTAGAAAGGATTTTTGGTAATGCCAGAGAGCTAATTTAAGCTTTTGTGCTATTTGACTAAAACTGACTCTTCTGTATTTCTTTCCAGCATACAAGACAGTATCTGGAGTCAATGGTCCACTAGTGATCTTAGATCATGTTAAGGTAATACCACTATCTGTTTTGGTCTATTTATGTAGTTAAAAATGTGGCATTAAGTCCTATTTAGTATACTTTAAATTTTTGTTATGATTTTTAAGCCATACTTTAGACTGGGTGTCAGTCAGTCTAAAGCCCAGATACCATGATACCCTGGGCTATCAGATACCCTGGGCTAAGATTTTTGCCTGAGCTGTTTGACCAAAATATCATCCAAGAAAATAATTTCCATAATATGTTTTCTAGAACAGTAATTGTACATTGGTTACAGGGGTGGGTCAGGGAGAGGCATACAATTACTAGTTTGTTGAGAGAGGTTAATGATGCATTTGTGCTTGGCGTGTGACCCCTCTGGAAGTAGAAAATACATTGAGAAACACTTCTTAAAAGAAGGGGCAAAGTGCATTGCCTCTTCTGCTTTATCACTAAGGTAATATCTTTCTGTATGATAAGGCACCTGTAGAAACTAATCTCAAGATGAAACCTAGTGAGTTTACCTCCTGACTGCAGTTTGATATGTGCTGCAGATTGATTCAAAGCCATAATCAAACTGAAGTTGTACAAGATTTAGGCAGGTGCCCATTAACGTTTTGTAAAAGAATACAGCCTCCTCTTTTGTTTTCTGGGGAAAATATTAGGAAGCTTTGTTTGTTTCTTTATATTTTAATTGTTTTCTATATTCTTTGTGAAATAAACTTTTGGACTCATTTTTAAAATATAAATTTTTTAAATATTAGTAAGTATATTATTGAAACAGCTCAAAAAATATTTGGGCTCAATTGTGTTAAGTGCTGAGCCCAGTACAGAAAATATAATGGTGGACAACGAGAACGGGGTCTCCCCTAGTTGAGCATAGTATAGTGGAGATGCAGATATAGTATCAATGTCTCATTGGTACGCGCTGTGAAGAGGCAGTTAGGGTGCTGTGAAAGATGATACTGGGAAGGACTTAGAAACCGTCTCTGAGGAAGTAATTTTAAGAGACCTAAAAAAGTTTCATTGAATGTTACATTGGGTTGTAGTTATAGGTGAGGGAAGACTGGTAAATCATTTTTATGTAGTTGTAGAAAAATCTATTTAGACTATGAGATTGATAGTGATTTGATTTTAGATTTTGGCTTTTGTTTTTAACATAAAACATATAGGATCAAGGAACAGATAATCTCAGGCAAATTATATCAGAATAGAAGAAGATGAAGCACTGCTGCCAACTAATTTTGTGAAGTTAAAGTATCTTTGACTCCAAACCAGAAAAAGGATAGTATTAGAAAAGAAAAATAGCTGTTCTCACTTATAAACACAGATCCCAAAATTCTTAATGCATTCATGTTAGATATTAGCAAAATACCTATGTAAAATATCAGCAAAAGTAGATAATTTGATATTAGAAAATCTAACAATGTAATTCAACACATTCATGGATTAAACTAGAAAAAGCTTATATTCTTCTCAATAAATACAGAAAAAAAATTTGATGAAATTACTCATTTTTTAAAAAGCCTCTTCGAAAATAAGGAATATAACAAACTTTTAACCTCTTAGTGAGTATCTACCACAACCTGCAGCAAATCAAGTACTTAGAAGATTCTATAAACATTCCCATTGAAATCAGTGAAAGGAAAATAACTATTCCCTCTCTACTGCTGTTCTCAGTATGTACTTCACTTCTGACACCAGATGTGTGTGTTTTTTCCTATAACAATTCAGTTCTTTGGGGAACACCTATTGGATGCCCTGCAATTTAGCTCAGTTCTGGCACTCACTGCAAAGAGTTGTGTGTACCCCATAGGTTAAGGGCTTAGTCCCACAAGACTGCAGTCCACTTCAGATGCCAATCAAAAGTAGTGGGTCCCCAGGTTACCCACAGCTACTGTCCAACTCGGCTACAGATTGAGGATACCCTTCTGAAGTTTGATAATTTGCTAGAATAGGTTACAGAACTCAGGAAAACCATTTACTTACTATTACTGATTTAGGGTATATTAATATATTAATATTACCACTACTGTTAAGGTTATATTAAAGGATACAAATGAATAGCCAGCTGAAGAGATGATCATAGAGTGAGGCCCTGAAGAGTCCCGAGCACAGAAGCTTCTGTCCCCGTGGAGCTGGGGTGGACCACCTTCCTGACACATGGATGCATTCTTGCTGCCGAACCCAGAAACTCTCCAAACACCCTCAGTTAGGATTTTTTTTGAAGACCTAAGCATGACTGGTCAAGTCCTTAGCAGCGGTGATTAGTCAATTTCCAGTACCGCTACTCTGTCAGGAAGTCAGGGGATGGGGCTGAAATTTCCAATCCTCACTCAGCATCACTATCCATCTTTCTGCTAAAAACTTACCCAGTGCTATGGGGAAAAGAAATTAGGGTACAAAGCGATTAGAAGGGAAAAGGAACCGCCATCATCATTTCTTGATAATCTGATTAATGAATCAGAAAACCCAAGTCATCCAGTGGCAGACAATTAGAAACAAGGTAGCAAACAAGGTAGTGGATACAGGATCAGTTTACAAAAATTTTTAGTGTTCTGTATGCCAGAGTAACTATTTACAGAAAACTATAAAACATTGTGAAAGACCATAAAAGAAGACCTAAAATAAGTGAAGATTCCATGTTCATGAAGGAAAAGACTCAATTCTCCCCAATTAACACAATCAGGGAAGAGTAATTAAAAATGAGGATTTGGTTCAGTAATAAGCAGATATAACAGTGGAACAAAATTTAGGGCCCTGAAATCAACTCTTCACACATGAGAATTCGACTTGGTAAATCAACATTACAAGGCCATGGGGGACACTGTGCTGCTCAGAATATTGTTAGGGCAATTGGTTTCCCATATAAAAATGAGAAATATAAAATTAGTTACCAAAATTCCAGATGAATTAAAGATCTAAATATAGAAAAGGAAACATAAGTCTAATAGAAGACAATACAGAAGACCGTTTTTGGGTGCAGCACACCAGCATGGCACATGTATACATATGTAACTAACCTGCACATTGTGCGCATGTACCCTAAAACTTAAAGTATAATAATAATAAAATAAAATAAAAAAGAAAAGACCGTTTTTATGACTTCAGGCTGTTTTCCAAACAAGACACAAAAGACATAAATTTGTAAAGGACCACAGTATGTTTTATTATGTAAAAAGTGTTGTGCACATGTATCCTAAAACTTAAAGTATAAAAAAAAAAAAGTGTTAAAACTTTTGTATGAAGAGATACCATAAGCAAAATTAAAAGATATGAAGGAGAGTAAGAAAAGATATTTGTACAAGGATTAATATAGAGAATCTATAAAACTTCTATAAATGAATAAGAAGGATTTACTTGATAAGTAAGAAAAGGATATTAATAAGCAATTCATAGGAAATGAAGTCTGACTTATCAGTAATATGAATGAATAATTGACAATGATAAGCATGGGAAGTTCCTCAGTATTGGTACAAGTTAGGAAAATGCAAACTAAAATGATGCTGTTTTTATTAAAATGGCAAAAATTACTTTTAAAAGCATAGATTGGCAAAGATGGAGGGAAAGGATACTTTTTTATATAGCTAGGGAGAGTGTAAATTAATAAGGTTCCTTTGCAGAGTTAATTTGGCAGAAAATGGGCATGGCCTGTATGTGGCCCACCAAATGGCTTTGGGAAATTCTGGCATGCTTGTATGAGGAGCCCCATACAAGAATGCTCATTGTAACATTTCTGTGCTAGTGTAAATTTGGAACAACCTAGAACTCCACTGGTAAAAGAACAGCTGAATGAAAGGTAGTGTAGTTATCTGATTTAACTATATCTGCTCTGTTTTAACATTAATACTAAGGTGCCCATATCTCCAAAGGGTCTTAAAGCAATGGCACATCATAGTTTAATTGGCAGGTTTCTCTTTTCACATCACACAAAATAATGATGCATCTTTCAATAAATTATGTTGATAAAATAAGTATTAACATGCCAAATGTCATGTTAATATCAGGTCAAGTGAAAAACAAATTGCGGAGTGATTAGTACGTTGCCATTTATGTAAATCACCAAACTTCATTTTTTGGAGACATGTCTTTTTAAAGAGTAAAAATGGATTAGAGGAATATATATCTTGTTAGGAGAACTAGATTGAGGATGAGACTTAAGCATTATCTTATTATAATAGTAATTATTATTTAGTAACTTTCTTTTTTTTTTTTTTTTGAGACAGAGTCTTTTTCTATCAGCCAGGCTGGAGTACAGTGGCACGATCTTGGCTCACTGCAACCTCCGTCTCCCCGGCTCAAGCAGTTCTGCCCCAGACTCCTGAGTAGCTGGGATTACAGGCCTGTGCCACCATGCCTGGCTAATTTTTTATTTTTAAAAAATTAAAAATAAAATTTCACCATGTTGGCCAGGCTGGTCTCGAACTCCTGACTTCAGATTATCTGCCCATCTTAGCTTCCCAAAGTGCTGGGATTACAGGTGTGAGCCACCGCGCCTAGCCTATTTAGTAACATTTTATTCTTCCCCTGTCAACCACATCTGGAGCACACAGTTGATTACACACACAGCCTAGAAAGCAATCATCATTTCTAGGTGGTGAGAACATGTTTATCTGTACTTTTCTGTAGCCTCAAAACTATAAAATATGCATGCAGAGGAAAAGCAATACATTTAATTCCCATGTTTTCATGGATTTAAGACCCTTCTTCTGTACCTTATGCTTTGTTTGCTAGTATATGTGACAGTGATGTTTGCTGTAAGGACTTAAACTACCTGAGGGTATTGAAAGCTCTCAGCAAAAACCTGTGTCTGTGAAGAGTAGAGGGTTCCATATTCAGACACAACATGGGAGAGACAGAGCATGTGTAGTAATTTGGGGGGCTTGTAAAATGTCGGATATTGATCCTTTATTTTTTTCTCTTTAGTTTCCCAGGTATGCTGAAATTGTCCATTTGACCTTACCGGATGGCACAAAGAGAAGTGGGCAAGTTCTGGAAGTTAGTGGTTCCAAGGCAGTAGTTCAGGTAAGTTTCAGCTGGCCAGCTGAACTGTTTCCTAGTTGCCTACACATAGGGAACACTGCTTGTTTCTTTCTGTGATGATCATTGCATAAGTGTTTTTAGAGTCTTTAGAGATTGGTTACCGGCTGCAGGGAAAGAAACTATTATTGCATGTTTTTTTGCTCAGTGTCACTTAGTCCGATAGCAACACTAGTAAGTGGCTTTTTTAAAATGGATAAAATTAAGTAGTCATGTAGAAGGAGAGAGATGAAAAGCAGAATTCACTGATGATGTGATGAAACCAACAGGATATCTGTCTGAGTTTCTTCCTTTAAATTATCTCATACATTTCCTAGTTTTAAAATGTTACCTCACTATGGGTAATGGCAATTTTCTAAAATAACATGTTCCCCTTAAAAATAGCCTAAAGCAGGGATTGGCAAGATTTCTGTAAAGGGCCAGAGAGTAAAGCTTTTAGGCTTTGTGGGGCCAACTAAATTCTCCTACATATTCTTCTTTTTCTTTCTTTCTTTTTTTTGAAACAACCCTTTAAAAAATATATATATATATAAACATATATATATTTATATATTTATATTTATGTATGTGTATATATATAAACATGCTTAGCTTGCTTATCAAATTTGGCCTGTAGGCATGAACCCTTGATCTAAAGGTTGACAATTTGATTTATTATCATATTTCTTTGCTCATTATATCAAAAGTAGTATACATTCATGGGTTTTACATTATAAGGGCTGTTTAACAGACAAATAAAATGTAAATGCCCGTGATCTAAATTACTTCTACCCTTCTCATTAATTCTTTTTCTTGATAGGTATTTGAAGGGACTTCAGGTATAGATGCTAAGAAAACGTCCTGTGAGTTTACTGGGGATATTCTCCGAACACCGGTGTCTGAGGATATGCTTGGTAAATGGATATTATTCATTCTAAGCCGAGATCTGTTTCCTTTTAAACATATTTCCATAATGTCTTTTAAAAATTATGAACATTTGAAAGTCAGCATCTACTCTGTCCTGTCTTCTTACTGATTTCTAGGTCGGGTATTCAATGGATCGGGAAAACCCATTGACAGAGGTCCTGTTGTACTGGCCGAAGACTTCCTTGATATCATGGGTAGGTACAGTAGATGGATTGCTGTGTTTGGGAGAAAATAACCTCACTCTGTCTTGTACCTTTGCCAGATAGAGAGTGTTTTTTGTGATATCACTTAAAGTAGATAGGCAACACGCTCCATAGGTTATAAATTATTTTATTATTTAATTATATTTTCTTAGAAATTATCGTAAAATTTTATGTATTAATATCTTAAGATACTGTAAAATATCTAGGATATATCTGAAATGTATATGGTAAAACCATGAATTTGAAATTAGGACTTCTCTCTTATTTGCTATATCTTTATTTTACTTTAGGAACTTGAATTCTATTACCCTATGTTTTGTGAGTCTACAAAAGAGTAAAGGAAAAAATTATTTCAAGTTTCATATTTGAAAAATAACTGATTTTTTTTGTAGTAAAGAGATGCTTTATGTAGTTCTGGTCTTCTGGTGCTTTTTCTTTTCTTTTAATTTGATATGATATCTAATTTCATTCATGAATAATGCGGCAACTTGTTGAAATTTTCCTTTTTGGAAATACATTAGGTCAGCCAATCAACCCTCAATGTCGAATCTACCCAGAGGAAATGATTCAGACTGGCATTTCGGCCATCGATGGGATGAACAGTATTGCTAGGGGGCAGAAAATTCCTATCTTCTCTGCTGCTGGGCTACCACACAATGAGGTGAGGACTGGGATCGGTTTGCTATGAAGTTTAGCAGACAAGAATTTCTATAATGCATCACTGTTACTGAGAAACCGAATAAAGGGTTTTCAAAATAAATACTCAGTGTTATTGTTTGTATAATCCAGTTACCTCACATCTTTATTTCTGCACATGTCTTCTTGCTTACCCTTGCATATCTTTGCAAAAAGTACAAAATAGTTTTGTTGAATGAATACCCTAAAACATCCTGGTTTCGTTTATGATTACGATTCCAAAAAGTTTATGGTAAAAGTTATTTTGTTGTAGAAATGTTATTTTAGATTTCAACTGAATTCTTCTACTTTGTTCATCAGATTGCAGCTCAGATCTGTCGCCAGGCTGGTTTGGTAAAGAAATCCAAAGATGTAGTAGACTACAGTGAGGAAAATTTTGCAATTGTATTTGCTGCTATGGGTGTAAGTAGAATTTTTGTTTTAGTATGATATGTAAAATTTTGCTTGTGTCGTGAGAACATTGTAGTAAGCTGTACATATATAGTTGAATTTTTCTTTAGGTAAAGAATTTGCAATCTGGCATTTTGGCCAAATTAAGGACTAAAATTTGGCATTTGACTAATTTGAAATTTAAGAATAATATTGTTTGTGCCCCAAACCGGCTCTTTGTTCTGTTGGTTTTTGTGAAGATTTTTGGGGTACTTGAGGTTTTAAAAGAAGGAACAATTCAAATCTGTAGCTTGGCTTTCATCAGAAATAAATGTTAAGGATTTTTCTTCTCCCAGCACTGATGAAGTTATTGTTATTTAGGTAAACATGGAAACTGCCCGGTTCTTCAAATCTGACTTTGAAGAAAATGGCTCAATGGACAATGTCTGCCTCTTTTTGAACTTGGCTAATGACCCAACGTAAGTAACAGAGCTATTTCTTTCTGTGGCCCAGACTCGGGATCAAAAGTGTGTCTTAAGGTTGGGGAGGTAAAATGTGGTAATAACAGCATTTGGACCTAACAATGAGGTAACCCTGTATTTAAAGTCCAGCCCTGCTTCTTGGTAGTTATCTGGCACTGGGCAAATTACTTAGGTTCTGAAGCTCATAAGATGTGACAGCTGATACTTGTCTCATGGAGTTGTTTTGCATATTAAATGAGATCATACTTATAAATTACCTAATACACAATCAACTCTCTGTAAATGATTTTTTCCTCCTACCTCAAAAATCTGGCTTTCATTTGTTTCCTCTCTCTCTCCTTCCTACCTGCCTGCCCCACCCCAGTGTTGAGAAACCATACAACTGAGAAATTTGGGACATTTATAAATAACTGTTAATACCTTACTTAAGAATTTGTAAAATAACAACTGCTTTACTCTCCTCAATTCATTTAAAACTTTAAAAGGGGAATTGTACTGTTATTTCCAGAATCATTTCTTTTTGTGTTTTCTTTTTGGTCTTTTGGTTTGAGTGGCCTAAGACTTAATGTTCCCTTTCAGCATTGAGCGAATTATCACTCCTCGCCTGGCTCTAACCACAGCTGAATTTCTGGCGTACCAATGTGAGAAACATGTATTGGTTATTCTAACAGACATGAGTTCTTATGCTGAAGCACTTCGAGAGGTAAGTTGTTCATGTTTTTCCCTCAGTTAAACAAAATTGGTTAATTTTCAGGGTTAACTTGTCACTTTGCAAGTTTTCATTCTTTATGGTTTTTTAATTCCACTGTTCATATATTAATAGAATGCCTTAATAAATCAGAAAGGAAACTACTTCGTTTTTGTCAACTTGGTAGAAGTGATTAGAGGTTAAGATTTAAATGGTTAGCCTGTTTATCATACTGTCACTATCTCCATGGATTAAGAAATGATTGTAAAAGGGAGTAAATAATTCAAGCTGTTTATTCAGTTACTCTCTCGGGAAGTTCTGTTTCTGTCCAGACTATTAATTTTTAAACCTTTTTGTAATTCCATTTTTAATGATGTTAATATTTTATAAAGACCCTACTCTCACAGTACTCTCTTCAGCACTTTTTTCTTCAGAAAACCCAGTGTTTATTTAGGAAAAATATTAAGATTCTAGCAGGCTGGGCACGGTAGCTCATTCCTGTAATCCCAGCACTTTGGGAAGCCAAGGCAGGAGGGTCACTTGGGATCAGGAGTTCAAGACCAGCCTGGGTAACATAGCAAGACCCTTTCTCCACAAAAAAATTAAGATATTGGCTGGGCGTAGTGGCACACACACTTGTAATCCTAGTTGCTCAGGAGGCTGAGGTGGGAGGATAGCTTGAGTCCAGTAATTTGAGGCTGCGGTGGGCTATGATTGTGCCACTGCCCTCCAGTCTGGGTGACAGATCGAGACCTGCTTCTTAAAGAAAGATTATAACAGTTACCCCTAGAAGTTTTGGGGTATTTGTTCAGTAATACAAATTACTGAAATTTTGAGTAAGTTACTTTTTTAAGCACATAAAAAGATTCTGAAGAGACAGGCTTCTTAAAATTCCTTCAGTGCCCTCACCATATCTTACTCTGCTATATTGCTGTTTCAGACTAACTCTAGTCAAGGACTAGTTTTTCTCCCCCATCCATCACAGACCAATACTTTTGTAAAATGCAATAAAATTGAGTTATTAGAAAAGTGAAATTTTAACTATATATATAATTTACAAATGCAGATTTTAGAATTGTTAGATTCAACAGGCATAAAATTATTCTGCCAAATTGCCCTGAAAGTTTCTAAATGCTTATCTTGCTTTCTGTGTGATCATTGCATGTTGATAACAGTTGGTCTGCAGACCGTGCTGTGAGGAGCACCGCTGTAGCACGCTCCTTTGAAGATGTCAGAGTAGCACTTAGAAGTTGGATTTCATAATGCTTTAGGGTTCTAGTTGATTGTAGGTGAACATGCACACCTATAGTCTGGTATCCATGTCTCTAAGGGAAAGATCGTTTATCACCATTCTTATTTTGTGCAGTGCAATGGACTCCTGACTTTGTGACCTTCAGAAATTGTTTAATTTTTCTGACCCTTGATTCCAACTGTTAATTGGAGGTAGCACCTTCCTCATAGGGTTGCTGTGAGGATTAAGTTAAATAATGTTGTAAAGCGCAGCAGATGATTCCTCGTGTACATTTCCTTCCCTTTTGACCTTTTTGGGATTAGGTTAGATAAATATGGCTAGTTCCACCACGTGGAATAAATCTTGTGAACCAAGAATCTTTTCTGTTTTAAAATTAACTTCCTTTGATTTATAAAATTGCAAACAGATTTTCTTCTAGCAAACTATTTGAAAACTTACATTATGGCAATACGATTTTAGCAAAAACCTTCTGGTGCCCCATTGTCAACATTTTTGTTACAGAATACTTTGAATTTATGTTGCCGGGAGATTTTTCTAAATCATTCTTAAGGACAGTATTTAAAATGAACATGATGGGATTTTCAACTTTGTACTTTGGCATGTTGAAACAAACATGTTGTAAGCAAGCTTGTTGTAATATCGTGCATGATACTCTTCTGCTTGACCTGCTGTCAGGTTTCAGCAGCCAGGGAAGAGGTACCTGGTCGACGAGGTTTTCCAGGTTACATGTATACAGATTTAGCCACGATATATGAACGCGCTGGGCGAGTGGAAGGGAGAAACGGCTCGATTACTCAAATCCCTATTCTAACCATGCCTAATGATGGTAAGTTTTGGTATTTGGATTATAACACACCTAATCATTTTAAAGAGAGAGAAGACCCATCTACCTTTTCGAGTTGAAGTTATTTTGAGAACACATCCCCTAAGAGTTTATCTTGGTTATTTGCCTAAATAAAACATTTTTCATTTGAAAATTACCCACAGTTATTATCCTATTGTGGAGGAAAAGCAATTTTCTTCATAATTTAAGTTTTTAACTTTATTAGGTACTATTGAGTGCCTGCTGTTTGCAGGACACTGTTCTAAATGTAAAGAATTTTTGAAAAGAATTTATGGTCTCTACTTAATGTAAGTTACTCAGTCTAATTGGGGATGTTTTTTATGTGTGTGCACCGGTAATTTAACATGGCCATGTTCAGTGCCACATGAGGAGTACAAGTGGGAAACTCCACAAAACTGAGAGACAGATTTTTTTAACCAAGGGCTGGTTAAAAATGACTTTCCAATGCCTGTCTGTGTGTGTGCCCAGGATGGGGTACGACTATTCAGAATTCCTCTCCTGTGTTGCCTCTTTGTCCTTATTTCAGTTTTTGAACAACACTTTGACAAAATATGGTAAGTTATTACTTACTGTAATTGAGCACTGTTCTGAGTGCTTTATAAATATTCACTCATTTGCTCCTCATAGCAACTTTGAGGCAGATGCTGTTTGAGGCACAGGGAGGTCAAATGATTTGTTGAGATTAGCAAGTGATAGATTTAGGACCCAGTTTGAGTTCATAACTCACACTGTTACTCTGTACTGCCTCTGACGTGAAAATGATTTGTTCCAAGGGAGTAGCTACAAAATGATGTAATTTAACAGATTTGGAAATGTGTTGCTTTGTGTGACCTTTTTGGTGCAGCCTGTGTAGTGTTGTTTACTTGTCTATATGCCTGCGTTTTGCATGGTGAAATGTTGTGTATCCATCCGACATAGCTTATGAACTAAGAATGTTCTTAGTATACATCAGGTTGGCAAATTTCTATAAGGGAACTTTGGGTTTAAAATGAAACTTTACTTATATTGAGAGGGGAGAGCGCTTACCTAGGGGAGAGAGTATTTTTAATGAATGCAGCCAGTTTACCTCATAGAGCCAACACATGTCTAACTGCTGCAACCAAACTAAACTGGCCAGTATGGTTGCCGCTAGCCACATTTGGCTGTTTAAGTTCAAGTTAACTGAAATAATTGAAATTAAGTTTTTCAGTTTTGTTAGCCACGTTTCAAGTGTTAGATAGCCACATTTGGCTAATGGCTACCGTACTGCACAGCACAGACACAGAACATTGGCAGCATCACAGAAAATGACTCTAAGAACACTCTTCTAAGTAATGTTACAGGTAGTACAGAGGGACTTTTTGTGGGTTTGGTTCTGAGAGATGGCCGCTTTAAAACTCATAACCTAAAGATGCCATGCTTAATGCCAACTGTCTTCCTCTGGTAGATATCACTCACCCCATCCCAGACTTGACTGGCTACATTACAGAGGGGCAGATCTATGTGGACAGACAGCTGCACAACAGACAGGTACTGGACGGGAGCAGTGCTGGGAAGCTTGCAGACCTGCTCATCCGTTATTCTTTAGTGACTTGGATTTTGCTCTTAGGAATTGCTTTGCTTAGAAAGTATCAACTTGAATTGTTTTTAATATGGTTATAAAATTGTCATTTCTATTATCTTAAATTCTGGTGTCGGCAGAGCGCCAGAATTAAGAATCTTCTTAACACTTTCCTTTATTGTGTCTTAAAACAGAGTCACTTGTCTCCAAGAACTTTTTTGGGAATTCTGTTCCATAATGGTATCATCTACCAATCTTGTTATTGATAGAAAAAAATGACTTTTCCATGCCTCTCTAGTAGATGCTGACTTCTAAAATCAGCTTTTAGGAATTATTGTTAATTTTTTTTATTTTGTGTATAATTTTTTGAGTCAGTTCAGAAGACCATTTTGACTCGATAATGTGGTAGTACTTATCAAACAGATGTTGAAAGTTGAGTTTTTTAAAATAGTCTTGTACAGTGTTATAGATGACACTTTTTTGGATTTGATTCTCGAAAGAAATGCTATGCTATAAAGTGTTTCTTACTACCTTTTCTTGCCAGGAAGAGACAGTAGGATTCATCTAGGAGACAAATGCAGCGGTTGTCTTTGATTTAAGTTGTAATAATGAGTTTCAAATGTTTTTTTATTACCAGTAAAACTTGAGTTTTGTACTTAAATATAGTATTTTTTCCCTCTCATTCTACCCAAGATTTATCCACCTATCAATGTGCTGCCCTCACTATCACGGTTAATGAAGTCTGCTATTGGAGAAGGGATGACCAGGAAGGATCATGCCGATGTATCTAACCAGCTAGTATGTACATTCTTCTAAGAATGGTGTTTGAAAATATGGATACGTTTCTGCTGTCTTACACCTCTTGTCTTTCACCCTTACCACTTCTCTCTTCCCCATCCACATGGAATTTTAGTGTAGGCTTGATGTGGAATACATAATCATTCATTAGAACCAAAGCAGCCTTTTCCCATAAGGACAGATGCAAATGATCAAGATTAGCTTGAAACCCATGTCTAATGCTATCAAGTTTCCAAATAAAAAGCCAAGCAATGAGGTTGTTTAAATTTTTTATTAGCAATTTTAATGTTAATTATAGAGTATTCCTGAAAGGCTACTCTGACCTATTTCTTGCTTAACATATTAAGCCGTCACCAGAACACTAAAGTATACAGTTTTATGTAGGCTCTGAAATCCTTGATTTTTATACTCATATAAGATTGTACACTAACACAAATAAAGAAAAACACTATGGCCATAAAGTAGAAATGGTAAACTTAGCGATATCACAGATTTTTTTTGAATAGAACTTCAAGATGGATTTCTCCATGGTTTAACTATGAGTTCTGATTTTCAAGTGCTCTATAAATTTTGAGCTCATTAACATATTGAAGAAGTGTGCGTTTTGTAGAACATTAGGAGTGTCTTGTGTATTGTATGCCTGAAGACTCCTTTCTGAGTGAGAATATAGTCCTTCTGGTACTTTCATATGAATTTTATGTGAATTGTTTTTGTAAATTCCTTCTATGGGCTCTTGTGAGGAGAACTAGAGCAGTACATTCCTATATCCCAGATGACTGAACATTTTGAGAGCTTCTCTCTGCTGATGGGTGCCTTTCTTCTCTTTAGTATGCGTGCTATGCTATTGGAAAGGATGTGCAAGCCATGAAAGCTGTCGTTGGAGAAGAAGCCCTTACCTCAGATGATCTTCTCTACTTGGAATTTCTGCAGAAGTTTGAGAGGAACTTCATTGCTCAGGGTAAGATGACTGTTGGCTTACAAACATAAAAAGCCTCATATGTAATTTTGAAAACTGCTTTCCAAGCCTAAGAAAATTCTCATTGGTTTCTATATAGTTATTTCTCTGGTTAGAGAAGAGGCTCTGTCACCTGCCTGCCTTAACCCTCTGGCTTCTCCTCTGCCTTCTAAACATCTTGGGAGATCTTGACTTGATTTTCCAGTTACTCAGCTACCATCTCACTGTTTTCCTTCTTCCATCGCCCTTCTGAATCCTCCTTCCCAGCCCCTCTGCGGTACAACTTCATTGCCAGTTCTCCTTGCTGCTAACTTCTTAGCAATGATCTGCTTTGACATTTGGGGCTTGGGACTTTCCTGATTCATCTATATTCATCTCTTTTTCTCATTTCTTACCTTCCTGCCTCTTAATTGTTAGTAATCCAAAAAGCTCAGTTACCTGTTCTTTCTGCTTTCCCTCCCAGCGTCCACTTTTCACTGTGCTGTGGGCTCTATGATGTGTGGACCTTTACCCACTGTCCAGACCTCTGATTCCACAATCTCCAGCTGCCTTAGGAACACCGTTGTTGTTTATGCCACCATCCCCTCAGGCTCAGTGTACTCAGAACCAAAGTTTTTTTTCCAGCTGACCTGCCTAGCAGTGCCCTTTCAATTTTTATCTACCTCTGCTATAATCATTGTCCCAGTTAACTCAAGCTCAGTAACTGGGCATTATTCTTAACCTTCTTTGCTTATTGTCCATTGATCAATTATTTACTAATTTGTGTTGTTTTCTTTTGAAATATCTTACCCTATTCAGTTTTTATTTCCATTATAATGCCTTAGTCCTGTATTTCTTAAACTTTAATATGCTTTTGAATCAGCTGGAGATCTTGTTAAAATGCAGATTCAGATGCAGCAGACCTTGGTGGGGACAGAGATTTTGCATTTCTGTGAATTCCTGGGTGATGTTGAAGCTGCTGGTCTCTGACCACTCTTGAGTCCAAAGGCTCTAGTCCAAACCTTTGTCCCATCACCCTTGGCCATTGGTGCCAACTTTTTCACCACTCTTCTTGACTCTTTGTGTGCCATTGCCAGGGTAAATATATTACTAATTTTATTGGTTGTCCCTCTACTAAAAAAACCTGTAGTGGTTTTTATGACATAGCATAGGCAGGATTTTCAAGCTGTTTTGCTTGGTCTCTCCCATCACCCCTGCTAATGCTAGTGATACTCTCTTAACATCGGTGGTTACAACAGGTGTGTTTACTTTGGAATAAATGCATCAGGCTGTACACTTAGGATGTGCACCTTTCCAGTTATATGATACATTATTAATATTCAAATCCCCAAAATATTCATGATTATTGGAATTTTTTTAATGCAGAACCTGAATATCTTAAACAAAATAAAGTTTTCCTCTAGAGAAAAGAACCCAGACCTCCAGCCTTGGACTCAAAGAATAAGATTTATTTGTGGGGATAAGGATGATTCTGCCATCAAAAATAATTTTAACAACTTGGGAAACCACTGACCTTCAGATAGTGATACTCTGGAGAGGGTTGCATGTATTCAGGTGCTTGACTGGCATTTATGTCCTTCTGAGCATCTGTGTTAGTCGCCTTCAAATTCAGCCTTTTCTCTTTGTGTGAACCTTCTGTGCTAGGGAGACTTTTCTTACTAATCTCTGGACAAAACATTGATTCTAGTTTCCATTGCTCAAGTATCCTACCCAGTTGTCAAATCTCAGATCTGTCTCACCATCCTCTCCCGCAAGACTGCTCCCTGTCTCAGCCCAGCCGCCTCTTCCCTCTTCTCTGGTTCCTTATGATACTCACTGTCTGTGCCTTCTTTTCCTCAGTCCTTCTCATTTAGTCTTGGGAGTCCCAACTTTTTTTTTTCAATATCTATTTAATACACTGCTAGTCATATAACAATACATACTGGATAACACTGCTAAGTTGGAAGTCATTTGCATTTATTAATTCAATCTCAATTTTTTAAGGTCCTTACGAAAATCGCACTGTCTTTGAGACTTTGGACATTGGCTGGCAGCTACTCCGAATCTTCCCCAAAGAAATGCTGAAGAGAATCCCTCAGAGCACCCTCAGCGAATTTTACCCTCGAGACTCTGCAAAGCATTAGCTGCTGCTTCTGCATTGCTCCGCGCTCTTGTGAAATACTGGTTCTGTTTTCTTTATTCCTTTTGCACTCTCGGTTCCCACCTTTGTGTTGGAGTTTACCATGTTACCCTGTAATTAAAAACAAAGAATAGGTAACATATTGTGCCAGTGTTGCAACGTTTTAAACTGCTAACAGACCTTAAAATATCCCCCTACCTGGGTCCTCAGTGCTATGTTTAAAGTGCTGCAGGGATGGAGTGGCGTTTTCTTATTGCTGTATGTATTGTACATAGTGGAGTAGTTAGTTACCTGATAACAGTCTTGTTATTTGGGTCTCTTAGACCTTACCTCTCAACTCCCTCAAGAGTACCAGTCTCTGAAGTTATAATGCTTTGGTCTCTACATTAGGGGCAAGATCCAGTCTGAGAGAAGTCTCCTTTGAGAAGGGCCAAGAGGCTCTTTCCTGAGTGTTTGCTTTCGGTTTGTTGGTATGCCTGTATTGCTGGGCTGTGCTGCTGCTCGAAGCAGATGGTTTTGACTGTCTTTTTGCTCTTTCCTATATAATGAATAGATGAGTGAAAGGAGTTTTCTTTTTCTCTTTAGTACTTACGTATTGGGATTCCTGTGTCTTACAGCTCTCCCTCTCCAAATAATACACAGAATCCTGCAACTTTTTGCACAGCTGGTATCTGTCTGGTAGCAGTGAGACCCCTTGTCTTGGTGATCCTTACTGGGTTTCCAAGCAGAGGAGTCACATGATTACAATTGCCAGTAGAGTTGTTGTTTGGGGTACAAGATGAGAAGAAAGAAAAACCTACAGCCTTTCTACATTCTGACATGCTAACAGTGGTTTAAGTTTCTAAAGTGTTTACCAGATGCTGAAGGCAAGGGGAGGGAGCAGAAGCACTTATGTTTACGGATATTTTAAACTCTGTTAGAGAGCAGCCTTTGAAAATCCCCAATTTGGTTCTGCTTTTTGACCTCTCTCTACCTTTTCAGGGTAATCTTTGTGGCACAAACGATAGCATTTCCAAGCTTTAGAGTTTTCTGAATTCCTGCGCCTTCCTGACGTGAGCCCTGAGCGATCTTCTATGCAGTTCTGCCATGCGTCCTGTTGGTCTCTCTGTGTTCTTTGTTACTTGGGTGCAATAGCAACTTCCCTACCCCGTGCATTCCATCTTTCATGTTGTGTAAAGTTCTTCACTTTTTTCTCTGAGGGCTGGGGGTTGGGGGAGTCAGCATGATTATATTTTAATGTAGAAAATGTGACATCTGGATATAAAATGAAAATAAATGTTAAATTAAATGGACCTTAACTAAAGTGACTCTCTATCTTCTAACGAGGAAAGCAACAAGCAAATATGTAATCACACATCTCTTCAATTCACAGCTCTGAGCATCATAACCAGGATTGGGAACCAGCCCTTGTGTTGCAGGGACATGGCTTCCACACTGCCCTTGTCATTCTTTTTGGTACTGTCCCTTACAGCATGCTGTAGTTTGATCCAGGGCTGAGCATTCCTACAGGTGCTCCCCAGCGTTCCTCATTTCAGGCCTAGTCAGGACCTCTAGAGCCCATCTGCTGTGAGCAAAAGAGGGTGCTAAATAGTGAAATACAGCTTGAAGCAAGCCAAAACCTGTTTCACATAAAATCTCACATGGATGTCCTGTATATATAGAAACCTGGTGAAAGCACAGGGCATGCTGTCATGGAGCCTCCCATTTCTCCCCACTCCAGTTCAAGGCAGCTTTCAGGAGATGGAGAGGAAAAAGCTTAATCATAAGAAGAACTGGGTAGACCTGAGTTCTCTTTCGGATTCTACCAGTACTATATGGCCTTGCTTAATCATTCAACAAATTCGAGTCTGCTTGTCTGCTTGTATGCCTTTTAGGGTTGTTGTAAGGACTGGAGATTTTTGTGTGTAAAACACTAGGACAGTGCCTGGTCCATAGCAGGCCACTGTTACTAGTAAACCTTTTTTAAGATGAATTTGCCTTATTACTGTTACATAATACTTAGGAATTGTTGGTTATATAGCACTCTTGTTAGTTTGTAACTTATTTTTTAGTGAAAACATTTTCTGAAGGAGCCTTTTTATACCAGAATAAGACCTAATGAAAAGACCTGCTACGAAGCCAAGTGTCCTCAAAGGTCAGGCTAACTAAAATGACTCATTCGGCATTTATTCTTGCAGTTGACTGCCACTTCATTGTGTAAGATTTCATGTAAGTGAAAAAATGTTTTCAGACTAATGTCATAAATACCTCGCTAAGATGTTTTATTTTCAGCAAGTGTGAGGGTACAAATCGTCTGAGGTCAACAAAGCATCCTCTGCTCTTGAAATTTTTTGTTACTATCATAAGGGCAAGTTAGCTTAATTCAGTATTAGGAGCCAACGGAAAATAGTTCCCCAGACTACATTTAAAATAGCATTTAGAGACTACAACAAGAAATACTTGGCAAGGCAGTTCTTGAGGGAAAATTATCCTTTGTGGGAAAACTTAAGAAGGAAGTGGGTTTTTTTAAAATGAAACAGTCATGTTCCTTACTCAGCTACCAACTGTAGTTTTATTTCAAGCCATTTTTCCAGTTTGGGGTTGAACACCTGCCTCACACTCAGGCAAACCTTGTGGTGTCCCCAGCTGCCCCCTCCTCCATATGAAGCCCTGCAGTGGTAACAAGGAGCGGGTGACTGATATTTGGAAACAATGAGAAATCACTTCCAGTCACTAATGGGTCACAGAGCTTTGTATCCTGAGCTAGTGGCAAAACTCGTCCAGAAAACTTAGTAAGTGTTTTTCAGACACGTGTGAAGGCTAGGAATTGTGGGACCCTCCCTGAACAGTCTGCCACATTTCTACTTAAGGGAAAAGCAAAGCATCTGACCATGGCTATCCCTGAGGCTGAGGCACACATGAACAATGCCTAGGTCTCCTTTGTAGGAGCCTGAGGGTGCCTAACCTAGAATCAAGCCCGTGGCTGTTTGCTGTGGTTAGCAGCTACAAGTAGTGCACATGTGATATGCCACTGTTCTCCACAGAATTTCATCTCTAAACTCCTAGAGCATTTTCTAAATCCAATAAATTACAGCGTTCCAGGTACCAGTGGTCATGTAGCCCTTTATCCACAGATGCAACTGGAAAATGACTCGTCCAGGGTCACAAGGGAATGGCAGAACACGAGCTGGAACCTGGGTCTTTAAGCGTGGGCTAGTGCTCTTCCCACAGCACAATGTTAACATCCAAAGGCCACTCCACACATCAAAATGGTCTTCACAAATGTCAATCTCGCTAGAAACCAGGATTTTGTATTGTGGCTAAAGTTCCATATCCTGGTGGACAGAATGGTAGCGTGAATGTAAACCAAAGGCCCTGACTGTCTGGACCTAGGAACTTCAGGGCTCACACTAAAAAGTTAAGCTTAGGGCTCACACTAAAATGTTAAGCTTTTAGGGGAAGGTAAGATGGGAATGTGTGTACAGACAATAGCCTCCAAATGCATCTAATTTCTTTTCTAAGCAGTCGTATTCTTCATTTCCACAAGAGGGCAGCAGCCCCTGAATGGTGTGGCAGTGGCTAAACACTGAGTTCTAGAAACAGACACTTCCGGATCAGTGACTGGCAGTCAACAGTTCACTGAATCAAATAGTGCTTTTTTTGGGGCTGCATGTTAGCCTGGGGACTGTAAGGGAACATGCTCTGATAAAAATAAACTGAAATCGGTGTAAGGAGCCCTGTACTGTGGAATTGGGAGGTCAGGGTAGAGAGATGGCAAGGATGACCTGGTCCAGCCCTTTCCTGATAACTGAAGGGCTTTCTGAGCATCTGAAGCAGTGAGATCCAGCTTCTGGTGAAGGTGGGACGGTGTCAGGAGGCAGTCTACTCACAGATGGGCATCTCTGGTCGTTGGAATAATCTTCCTAAACCAAGAAACTTGCCTCCCTCTAACTTCACGGAGGGGTATCCTTGGGCTGTCCCCTACGGCTCTCCCAGGTGTTTACCCTCTACCATTCTGAAGATAGTTGGCCACTTCTAAGTCTTCAGTCTAAATATTTCTAGTTCGCTTAACCATCCCTCCCTTTATGAGTTAGGGAGTTACTGATCTCTCTGGTAACTGAACAGGTTTAGAAGTCAGATCTAGCCTCCTCCCATAGTACTTTTGTTATTGGGTCTGTGTTGTCCATAGAAAATCTTCTCCAAAATCTAGAGGCTCAGCTCATGGAAACCAAGGCCTCTCCCAAGCGGGAAGCTGGAGCTGGAAGCGAGCACGGACCATGGGCCTTGAGACCAACTCACAGAGGCTGGGACTCTGATTCAAGCTTAGGTTGCTGGAAACCTCAATATACTCTGACGTAAGACATTCTATTCTCTGGTTCTACTATACTTTTCCCCAGGATCTACTATTCAGTCGCACTCAAGTGTGGCCCTAGCACCAAGGAAGCTTCATTAGTGATTTACCTACTAGATGTTCATTGTTCAGATAAAACTTGGAAAGTGCAGGTAAGCATGAAGAAGAGAGTTCCATAATCCTATGACTTTGAGGAAATTTAACACTTTATCATATAGAACCTTTCAACAATCATGACTTTACCACCTGTGGCTTTGCCCTTCTGTCTTCTTAAGCCAAAGCCCACGGCAATTCTGGCTGCTTTCTCCTGAGGACCACATATATATAAGATTATGGGAATCATGTCAAGAAGAGATGTGTTTAAGGTGTAAACTTTCAGTACATGAGATTACAAAACAGCCGTGTGGTTTAATCTGAGGGCTCCGTTGAAAAACAAAAATAATTTCCAAATAACAAAGTTCTATTGAATTCCTTAGATTACATGTGCCATGAGGGGAATTGTGGTCCTTTAGCAGTACTTCTCAAAAGCCCCTTTCTTCTTTTTTTTTTTGAGGTGTCTCACTTTGTCGCCCAGGCTGGAGTACAGTGGTGCGATCTTGACTGACTGCAACCTGCAACCTCTGCCTCCGGACTCAAGCGATTCTCTTGCCTTAGCCTCCTGAGTAGCTGGGATTACAGGTGCGTGCTACCACGCCTGGCTAATTTTTGTATTTTTAGTGAGACGAGGTTTCACCATGTTGGCCAGGCTGGTCTCGAACTCCTGACCTCAAGTGATCCACCTGCCTCGGCCTCCCAAAGTGCTGGGATTACAGGCGCGAGCCACTGCACACAGGCAAAAGCCCCTTGCTTCTCATGGGTCTGCTGTTGTTTCCTTCAGCCACTTTGGTTTTCAGGGAGGGTTCAGGAAACCATCCTCCACTGTGCTTCTTTCTGGCCTTTGCTACCCCTGTTTCCCATCAGGAGACCCCAGGAACTGAAGTGGCAAGGGTGAATCCTGTGAGACGATGAGGAATGAGACCAGGCTGAAGTGTGAGATGCAGTAGCCCTCCTCCACCTCCACCAGAAGGCAGGGGTGGAATAAGAGCTGAAAGGTTTGTGTGCACATTTCTGGGTTATCCAGAGAGGGAGGGAGAGAGAGAAAGAGAGAGATGGGGCCTAGGTGGTTTACTTCTAAGTGCTTCAACAACCTGTGAAAATACCAGGGAGTTATCCATGCGTTTTGCTAAGGATTCTGAAAGATCGACATGAGTGTGGAAGATATATTTTAAGCCAATAAGGGCTGGCATGAAGAAATGTAATAACAGATTAAGTCTGCATACCCTGATTACAGAAGAACCCGCCTTAATAGATGATGACCGAAGCACAGAATGTGCGCTGAACCATTGAAGGTGATGCAGAGAAGAGTTACGTGTGTGTGCGGGCGTGTGTGTGTGAGTGGGTGTGTATTTAACAGCTTTACTGCAATATAATTCACATACCATCTAATTCACCCACTGAAAGTGCCATTCAGTGATTTTTAGTATAGTCACAGAGTGTGCAACCATCACAATCAATGTTACAACATTTTCATATTCTCTCCCCACCCCCAAAAGACTGTACCCATTAGAAGCCACTCTCCATTTCTCCCCAACCCTACCAGTCCCGGGCGGCTACTGATCTTTCTCTGTCCATGGATTTGCCTGTTCTGGATTTTCTTTTTTTTTCTTTCAGACGGAGTCTCATTCTGTCGCCCAGGCTGGAGTGAGTGGCGTGATCTCAGCTCACTGCAACCTCCATCTCCCAGGTTCAAGTGATTCTCATGCCTCAGCCTCTCGAGTAGCTGGAATGATAGGCGCGCACCGCCATGCCTGGCGAATTTTTGTGTTTTTAGTAGAGACGGGGTTTCACCATGTTGGCCAGGCTGGTCTTGAATTCCTGACCTCAAGTGATCCACTCTTCTCGACCTCCCAAAGTGTTGGGATTATAGGCGTGAGCCACCGCGCCCGGCCTGTTCTGGATATTTCTTATAAATGGAATCATACAGTGCTTCTTTCAGTTAGCATAATGTTTCCCAGGTTCATCCAGGTCATAACACATAATCAGGCTTCATTTCTTTTTATTACCAAATAATATTATATGAATATACTACTTTGTGTGTATCCGTTCATTGGTGGATGGACATTTGAGTTGTATATGCCTTTGGGCCATTGGTGCTGCTATCAACATTCATGTACAAGTTTTTGTGTGGGTGTATGTTTCATTCCTCTTGAGTATATCCCTAGGAGTGGAATGGCTGGGTCATATGATAACTCCGTGTTTAACCTTCTGAAGAACTACCAAACGACTTACCAAAGTGGCTCCCCTGTTTTCTATTTTCACTGGCAGTGTGCAGGAGTGGGGTTTTTTATAATGCCCAATAATCGGATTTATTCAGGAAGCAAGTAGCTTCCAGCTTATTTACTGAGCTTTTAAAGATATACTTAATGTCGTTTCTTAAGAAAAACCAGGTCTTTATTTACTATGAGACTCCAAGTGCTTTAATATAGTTGAAACTAAAGAAACATAAATTTTTCATTCTGCCTCTTAATTGCATGGGAAACTGCACTTATTAAGCATTCAGTTTAATGGCTATATAACACTTTATCATAAATATACCCATATTGTCTCTGTTGTTTAACATTTAGCATATTTTCAACTTTTGCTTACACTGTGATGAATTTGTTGGTACATAAATATTCGTCCGTGTTCTGGGATATTTAAGAGACTTCCAAAAGTATAGGACAAAGAATATGAACACTACCAAAGCTCATTACTTATATTGGCTCCACTGCTTTAAAAAAGATTTATGACAGCCTTTGGTCTCACCGTGATTTCATTGCACCCTCTCTAGCACTGGGTGTTCACTCTTGTTAAAACCCTAAAACCAGAAACACCTTAATTTTAAGAAAATTTTCTATTAGAGTAACATACATAGAAAACTGCACAGATCATTAATGTGATAGCTTGATACATTTCCACAAAATAAGCACACCTGTGTAACAAGACCCAAGTTACTAGACAGGACATTTCCAGCCTCTCAGAGGTCCCCATCCTGTCCCCTTTCAGTGACTAACCATCTCCCCTTTCTCTCCAGAAACCACCATCCTGACTTGTAATAGGAAAAAAAAAAAAAACAAAAACAAAAACAAAAACAAAAAACCTTGCAAATTTAATGCATAAAAAAGTATACTGTATTAAAGTAAACCAGGTTGTCATAGAATTCCAACATTTTTAAGCCATCTGTATTTCTTGTGGAAAGCCATGTACTTTGCAAAGATAGCTTTCTTCATTTTAAGGTCCCCAAATGGGTGGAGGACAGGGAGCCCACATGATTTCTACAATCCAGGAAATCTGACTCTGGCCTGTGGCCAGTGTGCCCTGGCGGTGCCCAGGATCCCTCTTGGGCAGCACCTGGGACTTCTTTCTTGCCATCTTGTCTAGGTAATGATGGGCTTTTTCCTGTCCCTCCTGTGTATCACCAAATCAAACTCCAGGGGATGCCAATCCAAGACTGAAAGCCAGCAGCAGAGCTTTTACATGATGAATGGACATTTCACCCAAGGCAGGACACTGCTAAACTCACCACTCCTGATCACTTTTTCTAGAGGTGGTGAGTTCCCTTTCTAGAACAGGATAGAATAAACACCTTAGGGGGCCATTGCTGTTTCCCCTACAGACCTGTACAGAAGCCTGGAATGGGAAGCTCTGGCTTCTCAGCTTGAGGACAACAGGATCTTTTTCTTAGATCAGACCTGGCACTTTCCACCAGCTCTGCCTCGTGGGCTCTGTTCCTGGTCTTCCCCTTGCTTTGAAAAATACAAATACCAACATACAGGAAGTGACATTAACACAAATTCAAGCAACCGGAGCTCTCTGGGGAGGCATTTAGTACTCTGCTGCTGCCATGTAAAAAGAAGGAATAAGGAAGAGAGTTTTCCTCAAGAGCCCAGGAAAGATTCCAAGTGCATTGCTGTTGTCAGCACGAACCCCCATGCCCACCTCAGCCCACTATCCTCTAATATTGAAGATAGGGCAGGGAGAACATTACTGCCCGCTACCTGAGGTTCAGGGAGGCCAAGTAACTGACCTAGATTTAGTGGAAGAACTGGGATTGGAAGTCAGGAATGCCGAAATCTAGTGGAGATTCCTTCTGTCACTCTGTGTTCCTGCTGTGCAGAAAGGTCCTCAGATTGTGGTAGCCTAACATGGAAAATCATGGGCTTTGGAGAACAGCAGATCCGAGACGAAATCTATGTTCTACCATTACGTTATGAGAATTTAGACAAGTTGTTTACTATCTCTGACCCTATTTATCATATAAATGGGGACAATAAACTGTTAAAGATTAAGAGAAAACACTATAAAATATCTACCAGAGTATCTGGGTTTGAATCCTGGCTTTGCCTTTTTCTAATTGATTGCGTGACAAACGGCAGAAATGTCATACAGTAGAAATGAGAGATGAGAGGTCCTCTGGGTAAGTGGGGAACTGTTTGGTCTCATCGCCTCCATTTCTACATCTCTAATAATATCCCTAAAAAAAAAAAAAAAAAAAAAAAAAAAGCCTAGGGGCCAGGTGCAGTGGCTCACACCTATAATCCTAGCGCTCTGGGAGGCCAAGGCAGGAGAATGACTTGAGACCAGAAGTTTGAGACCAGCCTGGGCAACATAACAAGACCCTGTCTCTACAAAAATAAAGATGAAAATTAGCCAAGCCTGGTGGCTTGTATCTGTGGTTCTAGCTACTCAGAAGGCTGAGGCAGGAGGATCTTTAGAGCCTAGGAGGTCAAGGTGGCAGTGAGCTATGATCATGCCGCTGCACTCTAGCGCTTGCAACAGAACCAGACCCTGTCTCTAAAAGAAAAGGAAAAACAAGTCTTATATTTTTATGATAAAATGAGTTCACAGCTTTGAGAGATTCAAGGCCCATGCCTCAATGACTATGTCATTTAGCCTTAGTTTCCTTATCTGTAAAGCAATCTGAGCAGGGATTATCTCTGTATCACCGGGTGATTGTAGACATCCAAAGTAGGTGCTCACTTCAGCAGCACATACATTAAAATTAGAATGATACAGAGAAGATTAGCGTGGCTCCTGCACAAGGATGACATGTTTAAAAAAATATTTTTTTAAAGGAGAAAGAAAAAAAATCAAAAGTAGATGCAAACCATTTTATGATCTCATGATCTCAAAACAAAGGGAAAAGAGTAAGATTCCATGTCTCCTAGAAGAATTAGTGATCTTAAGTTGCCTTGAGTGTCCAGAGGAGGCTAATGTTTGTGTCTCTCATGTGGCTGATGAGAGACGTTCTATTAATGATGGTACTGAAGCCAGATGTTAAGTAACTTGCCCAATTTCACATAGGTAGTGTGTGACCAGCCTGGCTTTAACTCATAGCTTGTTCTCCAAAGACTGTGGTTTTTTGTTTGTTTTGTCTTTGTATTGTAGGGTAAGAAGGTTATGACCAGGCCCTTAAGTGTTATCAGAGAAATAAAGTCAATGGCTATAAATGTGGGTATGCAAAATTTCTTAGTAGGATGGCTAACCTTAGGGCTACCAGAATTGTATTCCTAAGTAAAACTATTTCAGGAAAGACAGGCTTGGGACTGGCACCCTTTTCATAAGAGCAAAATAAAATACCAAACTCTTCTGACCTAGTAGTATCTTCTCTTCATGTCCACCACCACGACTCCTAACCATATTAAAAGAGAGGCCCCCACAGAGCTGCCCTGAGGGTGGTCAGCATGGCAGCTGGAAGGTCTGATGCACCCACTAACCCAGAGGACCTCTCATTTCTGTTATATGACACCCAGCAACGAGCAGGTCTCAGAGGACGGGGATGGGTAGTTACTAGAGATGGTTAGTTACAGCCTGAGGACAAGACAAGATCCTGTGGCTCCTGAGGGACCCAGGAAGGCACCAGGAGCAAGTGTCAGCTTCAGAAGCCTTTCGTCTGCAGCTCCAGAAGCCTTTCCCCTGCAGGTCCCTGAGTCTTGGTGGCACAGCCCTGTCCCATCAGGGAGCGAGTGCCCTTCCCCCGAGGAGAAGCTCCAGGGAAAGCAGCCCTGGGCATCACCCCCAGGCAGCAGCTGCTCATGCCCGAGAGAGGGAGCCCACCTTCCCCAGCTGTGGCTGCTCCCTTAGACCCCGAGGCCCAGCCACCACTGCTCAGTTTGGTCACTGACAATGCCTACAGATTGTGTCACCAGTTATTCCAGAGCAAGAATTACCTCTCAGCTCAGTGCCCGAAAAAACGAGAGAGGGCTTGAATCCTAATCCATAGATAGGTGATTGACCACATCATGGCATCTCCAGGAAGTTCTAATTTTTTAATAGATTTCTAGAAAGGACCAGATGTGTCCTTCTCAAGCTGTTCTCTCTTCTTCTCTTCCTCTTTCTCCTCCTCCCACTTCCTTTCCCCAAATCCAAACACTCAGGTGCTCAGAATGACGGAGACAGCTGTGCTGTAGCCCTTTGGGTTGGCTGGGGCAGCCTGGGTTTCTTTTGCTAGTTGGAGGACAAGGTGTGGAAGGCATATTGTAATCAAGTAGCAGCAACAGCTTCTACTCTAGAGATTTTTAGGCCCAGAAAGGACTGACTCTTCCCTCCCCTTTTTTTCTTTTGTTGAGACAGTCTCACTCTGTCGCCCAGGCCCAGTCTGGAGTGCAATGGCGCTATCGGCTCACTGCAGCTTCTGCCTCCCAGGTTCAAGCAATTCTCCTGCCTGAGCCTCCTGAGTAGCTGGGATTAACAGGTGTGAGCCATTACACCTGGCTAATTTTTATATTTTTAGTAGAGACGGGGTTCCACCATGTTAGCCAGGCTGGTTTCAAACCCTTGACCTCAAGTGATCTGCCCACCTCGGCCTCCCAAAGTGCTGGGATTACAGGTATGAGCCACCGCGCCCGGCCTGACTCTTTTCTGAAGCCTGCCCTGGGACTGACCTGGCCCTGAACAGAAAGAAGATGCCCAGCAGCAGCACCATCATGGACCCCAGCGTAAAGCCCTCATAAGTTTCAGGTCTGTGTCAGTTAGTGTACGTGGGGAAACTTAGAGTAGCCATAGGTGCAGGTATCCGTGTGTCTGAAGAGGCAGCAGTACTTTTAATCCTGTTAACAGAAGTAAAATTAAAAGAAGAAAACGCACACACAAAAAACCTTGCAACTCTTGCTGCATTTCCATTACTTACCATCAGGTGTCAGTAGACCACACGGGAAGAGGGAGCTTTAAGAGCCGGGGTGCTCAAGTCCGTGTCTGGGGAGGCAGCGCCTCCTCCGTATTCCTGTGGATCTCTTAGTGGGAATCATCCTAGGCACCTCCTTTCCCCGTGCCCGCTGCCCTCGTTCCACCCCTGGTCTGGTCTGCCCTTGTATTCCCAGCAATTCTACGCTGTAAGATGCCTTCTGTGTTCTCTGCAGGGCATCCCTCCCTGACTCAGCCTAGCAATGGCCGGAATTCATGCATTTGCTGTGTGCCAGCTTGCCCTAACCATCTGATTTACTTATCAAAACAGCTCTCTGACATATGCACAACTAGTTAAGCAGATTGACACATCAGGAAGGGGCCTGGAGAGATGAAGGGCAGCTTCGTGGGATGCATACATGTGGACTTTACCTGGGCGGTTTCCCCAGAGGCAGAGCCATGAGGCAGAGGCGTGAGGCCACTCCTCTCTCCAAATCGTGCTAAATCACTGGGCTCTAAGTCGGCTCACAGGACAGCTTTTAATAGTTTCTGCTACCTCATGGCAAAGCCCAAAGGCTGACCTAATTCTTCCCAGCACAGTGCACAGGCAGAGGAGAGACAGCGATTATGCAGGAGGGCAGCCTCCTTCCTGCCCCAGAGGCCCTGGCCCCAAGCACGCCAGCGTTTTTGTCTTCTCCCAAATAAGTCATACTGGAAAGCTCTCTTGCCCTAGATTTAGGAGAGCAAATATCAGGAGGGTGCTACTTCTTTGGTCACAATCCAGCCGGGCGTGGTGGCTCATTCCTGTAATCCCAGCACTTTGGGAGGCTGAGGCAGGTGGATCACTTGAGGTCAGGAGTTTGAGACCAGCCTGGCCAACGTGGTGAAATCCCGTCTCTCTTAAAAATACAAAAATTAGCTGGACATGGTGGCGCACGCCTGTAATCCCAGCTACTTGGGAGGCTGAGGCACAAGAATTGCTTGAACCCAGGAGACAGAGGTTGCAGTGAGCCGAGGTCAGACCGCTGCACTCCAGCCTTGGTGACAGAGCGAGATTCTGTCTTCAAAACAAACAAATCCTACTCTACACTTAAGTCCAGGTTGAGTAGTGTCCCCTGCCAAAAACTATGTATTTAAATCCTAACCCCCCAGTACCCAGAATGTGACCTTATTTGGAACTAGGGTCATTGTAGATATTAGTTAAGATGAGGTCACACTGAAGTAGGGTGGGCCTCTAATCCAATATGACTGGTGTCCTTATTTAAAAGCGGCCATGGGAAGACAGACGCCCTGTGTGAAGATTGGAGTGATGCAGTTACAAGCCAAGGAATGCTGAAGGTTGCCAGCAAACCACTGGAATCTGGGAGAGCTGCAGGAAATAGATTCTCCCTCACAGCCTGCAGGAGGAACCAACCTTGCTGACACTTTGATTTTCAGACTTCCAGAACTGTGAGAGAATATATTTCAGTTGTTGAAACCACCTGGCCTGTGGTTCTTGGTTACAGTAGCCCACCCGAGCAAAGGAATATAGTTCCTATTCCAATGCCTTCTCTTCAGAGCCACGGGGCCTTCCCTGCGGCACGTCAGGACTGATGTCCCTGAGGGGCCCAGAAAGGCATAAGGAGCAGGTAGCAGCCCCAGAAGGCCTTTCCCTGTGGGCTCTAGAGTCTCAGGGGCACAGCTCTGTCCCCTCCAAGGAGAAGCTCTGGAGAAGGCAGCCCTGGGCATCACCCCCAGGTGGCAGCTTTGCATGTCCGAGCCCACCTTCCCCCACTCTGGCTGGGCCTGTAGACCCAAGGCTCCGGGTGCCAGTGCTGGGGGTTTGTTCACTGGTGGTCGAATGTCCAGAGCACTCACTCAGCGAACATTGAATTTCAGGCTGTCTTGCTCAGCCTAGGAGCTGTTTAGATTGGCCTTGTTTTATCTCAGCCGAGATAGATCTGCCCCACTAGGGCCCTAAAAGAGGCAGGTAGCCCAAGAGGTAATGTGGTCACGGCTGAGAAGGGACAGATAAAGGGGTTGGAGGGAGGAAGAAAGAAGGAAGCCATCCCTTCTTGAGCAAGGTCTGAGCATCAGGAGGCCTGGAGGGGGCTACCTGGTGTTTTTCTCTCACCTGACCTTACCCCTTTTTTGGGGGGACAGGTGCCAGGACTTAACCCTTTCTAGAGGTCTTAGCGAGGAAAGAGTACGTTGAATATTATTGACAGGTGTTTTACATACACTTTCTCATGCCCACCCTGTAACGACTGATTCCTGTTTCACAGATGAGAAAACTGAGGTTTGGGCTAGATAACCAAAGTCCGACGGCACGCTAGGTCTCACCACCAGTCTCCATAGCTGCTCCTGCTCCGTCTGGTTCCCAAACCCCAGCTTTTAGAACAGAATCCTCCTGTTTATGGTGTTGGTCTTGACTTCTCTTGTGGAGAAGCTCTGGATTTTAAGGTGGAGCCTCATGGGTGACCCTAGAGCAGCCAGCTGGGACTCTCTGTCACAGGGGAGCCTGGCGCTAAGCATCTTTATCACCAAGGTCACTGCTGATCATTATCAAAACCACCAAATGTCCCATCCTCCTCCTGCGACCTGCCCAACAGCCTGGGGCTCCTGTAAGTGAGCTGCTGTTAAACAAAGGGCTGCTCGTGCCGCCCTCCCCCCACCCAGGGCCCAGCGGGGACAGCAGGTATCTAAGCAAATGGGAGCGGAACCGCAGCTGCCACCCAGCACATTAAACACTCTGTTTTCTTAATTCCCCCTCCCTGCTAAGTGCTGATTACCGGGTCTGCCTGGGGCCTGATCCTTCCAGCCACCTGACTTCAGCCAGTGGGGCATCCAGAGAACGAGAGCAGCTGGCAGGTCGCACTTCAGGCGGGGCAGCAGATGCAAGACACTGATTATTCTGGGAGGGCTGCACCCAGGGACCGGCATTTGCACTTCAAAGGGGGACGGGCCCCTGTGCCCCACTCTTGGGACCTGGGTCTATTCTGGGGAAAATCATGTTGCTTTGAGTGAGTTACCCACCCGGGCCCCACCCCCTTCTTAACAGAGGGCGGTTTAAACAACCTCTCGGAGTTCACGAGCACTCGCTAGACACTCCCCGGGACCCTCCCCCGTCTGGCAGCTCTCCTTTTCATGGGGTTTGCCCCTGTCTGGACGGAGCAGGAGGGACTCGGGCGTTTAGCAAGTCCCAAACCTGTGCTTGCACTCTTGAATCTCAGTCCTCCCAGTGCCCCTTTTAACGGATTGAATTGTGTCCCCGCAAAAGACATGTTGATGTCCTAACTCCCAGGATTTCAGAATGTGACCTTGTTTGGAAATAGGGTCATTGCAGATGTAATTAGTTAAGAGGAAGTGACTCTTAATCCAATAGGACTGGTGTCCTTATAAGAAGAGAGACCCAGAGGGGGAAACACCGCATAAAGACACAGAGACAGGGAAGAGATAGCCATGCAGACAGAGGCGAAGATGGGAGTGATGTGAATACAAGCCAAGGAACACCTGGGGCCACCAGAAGCTGAAAGAGGCGAGGAAGAAATCTCCCCTGGAGCCTTCTGGGGGAACGGAGCCCTGGACCAAACACCTCGATCTTGAACTCTCAGCCCCTGGAACTGGGAGAGAATTAATTACTGTTGTTATAAGCCACGTGGTCTGTGTAACTCATTATGGCAGCCCTAGGAAACTGACAGACCCCTGAACTTTGTGGCAAAGCATCACAAGGATCTCGCTATGGTGTGATGCCACCCTGAAGCATGGCTGCGATAACCAGCCCCAGGGCTCGCACCCCTCACCCACTCCCCATTTCCCTCCTCCACCCCCACTCCTTGTAATTAAGCCCCGAAGTGACTAAGGAGTAACCAGTGCCCTGAGACCCCATCCCTAGATGGACAGATTGGACTGGACGCAAAGACCACCCCTTCTCTCCCCACAGGGCAGGCGTTGCTGGCTTCCCTTCCTCTCAGGGCCTCTGAGAGATAACAGGGCCCGTCACTGTGCCTGCCCTTCAGGGAGACATAAAGCAGGAGGAACCCCATCTCATGCTAACCCTGCTCCCGGCTCCCCCCACCCCCAGGGTGCTGGGGGTCTTCACGGCCTCCGTGTGCCTCACTGGGCTGTGACAGGGAAAGCCCTCAGCTCTCATGGCCACCTCCCCCATGGTCGCAAGTCTTTCGTCTCTTCTCTCTGTCGAGTACGGTAGCCTAGAAACAGCCGCTTTCTCTGTCATTTACTGCCTAGAATGGCCTCACCAGGCAGCCCAAGTCCTTTCTGGATCACCATGACCCTGTGGGTAGGAGGAGCTGGGCCCCTGGAGGTCAAGGGGTTTGCTCAAGGCCAACTGGGAGAACTGGCCTCGAACTCCTAGGAAGTCTGACTCCCCATCCAGAGCCCTTCCTGCCCTCGTACTGAGCACCTCCGGGGGCCAGTGGGTGCTGGGTTGGCTTCTGGGGCCGATGCATTGAAGGGTAAGATGGGGCCACCTGTCAGGGGTCACCTACAGCTGAGCTGGCTCTCGGGCAACCCACAGAACAACTACAAGCAGCCACCTCCGCTCTAGCCCTCTTCCCTCACCAGCCCAGACTCTGGCTGGACGCCAAGGCACATGGGAGACATTCAAGCAAGGTTCCTTCTCCCCGACAGTTTGCTTCCTGGCGGCGAGTGTCCACAAATGTCTACACAGTTGGCTGTGGGGCAGGAGGAGGTGCGTGAATGTAGCCCATGCTGCAGCTTGGCCCGGGATGTGAGGTTTGGTTTTAGTGCCATCCATGGAGGGCTTGGGGGATGGGGACTGGTGAGAGACTCTGCCACATCCATTAGGCTTTGGTTTGTGGGGCAGGGTTCAGAGGCCGGGGGCGTGGCAATGATGAGTGCAGAGAAGAGGGGAGAGAAAGGAGGGCGTGGGGGGACTCGGGGGTGACCCGAATTCCCCTCTAGGGTGAGGCTTTCACTCCCCAGCTGTTGAGAGTGCAGAGCTGCGTCCCTCTTTGAGGCTTGCCCTGGCCCAGGCACACATCCATCCCAGCTTGGGGAGGGGGCCCAGGCACTGGCTGGGTGTGGGGTTGGAGTAAGGGTGGGGACGTCAAGGCCTAGCCCTCTCATCTCACCCCGGGTGAGGAGCAGCTGAGCCCTCCGTTGTGACTGCCCCGTGGTGAACTCACCTCTCTACCCATCCTTCTGACTTCTTTTCCCCAAGGTCTTCCCCAAGGTGTAGCCAGAAAAGCTTTCCTCAGACAGGTCTGCACCCGGAAACTTCTTCCCTCAGACAGGTCTGCGCCCGGAAACTTCTTCCCTCAGACAGGTCTGCGCCCTGAGTCCTCATCCGCATCACAGGCACTTCTGGGAGGTTAGCAGGTGCCCTGGTGCCCGTGGGGGTGGGGATAAAACGAAAGAATGGAAGGAAAGCAGCACCTTCCATATGCGGACACCCTTCAGCCCCTCCCACCCACATCCACACATCCACACACACACACACACACACACCCCTACCCTCATGTATACACACACACACAAATGCATACACACATATACATATACACACACAGGTATGCACATACATATACACATACCCACACGCACACTCACACCTACCCCCATGTATACACACATACACACAAATATTCATATATACACACACAGATGCACATATGTACACATACACACACACCTACCCCCATGTATACACACACACAAATACATACACACACATATACATATATATACACACATACACACAGATATGCACATATATACACATACACCATACAGGCACACCTACCCCCATTTATACACGCACACATACACATATACCTATACAGATATACACACACATACACACAGATACGCATGTACATACATGTACATACATACACCTACCCCCATGTATACACACATATACAAATACACACATACACACATACATATATATACACACAGATATACACATACATACACATACACTCTCACACCTGTCACCCCACACACATACATACACATATACATATACATACGTACACACATACACACAGATATATACACATATACACACAGATATGCACATAATACACATACACACACTCACACCTACCCCTATGTATACACACAGATACACACAATACATACACACATACACATATACATATATACGCATACACATTCACATACATACACTCAACCCACCCCATATATGCACACAATTTACATAAACATATGCATGCATAAACATATATATACATAGACTCACACCCACACATACACACATGCATGCACTTACATACGCACAGTCACACATATACATGCAGACATACACATGCATGCACACATACACTCACCCCCATATATACACATGCACACATACATAGAGTCACACATGCACAGCTATACATATACGCATACACACGTACACATGCACATACATACACACGTACATACACAGACACAAAACCACATGCATGCACACACACAGACACCTCTGAAGCCCTAAGTTTAAAAGACATCTAGAAGCTAGAGAAAAAGAGCAGTGTGTGTGTGTGTGTGTGTGTGTGTGTGTGTGTGTGTGTGTGTACAGGAAAAGCACATTTGCTTGATACGCTTTTTCCTTTTCTGATATAGCTATACCCTTTGGGAGTCTATAAGTAGGAAAATCCTCTATCAAACTATAATATTGTAAGGCAGCAGCAGGAAATTGGGCCTGAGCGCGTACACTGCTCTTGGGCTCAGGAAGCAGGGGGAGGCAGGGGGTAACCAGATTGGGTGGCGGGAGCGGGACTTTGAGTGGGGGACTTGCCTTTGGTTTTCTGCAGCATGAGTCTTGGGTGATGCCAGCTCTCCCTGGAGCTGGCCCATTGGCACGCCTGTGTCCTCTCCCACTTTCTAAGTATAGTCTTGGAGGCCCAGCCAGATGAAGGCTGGAGCCAGAATTTCCCTGGAAAGCATTTGCTTCACAAGGGAGGGGCCTGGGAAGCTGATGAAGGAGGCAGGTGAGGTTGACAGTGGGCAGTGGCGCTCAGGCCACTCCTTTCCTCTTTCCGAGGGGTGGGCGGGTCCCAGGCAACCCCCCTGCTCCAGCATGGCAGCAATCCAGGTGAGCAGAGCAGGCCAAGCACCTCCCAGCTCAGATGGGTGTTTTTCAGGGGCCAGAAGAAACGGTGGCCTAGGAGAGCTGGGCCACTGTGATGCATAGTGTGGGAGGACAGCAAGGTGACCCTGACCACCACTGTGACTTCTGTCCACAGCTGTAGCAAGGCTGGGAGGAGGAGGCAACCCAGCAGCAGACCAAGAGCTTGTGCCTTGGCCACAGTCAGGCCTGGGGCTGCGACTATCCACTGTGCACAGGACAGTGTAGAATGCAGGGCTGCTGTGAGGGTTAAATGCAAGTGACAGGATTGAGAAGTCAGCCAGCACCCAGCCCAGTCAATTCCAGGGACTCCAGGGCACTTCCTTTCTATTTGGTATGGATAATACCCGCCACCCCCAGCTTGCTTTGCTGAGTCCCTGGAGTCTGCCTGGAAAACCAGTCAAGCAAAGGGAACCCTGGACCTTGAAACCCGCAGGCTATGTGTTCACGGCCCCCGCAACCCAAGAGGGGGCCATCTGAATGACGGGCCGTGGCAGGCAAATCGTCCTGTTATTTTTGGTGTAAGAAATTTAATTTGCTTCACCTGTCACTGATTACAACTGCTGTCATGAGCCTATTTACCTCTCAATTAGCTGTAATTGAGGCAGTGGGGGGCAAGGGGCAGAAGGAGAACGAGGTGGGGGGGCTGCATGTGTGCATGCTCGTGTGCATGTGTGTGTGTGTGTGCATGCGTATACGCTCAGGCTGGCACTATGTGGCAGAGCTGAGAGAGGGGGGAGAGGGAAAGAGGTGCCAAAGGTAGTGAATAAGGATTTTAACCAGTTCCATTTCGGCCGGGGGTTTTGGTCAGTGTCACAGTCACAGGGTGGCCCGGCCCAGCCCTTCACCACACCCCCCAGCAAATCCCTCCTTGTTCCTTTCTTTCCTCCGGCTGTGCCCTCGGTCCCAGGGGCATACCCCCATAAGGCAGCCTTCTGGTATTGAAACCTGGAGAGAAAAGGTTGCAGGGAGCTGGGGAGGTAGCTCATCAGAGTAAGATCTGTTGTTTCCACGGGGTAGAGCTTCGCCAGGCCAAGGGAGCTTGGGGCACCACTGTAACTCATCTTGGCTTGAAGCAGGGACATTTTGTTAACAAATACTAATAAGTATCATGTCACTAAATTGTGGTAGTCATAATAAACAGTAGCAATGCTTTAACTTTTATTGAGCATTATCTCATATAATTGTCAAAACAACCCTCTGAAGCCCAGAGAGTTTAAGCAATTTATTTATTTATGTATTTATTTATTTATTATTAGTATTAATTTTTGAGACAGAGTCTCGCTCTCTTGCCCAGGCTGGAGTGCAGTGGCGCGATCTCAGCTCACTGCAACCTCTGCCTCATGGGTTCAAGCGATTCTCCTGCCTCAGCCTCCTGAGTAGCTCGGTTTACAGGTGCGTGCCACCACGCCTGGCTAATTTTTGTATTTTTAGTAGAGATGGAGTTCTCAACATGTTGGTCAGGCTGTTCTCGAACTCCTGACCTCAAGTGATCCACCCACCTCAGCCTCCCAAAGTGTTGGGATTACAGGCGTGAGCCACCGCACCCAGCCTAAGTAACTTATTTATTTTTTGAGACAGGGTGTTCCTCTATTGCCAAGGCTGGAGTGCAGTGGCACCATCACAGCCCACTGCAGCCTCAAGCTCCCAGGCTCAAGTGATTCTCCCACCCCAGCCTCCTGAGTAGCTGACACTACAGGCATGCACTACCGCACTTGCCTAATTTTTGTATTTTTTGTAGAGGCGGAGTCTCCCTATATTTCCCAGGCTGGTCTCCAACTCCTGGTCTCAAGCAACCTTCCCGCCTCAGCCTCCCAAACTGCTGGGATTATAGGAGCGAGCCACCATGGCTGGTCTAAGTAACCTTATCTCAGCAGCAGAGGAGTTTGGATGCTAACGTGGCCAGCTGATTCTCCAGATGAAGGACTTAACCTCTGTACGTGCTGCCTCTTGGAAGATCTCAGGTACAACACAGAACTGGGCAGCCGAGGGGGGTCTTTTCATAAAGATTGTGATGGACAAGAGGAATCCCTCATTGCTGATGGAGCTAATGTTGATGATAGATGTGATGTTTTATGGAATGCGCTCTGGCCCCTCCCATCAGATTCAAGTTTGCAGATGTGGGTGTTGGAACCCCATGAAATGGAGAGACCTGAAAGCCAGCTAAGAGGGCTGGAGATGATTCTGACATCAGTGAAGAGCCACTCAAGCTTTTGGGCAGGGCAAGGTTATGATGTCAGCAGCACTGGAGGTGTAAACCGGACTGTTGTGTGTTAATGGATTTAATGGGCCAGAGTGGGGGCAAAGAAACTAGCAGGGTTAGTAGAGCTGCCAAGGAGACCAGGTATATCATCAACTAGCCGTGTGACCTTTAGAAAGCCCTCTTGTCTTTCTAGGTCTCCCTTTTGTATGTCTATAAAATTGAGATGGTGAGAATTAGAAGATGTCTAAGGTCTAAGATGTCTTGGACGTTTTGCAATCCTTTTGATGACCTCAAATGAGCTAATAGATGTAGACAGAAAAGAGGGTGGTGGGTAGGGCTGTGAGGAGTGGATAGAGCCTGCAGGATCTAGGATCTGATTGGACAGAGAGGATGATGGAGAGGCAGGAGTCAACAATGGCTCCAAACTGCAGTGAGAGATGGTAGGATAGAGTTACCTGGGGGAAAGTCTGGATTATACAGTACGCAGAATAAACACATCCCTCCCACCAAAACAAACAAAAAATATGTAGATAATTTAGCTGGGCATAGTGGCTCATGCCTGTAATCCTAGCACTTTGGGAGGCTGAGGCAGGAGAATTGCTAGAGGCCAGGAGTTTGAAAGCAACCTGGGCAACATAGTGAGACCTCATCTCTACAAAAACATTTTTTTAATTAGCTGGGTTTGGTGGCTAGTAGCTACTTGGGAGGCTGAGGCAGGAGGATCACCTGAGTCCAAGAGTTGGAGGCTGCAGTGAGCTATGATTGTGCCAGTGCACTCCAGCCTTGGTGACAGAGACTGTCTCTGAAATATATATATAGATAATTAAAGCTGAACATTTTTTAATTAAGTTACCTAGAAACTTTTAATTTCAGCATCTCTATAAGAATTGTGCCATTTCACAAAGTTTTGTCTTTAATTTCATATGTGAGAACAACAATGTTTAATGCTTAAGGCTTTTCAAAGGTCTTTATTGGGAGGTGGTGGGAGGGGTTTGTTTTAGATGGAGAGGAAGCTAGAGATGTCCAGCGGGTGGCAACAAGAAAAGCTGAGGTTAGGGAAGAAAAGCTGCAAGTCCCCTGGTAAGATAAGAAGGTGTCTGCTGAGGGCTGGCCATGGCGGCTCATGCCTGTAATCCCAGCACTTGAAAGGCCAAGGCGGGTGGATCACTTGAGCTCAGGAGTTTGAGACCAGCCTGGGCAACATAGCGAGACCCCGTTTCTACAAAAAAATACAAAAATTAGCTAGCCATGGTGGGGTGTGCCTATAGTCCCAGCTACTCAAGAGGCTGAGGCAGAAGAATTGCTTGAGCCCTGGAGGTGGTGGAGGCTGCAGTGAGCTGTGACCACACCACTGTGCTTCAGCCTGGGTTACAGAGTGAGACTCTGTCTTGCGTGCCTGTGTGCTCGTGCACACACACACACACACACACACACCCATATCTACTGAGACCCCCAGAGAAGAGATCTCTTTTTTTTTTTTTTTTTGAGATGGAGTCTCACTCTGTCATCCAGGCCGGAGTGCAATCTCGGCTCACTGCAACCTCCACCTCCCGGGTTCAAGCAATTCTTCTGCCTCAGCCTCCCGAATAGCTGGGACTAGAGGCGCCTGCCACCATGCCTGGCTAATATTTGTATTTTTAGTAAAGACAGGGCCAGGTTGGTCTCGAACTCCTGACCTCGTGATCTGCCCACCTTAGCCTCCCAAAGTGCTAGGATTACAGGCGTGAGCCACGGCGCCTGGCGAAGAAGAGATTTCTAAGAGAAAGAATTTGGCATGAAGGGTGGGGAATCCAAGTTAGAAAAGGACAGCATGTGCTGTCAAGATAGTGACATCAGGTGATATTTGTGGTTCTCCAACTTTCCTTTCACTGTACCAGTTTCCCCACTTCACTCACTCTGCTGCAGTTACAGCACCTCCAGTTTCTCCACAGACAGCTTATATCACCCTCTTTATTTCCTTTGTAGCACTTATTATAATGGAAAATTATTTATTTCTTTTCTTCCAAAGTGTAAACTTCATCAGGAGAAGGGACCTTGACTGCTTTGTTCACCGCTGTATTTCTGGCATCTAGAACAGGGCTGGCAAAAAGTAGGAGTCCAATAAATATTTATTGAAGAAATACATGCATGCATGCATGAAATTGTGATATTTCAGGCCTTGTGGCACCTGGGTTGGGGAGATATTTGGGGACAGCGTGACCTTCCTTAAATAACTCAGAAAACACCTGCTGCTGTGAATGCCTGGGGATGATCCCCAACTGTCTCCCTTCTCACAGGCTCAATTGTGCACTCAGTCCGTCTGGGGCTCGATAAAAATATTCTGAGACTGTGCAATGTGTGCGGTGGAGGCTGAGGATTGAGCTGCTTGTTGTCAAGGAAGAAGGAGTCTCTCTCTCCTTCTTTCCCTTTTTCTCTGTCTCTTCTCTCTCTCTCTCCTTTCCCTTTTGTTCTATTCTTTTTCCTAAAGTAATAAGCAGAGGGCTGAATGGGGTGGCTCATGCCTGTTATCCCAGCATTTTTGGCGGCTGAGGTGGGAGTATTACTTGAGGCCAGGAGTTTGAGACCAGCCTGGACAATATAGTGAGATCCTGTCTCTACAAGAAAACAAGACAAAAGATAAAACAATAAGCATGTTTGGGAGGCTCCAGGAAGGCTGTTTCCTAGGCAGGGCTCTGGAGGAAGTGGGATCAGGAAAAGCCCTCATTTCTCCACTCTTTTGCCCCCTTGCCTCACCGCTGCTCTTCCAGCTGGAATGGTCTTTCCCATGGCTCTGTGCTTTTCTTTATCTTTTTTTTTTTTTTTTTTTGAGACAGAGTCTCGCTCTGTTGCCCTGGCTGGAGTGCAGTGGTGCAATCTCAGCTCACTGCAACCTCCGCCTCCCAGATTCAAGCGATTCTCCTGTCTCTGCCTCCTGAGTAGCTGCGATTACAGGCTTGCACCACCATGCCCAGCTAATTTTTGTATTTTTAGCAGAGACAGGGTTTTGCCATGTTGGCCAGTCTGGTCTCGAACTCCTGACCTCAGATGATCTGCCCGCCTCAGCCTCCCAAAGTGCTGGGATTACAGGTGTGAGCCACCGCACCTGGCCCGCCTTGTGCTTTTCTAGGGGTGCTTTTTTTATGTCATTCTGAGCCCTTTGGATGGAGACAGGCTTGTCAAGTGGCAAGCAAAGGAGCGTGCTGATAGGCATTCTGGTGATGTATTTTTATGCCATGTAATAGATCCCCCTGACTTCAGTGGCTTAAACACATGGTCATTTACTGTGCTTAGGGATCTGAGGGTAAGGACTGTGGCAGGGCAGAGTGGGGAACAAGGCTCTGCTCCCCATGGGGTCGGCTGCGTCCTGGGTAGTCACTCAGCTGCACTCAGCTGGATACGGGACCTAGCTGAGACTCTGGGACAAGTGGCCCCTCCTACCCTACGTGGCCTTTCCAGCAAAATGGGAGGGTGGGCTTCTTCTGTGGCAGCTTAGGGCTCCCGAGAGTATAAAAGCGGAAGTGGGCCAGGCACAGGGGCTCATGCCTGTATTCCCAGCAATTTGGGAGGCCAAGGTGGGAGGATGGCTTGAGGCCAGGAGTTTGAGACCAGCCTGGGCAACATAGTGAGACCCTCCCATCTCCAGAAAAAAAATAAAAAATGAGCCAGGTATGGTGGTGCATGCTCGTGGTTCTAGCTACTTGGGAGGCTGAGGCAGGAGGATTGCTTGAGCCCATGAGGTGAAGGCCTCAGTGGGCCATGATCGCACCATTGCCCTCTCAAGCCTGAGTGACAGAGTGAGATCCTGTCTCAAATAATAGAATAGAAGTAGAAGCTGCTAGGCCTTCTAGGCTTAGGCTAAAACTGGCAGAGCATCACTCCTGCTCTATCCCATTGGTTAAAATGAGTCTCTGGGCCTACTAGAATTAAACAGGAAGGGGTGACCCAAGGGTGTGATTAGTGAGAGGGATGTTTTAGTGAGGTCACCAGCCTGGGCCAGGTCTAGGAGGAAGACAGGGAAGAGTTACCACAGGTCTGACATGACCCCTTTGTCCCAAAGCTGGGGCTTATATGTTAATCACAACTTGGCTCCTGTCCTGGCTCAGTGAGTTGAGCTTCTCTGGGGTCCCCTGCACCCTGGCCCTCCTGCCTCTCCAATCCCCGGTGCTGCTCTTTTCCCATCACAGGTGGGCAGGGAGCTGTGTGAACGCCCGCCCCGGAGACACTTTTCTGGTCTTCTCCTCTCTCCCGCTCCTCTTGTGTCCTACCCTTGCCCCAGGTCTTCTCCTGCCTGCATCTCCCCGGACCCCCGTCTACACTAACCTTCCCCACCGCAGAGGCCTTGTCATCTGCCCCTTATGTGCCCCCTATGCTGCCTTGCATTATCAATTTCCTCGTAACATGTCCCTTCTGTCTCCCACCACCTGAGCAGCAGCCCTCTGGGCCTAGGCTGTGGGCCCGGGATGGTAGGGAAGGTTGTCAAGGGGGCACCAGGTAGGCTGGAACCAAGAAGGCTGGACAGATGGCCATGATGGTGACTGCACCTGCCCCACCAGGGGGCCCTGGGGCAGTGGCAATTGTAGCCATGCTGGTCTTTTGCCAGGAGGCCATATGCAGTAGACCCAGGAGTTGGCTGGTGAGGTGAGCAGACGGTAGGGCATGCAGTTTGGGTGGGGAGGGGCTCTCTTTTGGAGAGGACGCTCTGACTCTACATGGACACCTGTCCCTGGGTCCCTTTTCCTCTCATTTCACAGATAAGGTCCCGGGGTAGGCGATGGGGGCAGGGGCCAGCTGAAGCCTGTCTGACCCCGGGGGCCCCTTTCCCACTGCCCTGTGCTGCCTTCCTCACCCCCTTCGCTGGTGGAAGGGACGTCATCTTTCCTGTTCCAAGGGGAGAAGTCCCAGGGAGCTGCCACACCGCAGCGAGGGGAGAGGAGGGCAGATACACGTGGCTCTAGAGGGCGTGAGAAATGGCATTCTTTATTCATAAATAAAAACATAAAATTGCCACAAATAGTTTACATGGCCAAAAAGTGACGTCAAAAATAAAATGAAGCTGTCAAAAGCAAACCAAACCAAACAAGAAACCACAAAGAGAAAAATAACTATGTACATCTTCCAGATGCTGGTCCGTCCCAGCCTGCCTCTGCTGGGGGCTCCAGCTCTGCCTGCAGGCGCAGCACAAAGGCCACCTTGCACAAGAGGTGGGTGAGCAGCCCCGCTGGCCCAGGGGTGCAGCCTCTGTCATGGCAGCACCCACCGCATGATGGCTTGAGGTCTGCAGGGAAATCCCTCTCCCCAAGCTGCTGCTCCTCCAGCCAGGCCTGGCTTAGTTTCGGGCAACTGTCTCACCTAAGAGATGGCCCAGGCTGGGGCCAGGCACAGGAGGCTCACTGAGTGCCTCTCTGGGGAAGAGATGCCCCCATATCCCAGTCCCATGTGAGCTCAGTGCTATAGGGGCTGTGTGTGCCTGGCAGGAGTTCACTGGGAGAGCTAGGAGGGAACCCCGTGACAGTCCAGTCGTTCCCAGGTCCAGGGGCAGAGTCCGATCCTTGGTGAGGTGATGCGGAGTGCTGCTCTCTCCTGCAGGCGTCCTTTGGGGACAGAGCAGGTTGGTCCATCCGAGTGGGTCAGTGGGTCGGCCAGCAGGCGTGCCCAGAGGGAAGGGCAGGAAGCCCACCCTGTCTGGGGCCTGGGGCCAGGCTCTGTGCTTGGAGGCTTCTGCTGTCCAGAGCCTCTTTCCAGAGAGGCAGAATCTGGCATGGTCCAAGAATAGTGAGGGCGCTTTTGGACAGGGCAGGAAAGAACACCCACAGGAAGGTGAGGTTGCAAGGTCGCAGGATACTTGCATTCTAGTGCCACGGTGGGCCACTCTGGGGCGGGGGCTGGTGGCAGCCCAGGGAAGACATCTGCCACCTTGGACGTAGGACAAGGCCTGGGGGGGACACATCTGGGCCGGCCTGGGACAGGGCCATGGAGATATGGAGAAGGCTGCACTCCTCTGTGTATGGAAGGTACCGGGACACCATGGCGGAGCACAGCCTCCGCCTCAGGGCCTTCCCCTGGGTGTGGCAGCCACTTCTTCTCAGGCAACGTCTGAGGCAGAGCACTGGACTCTGACTGCTCTTTCCTGGAGTTGGGGGGGGGTCTCCAGCCTGGGGAGGGGGAGCCAGCCCTTTCCTCTGTCTCCGTGGGGCAGTCTCACTGGGAGGAAAAACTCAAACAAGGCACGGCCTGGTGGAAATGAAGGAACTGAGGGCTGAGGCGCAAGGAATGGGGCATCTTTGACTTGGGTCTGGACTGTGCCCAATGGAGGGTACTGCCCTCAGGCAGGGAGGGACTTTTGGCTTGTAGATTCCAGGTTTAAGCCTAGCTTGGGACTAAGAGCAATGGTTTGAAATTCCAGAAAAGCTCCTCTGTCGTTTGAGGATGGCAGGATGGGCACCGTTTAACCTCAGGGACAGGAAGGTAGAGCCAGCCACAGAAAAGGTGACTCTGGCCTCAGCCCGCACTCAGGGAAGGGCTAGGACCCATGAGGGCGGGGGGCAAGGAGAGAAGCATCTCCCCACCCCTACCTCGGGGTCTCTAAGGGCCAGCGGTGAGCGAGGCAGAAATGGGGACTGGCCTTGGACTCGCAAGTTCCCAGACGCTCCCCTCCTCATCTCAGCAGGCAGCAGGCGCAGGCATGTGGGAAGGGATGCTGTCCTGAGAACAGCAGCTGTGGCTACAGTCAAAAATAGAACATGGAACAGCCTGCTAGGTCTGGCTTGCTTCTGAAAAGACAAGAAAGCAAAAAAGAAAAAGAAAGAAGAATAAAAGAAAAATCTGGCCAGGCACGGTGGCTCACATCTGCAATCTCAGCACTTTGGGAGGCCAAGGCAGGTGGATTGCTTGAGGCCACAAGTTTGAGACCAGCTTTGGCAACAAAACGAGACCCCGTCCCTACAAAAAAAATGAAAAGTTAGCCAGGCACGGTGGCGCGCACCTGTAGTCCCAGCTAGTTGGAAGGCTGAGGCAGGAGGATTGCTTGAGCCCAGGAGTATGAGGCTGCAGTGAGCTATGATCATGCCACTGCACTCCAGCCTGGGGGACAGAGCAAGACCCTGTCTCATAAAATTAAAAATAAAATCCCTGAACCAAACAACAGAGAAACTCCACCTTTTATCTCTCTCTACCACCGCCTCCCGCTCCGCACATCTGCAGAGAAACCCTGGACTCCCTGGGGCACTGCCCAAGCTCCTGAGAAAGGGAGCTGCTCTCTGGATCCTTTAGTCTGGGACAAATGGGGGTCTTGAGGTGGAGGGAGGATGGCTGGTGGCCAGGCTATTCACACTGCTGTGTGTATGCCTCTTTTTCGTCCTGCTTGGGGCTCTGGCTTCCTGGCGCTCTGAGGAGCCGTCCTGACCTCTAGAAACCCAGAACTCAGCCCTGAAGGTGCTAAGGGGGAAAGGTTTGCCGCTAAACCTGGCTGTAGGCAGAGGAGGAAAATGCCCAGATCACATATATGCCATCTTAGTGATATGGGCTCTTCTGGATCAAGCAAAAGCTTGATTCTGGGGAGGGAAAAACATTCCAGAGTAGCCGCCGGCCAACGTGAAGCAGGTAGGGACTCCCAGCCTCTGGCCCCAGCTGGACAGATGGGGAGGCTCCCTGAGGGTGCCTGGAAAGCCACACCCTCTGGTTCACGGTGGTTTCAACCCTCCCTTCCCAGCACCCAGCCCAGGGCCTCAGGGTCTATGGCTTAAAGAAGAGTGGTCACCGAGGTCAAAGGTCACTGGCTGTCCAGAGGCTGCTCAGCTCCCATTTGCAAGAACCAGTAAACAGGGGCTGGGCCCCAGGGGCTGGCCATCACCCGCCACTGGCTCTCAACCCTTGGATTCTCCCTCTGCCCTCCTCTGGCTGTGGCAGGGTCTCCACACTGCTGGGCTGCCTGTCTCTCCCCTCCTTCCTGTGGCTTGCCGGGGCTGGGACAGCCCTGAGGTTTCAAAGCCAGCTTCCCCGCGGCTCATTCCACCCCTACACCTCTGCGGCCAGAGGAAAATAGCTCAGGTTCTGATGGGGCTGGTTCCAAGGCTTCTGGTCATATATGGCTTCTTTCTATTTCCAAGGCATTCCAATGTGTCCAGGAGGAAAAAGAGGTTGGGATGAGAAGCAGAGGGGAGCCGCTGTACTTGCTGTGGCCACCTTCCCTGGAGGAGGGGGAGAGGATATCTATTTCGAACAAAGGCCAAAGTTTAGGGAGCCCTTAACCAAAGCAGACAGACCCCTGGACCCATCTCCTGGGAAAGCCAGAGGAGTCAGGGCCTGACGTCTGGTGGGCTGCAGGGCTGGTGAGCACTGGGACATCAGAGAGGGAAGGAAAGGCCATCCTGCCCTCCCCTCGGGGGTCCTGGGTCTGTGTCCCAGGGAGTGGCGTCTCTCAGAGGGGTCTGAATTGCTGAGCAGGGGGGATGCACGGGAGAGCCCTGCCTCCCAGTGCCAGGTCCCCAGACTCGCCTTCCCAGGCAGCCCCTCAGATCTCAGTGGCTATGATGTCCTCGTAGGGGATGTCAGCCCCTTCCAGGTCAACCTCCAAGGGCTCCCCGGCGCTGTCCCCACGTGCCAGCTGCTGCAGGGCCTTCTCCAGGCGCTGGTTCCGCTGGTACATGGCCACGTAGCTCTGCTGCAGCTGTTTCTGGTACTGAATCACCTTCTCCTTCTCCTCCTTCCACACGAGCCGCTCATGCTGGAAGCCCGAGGACATCTGGTCATGGCCTTGCCGCTCCTCCCGCAGCTCGGCCCGCAGCCGCTCCAGCTCCCGCTGCAGGGCAGGGACGTCCTCGGGGAAGGTGGGCGGCCCCATGTCGCGGGCCAGGGCGGCCTGGGCCCGCAGCTCCTGCAGCTCCTGCTCCAGCAGGTTCACCTTCTCCCGCAGCAGCTCCGCCTCGTTCTTCTTGCGCTGCAGCTCATTCTCACAGACCTCCAGCTCCAGGCCCTTGGTGCGCAGGGCGCCCTCCAGGTCCTGGGTCCTCAGCTCCAGGCCCTCCAGCTTGCCCCGCGTGTCCTTCAGCTGTGCCTTGAGACCCAGGATCTCGCTAGCCTTGGCGTTCACCTCCGTCTGGGACTCCTTCAGCTGCTGCTTCAGGAGGGAGATCTCGCCTGACTTCTGGCACACCTGCCGAGGGTGGGGTGGAGACAGAGTGCCAAGAGGTGAGTGTCCTTACCCAGGGAAGTGACAGCTCAGCTGCCTAAAATAACCAAGCCACTCCGGATGCGGTGGCCCGGTGTTAGGCATTCCAGCCTTTGTCCAATCTGAAAGTAAGCTGAACATTGCTGTGACCTTTTCCCCAGGTTATCGAGCTAGGCTATATAGTAAAATGATAAAATAATAATAATCATGTATAATGACACATAGTATATTATTATTGTTATTATTTGAGAAGTCTCGCTTTGTCACCTAGGCTGGGGTGTAGTGGCGTGATCTTGGCTCACTGCAACCTCCGCCTCCCCTCTGATTCTCCTGCCTCAGCCTCCCAAGTAGCTGGGATTACAGACACCTGCCACCATGCCTGGCTGATTTTTGTATTTTTAGTAGAGACGGGGTTTCCTCATGTTGGCCAGGCTGATCTCGAATTCCTGACCTCAAGTGCTCTGCCTGCCTCTGCCTCCCAAAGTGCTGGGATTGCAGGCGTGAGCCACCACGCCTAGCCACACAGAAGTATATTATTATAAACATACTTTCACTAATAATTTGTAGTGTTATTAAGTGCCAAGCCATACATTTGCTCATCTATTCCTTACAACCCGATGAAGTAGGTACTATTAGTAGTCCTCAATTTACATCAATGAAACTGAGGCACAGAGAGGTTATGATAGCAAATAGCTGGTGAAGTGACCAGCCTGAGGGCTAATATATATATATATATATATATATATATATATATATATATATATATATATAAAATATAAAGTATAAGAGTAGAGATTTGATCCCAACAGTTTAATCACTATACCCCATTGCCACCATGGCTAATGTATTTACAATCACCTGGATCATAAGTGGTCAAGCTGAGGTTCAAAGCCAGGCCCATGCCTCAGCCATGACTGTGTCACTCCCTTCGTGGCATGAATACAGGGTTGGCCTTGGAATGAAATTCTTGGTCCCAAGCACGCATCCTGGGTAGGGTCGGATTTTCTCCAGGACTGTGCAGTGTTTCACTGAGGGCAAGGGGAAATTTCTACTGTGAAAGGAAATGTGAAGGTGGCTTCCAGGCTAGTTCCAAGAATCCATTCTGTAGAGCCACATGCTCTGGACTTCATTCACTCTTAAGATTCAGCCAGACTGGCCTTGGTCTCCCATGACCCCAGATGGCCAAGATCCAGAGACACATGGGTCTAACCTGTGGCTTCGGTTTTCATCATTGCTCTTGGCCAAATTTTGATGGGGGATAGGGGTGGAAATAGAGAAGAAGAGCAAGAGGAGAAGACAATGATTCCTCGTTTGACAGATGTGGATTGGGCTCTGCATCCAAGCCAGCATGATACTAGTCACTGGGTACAGCAGTGAATTTGTGAGGTAGTCTTTACTCCAGTAGACAGGAGAGAGGAGGGCTGGGTGCATGCAGGGGTGAGGTCAGAGGATGTGGGCATAAACGTCGATGACGGAAATCAGGCTGACACCAAAACCAATACCATTGGTGTTAAATGGGGGTGATACAGCTGCCAGCAGTGGGCAAGTTAAACCACTGGTTGTTGACTTGCACATAGCCAGGGGTTTGCGTGTAGACTGAGAGTTGGACTCTGAACTGGGGGTGAGGCAGGCACGTGGACAGACCAAGCTGGGTGCGAGCATGTAAAGAGCCTCAACGATGGGCTTGAACTCCATGAGTCATCCAGACCACCAGGCTGGTGAGAAAAGCTGCTTTCCCACTAATAGATGCAGAGGTTATGGGGTTCTCCAGCACGGTCAGGTACAGATGCCTCATTTCCACGTGTGACCGGGTGAGTGAGTGTGTGTGAGTGTGTAAGTGTGTGAGTGGGGGACTCTTTACTTCCTCTCCTAGGTTTCCATCTCAGCTCACCAAATAGAAGTTCCACTTACACTTCAGCAAGGAGTGGCCACTTCCATCACTGAAACCTGCCACCAATAGGGTCCCTCTTACTAGTGGGTGCAGTCCCTCCCTCCAAAGCAACAAATGCATTCTGTGCTCTCTTGGGCCCCTGGCCCCGCCTGAACTCAGGCACGGCTTGTTCTTCTTCTGAGCCTCCTGGGAGCTGATGGAAGGGAGGTCAGCCCACAGCCTGGCTGGGCCTTGGTCATCTGGCTTCCGGCTTCATGATTTAATGGCTCACTTGGGAAACTGAAATCTAGGAGCCATGAGGGTGATGGTGGGGACAGGAGGAAGCTCAGATGTAAGTCGATCCCCCAACATGGTTTGCAGGGAGCCCCTTCTTTGGGTGATAAAGCCAGCACATTAGCCCCGCTTGCCTGCGCGGTCTGTGTTTGCACGCTATTGGCCGGCACCAGAAGGAGAGGGGGGTACTGGCGCCAAACCGCTGACCACCCAAACCCATGAGCCCTGTGTGGCCTCACCTCCCACTGGGTCTCCTCCAGCGCGGGGCCGAAGCTGGTCTTCTCCCTCTCGTAGGACCTGAGCTTGGTCTCCAGCAGGTCCTGCTCCTTCATGAGGCTCTCGAGCTCCTGCCGGAGCTGCCGCTTCTCCTGCTGAAGCTGCAGTACCTGCAGGTGCAGGACCTGCTGCGCGCGCTGGCTCTTCTGCGAGGCCTGCTTGAGCTTGTTGCCGCCTTTGGGCTCCGGGCCCTCCAGCTCGTCCCTGCAGCGCCGCGGCCGCTCCTCGTAGGCCAGGCTGGAGGCAAGCTCCTTCTCCTCAAAGCTGCGCTGCAGCTTCTGGAGGGCGCCCTCCCTCTCCAACAGCTTCTGCTCCAGCTCCTGGATGCTGCACTCGTCCGTGGAGATGGGGGAGCGGACACACGAGGGGCCCTTGTCTGCCTTGTTCGAGTGGCCCAGCTTGCTACCTCCGTCGGAGAAGGACAGAGCCTTCAGGCTCATCATGTTGCTGTCCTGGAGGACGATGCCCTGGGTGATGTTGTGGGCGGAGCCCCCAAAACGGCTTGTGGGTCCCACGGGTGTGACCAGCGGGTCCAGCTGGTAGCTGCTGCTGGTGCTGTGTGTGGGCAGGCTGGACATGGAGTTCCGGCCGGAGTCTGACAGCGCCCCAGAGCACAGGCCAGGCTTCAGCTCCTGCTCCTTGGGCTTGTCTGGAGGGGCGGGGTGCAGCTGGTGGCTGGCACTCTCCGGGGAGGAGTGCAGGATGGCTCCTGACCGTGGCAGCACAGGCTTGAAGGCTGTGGGCCTCACTGCACCCTTCTCGGAGCCCTGTAGAGGAAAAGGACCGCGGTGACTCATGCCTCCCCTGCGCGCGCATTGCACCCTCCCTCCCCAGGCACGCGTGCCGACCTTGAGCCAGTCTGGGCTCTCTGAGCGCACGCAGCACCCCTCTTGGTCAATTGTCTCAGCAGACCTTGCCTGTTGCTTTGAAGCAGCTGAATGTCATCTCTCTTAGGAAGGAAAAACCCTAATGGCGACTTGGGCACTTTGTTCTATGAAATAGCAACCTGCCACCAGCTTGCCCCAGCCCTCCCGAGGTGATAAATACCATCTTGAGGCTCCTGCTCTAGGTCTCTGTGTGGGGCAAGTTAGGGCATCAGGCTGGCCGAGCTTGCTGTCCCTCTTTAGGTCCATCCCTTCTTCCTGTTCACTGCCTCTTCCATTAAGCCTGGAGCAAGGACACGGACCTGGCCTCCTTACAGGGTTGGGAGGCTCACTCCAAATCACGATCCTTTTTTAAAACTGTAATTTTCCCTGGTAGAGTGCTTCACAGTTTACAAGCCCCTTAATTTGAAAAGCTGAATGCTCTATGCAAACATAAGAGGCTCTTTCCTAGTAAATCAAAGCCGGGGATTCATTTCCCCAGGGCAAGGGGCAGAGGACTGAATAGGAAAATTGATTTCAGTGTCCACTCGTGGGACGCACGAGGGCTTGAGCTGGTGTGAGGGCTGGATTTCTCAGTGCCTGGGCCTCCTTTGCCCTAATCTCTGGTAAATGGATGACAAAACTCCAGCCTGTATTCAAAGATGCCCCCAGGCGCAGCTTGAACAAGGAGCTAATGCACACCAGGGCAGCAAATGAGAAGACCGCACCCACCCCCACGAGTCTCCCGGGGAGAGAAGCGGTTAACTCCCGGCCTGCATCCTCTTCATCTGTGCTTCCAGATGAGAACAGGGCTCCCTCTCCTTCCCGAGGCTTGGCAAACGCCTGGATCCTACGTTGACAATCCAGCTACATTTCAGTGGGACTCCAGAAAGCTCACATATCCCCTGTGCTCTTTGCTTATGGCCTGACCCAAGACTTCTGCTTCAGGGGGACTGAGCGATGCTCTAATTCCTTTGTGAAACGTTTGATCTCTGCGGTGTGGCCACAGGCTTCCGCCGGCACCCCTGCCGCTCTGGTTTTGAGGAGTCTGAATGCTCAGGTCACCACTCCCCCTGAACCCCCAGGCTCTCCACCCCCATTTTGCTTTCTCCTGCGTTTCCAACCCACTTACCCTTGCCAGCGACCCCCGCTTACCATTTCTAGCTGATTGGAGAAGGGCATGAGCTTGGGGGGTGTGGACGGGTCAAAGTCCACCCCAGCCTGGCCCCCTAAATCCCCGCTGGACAGTGCCGTGTAATCTGGGTGATGGGAGCCCCGGGCTTTCTGGCTGACCTTGATGTAGAAGAAGTCTTCGCTCTTGCCCATTTTGGAGCTGGACTTGCCGTGACCGGAGTCCTGGGAGAAGCCAAACCTCAGCAGCCCGTCGGAATACCGGTTGAGCTTCTTGAGGTGGGAGGACTTGCGCAGCTTGTACTGCGAAGCCCGGCAGTGCTTGCTGTGGAAGCTGTGGCCGGAGATGAGGCTACTGACGCTGCCCATGGTGACTCGGGGCTGAGGATGGGGCAGGGCCGGGCAGGGTCTTGGAAAGGCTGTGGCAGCAAGGGGCAGTCGTGGCTCCGTGAGGGGACTGAGGTCATAGCAAAGCCCTCACAGAGCCTGCGAGAGCCGTAGACCTGGAAGAAGACACAAGACAGAAGTCAGCGTGGGTGGGAGTGGTCACAGCACAGTGCTGATTCCGACTTCCAGATCTGGGCAGTAGAGAAACACATGTCAGAGCCCAGCACTGTCTCCACCACCGGGTGCTCCGTTCCTTCTTCCTTTGTCTGATAATTCAACAAACATTCACTGGGAGCCCACTTCATGCAAGCCTCTACTCTAAACACTCGGGACCCAGCAAGTGACTAAAACAGTCACAGTCCCTGCATTCCTGGAACTTAGGGTTACAGTGGTGTGGAGAGGCCAGAAGCAAACCAATGTATACTATAGCAAGTGGTACCAGTGCTGCGGGTACCAGTGCTGCGGGTACCAGTGCTGCGGGGGAAACTGGAGCAGAGAGGACAGAACAGAATTCTGGGAGGTGGCTGTTTTATGCAGGAAGGTCTTCTTTTGTTAGGGTAGCATTTTAAAAGGCTTCAAGAAAATGAGGGGGCAGCCAGGCATGATGGTTCACACCTGTAATCCCAGCACTCTGGGAGGCTGAGGTGGGCAGATTGCTTGAGTCCAGGAGTTCGAGACCAGCCTGTGCAACTTAGAGAAACCCCATTTCTACTAAAAATACAAAAATTAGCCGGGCGTAGTGGTGCACACCTGTAATCCCAGCTACTTGGGAGGGTGAGGTGGGAGAATCGTCTGAGCCCCGGGGATCAAGGCTGCAGTGAGCCACAATTGTGCCACTGCACTCCAGCCTGGGCCTGACTCAAAAAAAAAAAAAAAAAAAAAAAAGAAGAAGAAGAAAAGAAAATGAGGTGCAAGTCATATGAAAATCTAGGGGGAGAGGGGTACCAGAAGAAACCCCAAGTATAAAAGCCTGAGTCCCTGAGGCAGAGGGGGCTTGGCTGTGTGAGACCCACATGGGAAGCAGCCTGGCTGGAGAACAATTAGCAAGGCTGGGAAGGAGAAACAGAAACCAGGAGCCAGCAGACATCAGAGAACAAGGAGGCTGTGCAGCTCAAAGAGCTCTGGCTTTGCTTGGGTTGAGACAAGGAGCCCCTGGATGGCTTTAAGCAGCTGACACCTTGATCTGCCTTAGGTTGGGGAAGGTCACTCTGGCTTCCGGGTGGGGAAGAAGCTTATTGAGGAGACGGGGGATAGAAGTGGTGGCCAATTACAGGCTAATAGTCTAGGGTGGTAGTTGTGGATTTAGATGTGGTGGTGGCTCACGTCTGTAATCCCAGCATTTTGGGAGGCCAAGGCAGGAGGATCACTTGAGGCCAGGAGTTCAAGACCAGCCTGGGCAACACAGTGAGACCCTGTCTCTAAAAAACAGTTTTCAATGTAATTTTGAGGTTGAGCTGACAGGACTTGCTAAAGGATCAGATGTAGGGAGTGAGCGAAAGAGAGGAGTCAGGGACAATGCCAAAGAGAGGAGTTTGGTTGAAGACATTCAGTTTGCAAAGCCTATTTGGCATCCAGGGAGTGATGGAGAGTAGGCAGGAGGGTGAGTGGGCAGCTGCTGGGAGCTGCAGATGCACTTGTCAGAGCTGGGAGTGTGGAAGTGGCTATGAGACTAGATGGGGTCACCAAAGAGCGGATGCAGAAAGACAAGAGAGGCCTGAGGATGGTTAACATGGAGCACTCGGCATCTGGAGGTCAGGCAGGTTAGGAGAAGTGAAAAAGAGCAGCAGAGAAGGTTTTCAGGGTGATGTCGATATAGAAGACCTAAGAAAGCCAAGTCAAGAAATTGTTTCCTAAAAATGGTGTCAAATGGCCAGGCGCAATGGCTCAAGCCTGTAATCCCAGCACTTTGGGAGGCCAAGGTGGGCAGATCACTTGAGGTCAAGGGTTTGAAACCAGCCTGGCTAACATGGTGGAACCCCGTCTCTACTAAAAATATAAAAAATTAGCCAGGCAAATTGGGCATGGTGGCACGCACCTGTAGTCCCAGCTACTGAGGAAGCTGAGGCATGAGAATAGCTTGAACCCAGGAGGCGGAGGTTGCAGTGAGCTGAGATCACGCCACTGCACTCCAGCCTGGGCAACAGACTGAGTTCCTGTCTCAAAAAAAAAAGTTGTCAAGTGCTGCTGAAAGTAAGATAACAATTGAGAATTAGTCAATGCATTTGGCCATGTGGAGATCTTTGGTAACCTTGACAAGAGCAGTTTTGGAGGAATGGTGGAAGGAAGGCCTCATTGAGAAGATTCAAGAGAGAAAGAAGGAGAAAGTCATTACAGCCTTAATGTTGAGAAGTACCCAGCCGACTTGGTGTGCATTCTAGTTACATCACCTGCCAGCTATGACATGGAAGGTAAACTGTTTAATATCTTTAACCTTCAGTGTTACAAACTAATTCTAAGACACCCTTAAACTTTTTTTTTTTTTTTTTTTGAGATAGAGTCTCACTCTGTTGCCCAGGCTGGAGTGCAGTGGCATGATCTTGGCTCACTGCAACCTCCACCTCGCGGGTTCAAATGATTCTCCCACCTCAGTCTCCCACATAGCTGGGATTACAGGTGAGCACCACCATGACTGGCTGGCTAATCTTTGTATTTTTAGTAGAGATGGGGTTTTCCCATGTTGGCCAGGCTGGTCTCGAACTCCTGACCTCAGGTGATCCACCTGCCTAGGCCTCCCAAAGTGCCGGGATTATAGGCGTGAGCCACCGGACTGGGCACATTTTTTTTTTAAAGTAATAGGATAGCATCTAATAATCAATGCTTAAACAATAACAACCTTGTCAGTCACCAGACAGGAGAAATTGGGATGTCAGTGCCAGCACATGTGCAGATTCAGGCAAATCTCTAAGTTTAGATCACACAATTTTCAAAGCTAGGAAAGGTTGGTGATTGTCATGCACTGTGAAGTATTTCTTAGTCAAAAGACAGATATCCAATTAAGAAGGGGAAAGCCACAAGTTTAATAAAACAGGAGATGTGGAAGGAGCCTCTGTTCTTCGCTGAGCTCTAAATTATACCATCCATCCTAAAGGGGCTAAAGAAATCCCAGGTGGGACATGGAGAACTGCATGGGCACAGCTGAAAGGGAGCCAGAAACTTTCTGACTCTGTTTTTTAATTTTAATTTTATTATATATATATTTTTTACAATTAGCAGTTGTGCATGGAGACTCTGTGACTCTGAATATCTAGGCTTCGATTCAAACTTGCGTTATCATCCTGAAGAATAAAGAGGTTATGTTATGAATATGTTCTATATTTTGTTAGGAAAAGCATGACACAACAAAACTTCGTTGTGTAAGTTTAATATGTTTTGATGTGAAAAGCTTTTATTGAATTGATGGCTTTGTATACTCGAGGAAATACAGTGAAGCAGCCTACCTCATAGGATCGTTATGAGAAATTTAAGAAATACCACCATAAGATAACAGCTCTGGAACATTTACTCAATACTTAGTACATAGTGGGCACTCAATAAATGCTAGGCAGTGTTATCGGTATCTGTTACTTATATTGTGACCATTGTCCTTGCCAACATCCATCATCCCTATGGATCTGGGGAGCCTCAATGTCCAAACTCACTTTCCAGAGCTAATCCTTTCCTTCTAAATGCAACCTTTCTGCCTCCCATTCCTGCGAGGTGTGACTTAGGAGCACAGGGTGGCTCTGCTGATATAAACTTGACACTGACAAAATGTGTTTTCATCCCCCTAGGTCATCCATCCCTAGCTTAGCTAACACCTCTAGTTCCTATGGGGCGAAAATACTACTCTGGTCCACATGCAGGGGTGTCATTTTGGGCCAAAAGACCCTCCCGTGCTCTGCGCAATATGCTCAGCTCCTCCTTTTTTTGCCATGCAATACACATTGCCGAGCAGCTGTACCTGCAGGGCTGTACAGACCAGACCATCAGCTGTGGCATCGGCAGGAGTTTGATTTGAAAATCAATCTCTCTGAGGTTTCTTCATTTACAAACTGAAAATATTAATATTAAATAGGAACATTAGGGAGCCGAAACAAACAGAAGGAAAATACAAGGCCTGGCATGTAGTAGGCGATCTACAGATGTGTGCACGATATGTGTTGCCTTCAAGCCTATGACACCGCTGGAGGCTATTGACAGTATCAGTGCATCGGTGCTAAATGAATCTGTTTATGGTTCTCATCCATCTCCTCTCACCTCCATCTCCTCTCACCTGGGCCTTGAAGGAGCCTCCCAATGTCTTTCCCCAGTCTGTTCATCAGACACATCTGAAGCGTCCAGGTCATAGCACTTCCTAATGGGAACCCTTCCAGTCTTCCCACTGTGTTAGAGTACAATGCGGACTCCTCACCTTGTCCCGCCATGTCCCAGGGACAGACACACTCATCTCTTTCCTGGTGGGTGAACATACGAAGTCTTGACCCATCCAGGAGACTCTGCACTTGCTGCTGCTTCCCCTGCCTGGAATTCTCCTCCTTGGGCTCTTCACATACATCAGCCTTTCTCATTTTCTAGTTCTCAACTTGAGTCTCATGTCTGCAAGGTGGCTTTCTCCAGTTAATCTTGAAACCCTTGCATCCCTCCCCGATTACTTTCTACCAACCTGTTTATTCCCTGTGTAAGGCTTGCTCTCACCTGTACTAATCTTATTATTTTTTATTTATTTTTAAATTTTAGAAACAGAGTCTCATTCTGTCATCCAAGCTGGACTGCAGTAGGTAACAGTGATCACAGCTCACTGCAGCCTCCAGCTGCTGGGCTCAAGTGATCTTCCCACCTTAGCCCCAGAGTAGATGGGATGACGGCACATACCATTACTCCTGGCTAATTAAATAATTCTTTTGTAGAGACAGGGGTCTCGCTGTGTTGCCCATGCTGGTCTTAAACTCCTGACCTCAAGCTATCCTCCCACCTTGGCCTCCCAAAGCACTGGGATTACAGGTGTGAGCCACCACACCCAGTCATATCTTATTTTATTGATGATTGATTGACTGATTGATTTTTAATTGAGACAGAGTCTCACTCTGTCACCCAGGCTGGAGTGCAGTGGCATAATCTCAGCTCACTGCAAATTTAGGGTTTATTGTGTGTATCTCTACCAGAATCTGAGAGTAAAGGTTTTTGTATCTAGAGCTCCTAGAACAAAAAAAGGGAGGCTAAGGCACAGACTCACAAGGTGGGATGCCGTGGCCCTGGCCACTCAGTGACCAGTGACAGAGGTGGGATTCGAACCCAGGCCCAAATGCCACAATCTCCATGCTAAAATCGCACGCTGCAATTGGGGACTGTAGGTGAGGCCCAGAGATGTTAGGGTTTCTGTCCCAGATAGCAAAATGAGCTTCCTGGGTTAGGGAAGAGGAAGCCTAGAGGAGGAATCAAAAGCAGACTTCTCTAGCCGAGCTTCATTTCCCTTTTGGGCCAATGCCAACAAGATTGTAGGCACTCAGAAGCTGTGTCATTCACCTGGGCAGCAGCCCTGTGCTGCATCCTAGAGGGTCAAGAGGTAGAAGATGGACAATGCCAGGAGCCCAGGAGAGGGGTGACTGAAGAATGGCCACCTCCAGTCCTCCTGAGAGCATTCCTATCCCTTAGCCCCGATACCCAGCTGGCCACTCCCCAGGTCTTGACACACAGAGGAGCTTTGAAGTTTGAGGAGAGTTTGGGATCCACTTGAAGCTAAGCTAATCACCTTTAAGTGTCTAGACTTGTTTCACTGTCAACTTGGAGAGAGCATTACACAAAACTCGGCTGTGTTCCATCCTGGTTCCCAAATCCATCTTCTCACCTGCCCCCGTCCAACCTGCTGTCTCTGCCCTCCATAAGGACAGGGTCAACAGACACATTTTTATTTCTGGGAAACAAATTCCTACTGACTGGGAGCACGTATTTGGGGTGAAAATAAGAAATCACATAGATGTTGGGGATTCAGGAAGGGGACAGGAGGAGGGAAGAAGGATGGAGAGAAGGTAAAGGAACCACAGAGCCTCACACTCCACATGGCATGCTACGTGAGCTCCTACAGAAGGAATCCAGCTAGAGTTGGACTTTAGACCTTAAGAGAAGAGAGAAAAAGAGAAAAGAAACCCAAAGCAGCTGGGACCATCCAGCCTACCCTTCTCAGAATCTGGCCCCAGGACCAGTCCCAGCCCTCACACCCCTCCCTGACATGACCTCCCCTCCACTAGCCCACCTGCACTGTGGATGGCTGCTCCACCAGGACGGGGAGGGGCCCGGGATATTGCAGAAAGCCCTCACTTTTGAGCGGCTTCTACTCAAAAGTAGTGGGAGCACCTGAGCTGCCCCATCCCCAGCCCCCTTCTGCATTCTCCCTCCCAAAGGAAACCAAGGCTCAAGGCAAAGTGACACCTGCCTCTGATGGTCCCTTTCTGGAATGTGGAGAGAGAGGCATGGAGTTGCAAAGTGTCTTTCTGGATGCAGAGAGATGTGAACTAACCTGACTCATCGTCTCATCCCAAACCAACAGTCTGGCTTCCCATGAGTTGAAGCAGCTATGCCTTGGCCCACGCCAAGTCCCGGGTTCTGGCTGGGAAAGGAAGTGGAGGATTCACACACGCCCTCCTCCTCCTCTGCCGCCATGCAGTGAGCAGGGGTCACTCCCCCAGCCGGAGATGTTCAGCCTCCAGCCACCCCGCCTCCTGCCTCCTCCCTCCCACTCAGCTTCTGTTATTTCCCCTCCTGCTCCCTGACATCCTTCCCTCCTTCTCCCCCTCTCCGTCCCACACCTCCTCCCCTAAGCTGCAAAGAGCAGGGGGAAAGCCCACCAGCACTCAGCGGTGAGCTCACGGCTGTGCTGTGCTTCTGGCATCTCTGCAGTCTGCACTTGCCCCTCTTTACCCCATCCATTCCCCCCCAGAACTTTTGCCCTTTGCAGGCCCACAACGATGCAAAGTGTTGTGCTGGCCACTCCCCAAGCCCACCCAGCCAAGTGTGTCCTGAATAACTGCTGTGCCAAGTAGCCTGTTGGCAGGACTGAGCTGATGGGGCTGCACTGTGGGGGAACATTTAGTCATTTCTTCAACAAATATTTATTCAGCATCTGACATGGGCTAAGTACTGTGCAAAATGTAGAGGATCAGGTGGGGAAGAGGGGAGGGGAGAAGGAAGGAGTATATTTAGTGAATGGTAGATAAAAGCCAGAGAGACAGGGAGGACAGGTGTGTGAGTGTGTGTTCATGTGTGCACGTCTTTGTGTGTGCATGTGTGAACGTGTGTGTGTATACGTGTGCATGTGTGTCTACTACTTTAGATGGAGTGGCCAGGAAAGCTTCTGAGAAGATGACATTCGAGAAGAGCCAGCCTGATAAAGTGGTTTTGTAAAATGATGCCCTTATCGGGAACAGCATGTGCAAAGAAAGGTGCTGAGGTCTGTATGAACTTGGGCTTGGTGTCAGAGCAGCAGTTCTCAAATGGGGGTAATTTGGCAGGACCTGGAGACAAGACATTTTTGCTTGTCATGATGGGGGTGCTACTGTTATTCCATGAGTAGAGGCGAGCAATGCTGTTAAACATCCTACAATGAATGCACATGACAGCCCCACGACAAAGAATGATTTCACCCAAAATGTCAACGGTTCTGTGGTTAAGAAACTTGGTTTGGGGGGAAGAGGAGGAAAATATGAGTTTAAAACCCCAGTTGAGTCACTGATTCAGTGTGACCGTGGACATGCTACGTAACCTCTCTATGCCTCAGTTTCCTCACTTGTAATATGAAGGCAACCATACTGGCCCTGCCACATGACTTCAGTAGGGAGAGGAAAAGAAGTAGGAGCTTAGAAACTATTTTGAAAAGTCCCCATTGCTGGTCATTGTTAGTATTCTTTCTCATTATTATTCCCCAGAAGAGCTCTCTGAGATGCTCTGTTGATTTGAGAAGAGCTGCGGGGCTGGACTCCCAGGGCAGAAGCTGGCCTGGCCACAGAGGTCTTAGTGCCACTGCCTACCCCACGACCGCCTTGAACTTGGAAGCAGGCGGAGACTGGGCGGGGAGATGTGGGTCTTCCCTTCACTGGTGCAGAGCCTCGAGGCCCCTCTGGGCTCAGTTTCCAACCACAACACGAGGGTCTGGATTCATTTCAGTCTTTTTTTTTTTTGAGACCTCTTAAGAATTTAATGAGAGCTGTCAACCCCCTCTTCAGAAAAACGCACCCTCCTCCAACATTTTGGCTCTGACTTCTAAGGGTTTCCTGACCCCTAATGCCCCTTGATTGACCTAGTTTAAAAACATTCATACATCCTGCTCTGGAGGATAGAACATGAACTTTGGAGAGGAACAAATAACGTGGTCTTGGATTACTGACTTCACTTTAACGACTCCCTGCTTCCCTTCAGGAGCTGGAGAGACCATTGGAAGTGAAACTAAAGCAAATGCCTTGCATCCTCTCAAGGCAGCCCCATCCCTCCACACAGACTCCAGCCTGCAGCCGCTCCAATCCCCAAGAGGTGGGCGGACCTTAGACCACTCAAAGTGGGGCGCGGGGTGGAAGAAGGGGTCTGGGTGGTCAGAGGGGCAGGCCCTCTGGACTGGCAAGCAGGGCTCAGGGAACAGTGTCTCCCGAAGGCTCGCCTGATGCTCATCGGACACCCCACAGGGCAGCTTCCTTTTCCTTGTGTTTAATAAATTTTTGAGATATGGAAATATGTACAAAAATAACCCAAGTACCCCGTGCAGAATGGACAATTGTTAAAATGTTGCCATATTTGTTTCAGAAATGAAACAAACATCTCAGAGCTGGAGTCCCCATTCCCTATTCCTTCTCCCCACTCCCACCCCTAATCTCTCTCCCCAGGTGGAAAATTCTCATGATTTGAGTGGGAACATTTTTGGATCATTAAACATATTTTAACGTCTATGAATGCTATATGTTTTTTACTTTACATAAGTCATATCATGTCATATATATCATTCTGCAACCTTAATTGTTTTATTCGACCTTTTATTTGATACTTCGGATCCATGCATATTGACAGCATGTAGAGCTAGATCTTCCCATTTACCTGCTGTGTAATATTCCACCTCATTTCTTTTACTATTCCCTACTTAGATGTTTCCATTCTGTTGCAAAAACCCTCTTATATATGATTATTTTTCCACGTATGAAAGCTTTACTAAGATTTATTTTATTGGGGGTCTCAGAAGCTGTCAGTTTTTAAAGCCCCGTTCCTTAAACTGTGCAGGAGAGACGACATCTAGGACCTCTATTAGCCAAGATATCAAAGGAAGGCAGCGGCAGTGAGACAGAGAGCCCCTGAGTCACAGTTGGCTGTGTTACCCTGGGGGAGGGGAGGAGAAGTTGCTGTTACTCAGAAGAGGGGCACTGGCAGAAATGAGGCCCAGGGAGGAGCCCTGTGACCAGGTGTGGTGAAGGAGCTTTGGCTGAGCAGAGGGGTTGACCTGCTGCAGGTACAGAGGAGCCCCCTGCTCTGAGGCAGCCTGGAACTCGAGGCACAACCAGCCAGGCAGGACCTCGGCCGTCCTCTGCCCCAAATGCTTCACTACACCCTGAGGCCAGAGCGGAAAAGGGATTTGCCAAGCTCATATCACAAATTCCAGGCTCCAACCCTTTATTCTGTCTATTTGACTAACAGGACAGGGACAACTGGGTTTCATTTCCAGCTGAGGGGAAGAGGGAAACGGGAGAAAGAGCAGCCCCTGATCTACCAGGGCACGTGTGGAAAGGGGGGATGTGGGGTGTGTACGTGTGTGTGTCAGTTTGTCTGATACAAATGGGAGTTCAGCCTGTTGGGCTCACGGTGCTGCTTGAATCAGAGAGGGTCACCCTGTGGGTTCAAGTGCTGGGAAGGCAGAGGAGGCTGCAGCTGCTGTCCCAGGTCGGGGAGCAAGCTGTCTGCAGGAATGGCTGGTAGGTTGCCGGGCAGGGATCAGAGTTCTGCCTGTAGCTCTCTCCTTCCCACTGGGGCGGCATCACCAGCCCAGGGTAATTTCTAATCTTAGCCATGGGAACCACGCCTTCGCTTTTTCATGCTCAGTTCCATCTGTGCAACCTGGAGCACTTCACACTCACTATTATTCATTCACATTGTCCCCCAGGGTAGCGGCATGGCAGGCATCGTGTTGACTGCAGAGAAAAAGAGGAGCAAGGCCTCTCATAAAGAACTTGCATCTCAGCTAGGCATGGTGGCTCATGGCTATAATCCCAACACTTTGGGAGGCCAAGGGAGGAGGATGGCTTGAGGTCAGGAGTTCGAGACCAGCCTGGGAAACACTGTGAGACCCTCCCTGCCATGTCTACAAAAGATTTTTTAAAAAAATGAGCCAGGCACAGTGCCACAATGCCTATAGTCCCAGCTATTTGGTAGGCTGAGGTGGGAGGATTGCTTCAGGCTAGGAGTTGGAGGTTGCAATGAGCTATGATCATGCCACTGCACTCCAGCCTGGGCAACAGAGAGACTCTGTCTCAAAAAAAAAAAAAAAAAAAAAAAAAAGGCAGGGGAGAAAACAACCCCTGAATCTCACCATGAAACCTCAGCTTCCTTTCCAAGAAAGAATACAGCCCTGTTTCAGGCCTGGCTCCCATCTCCCTGCTCTGCGCAGAGGGCAGGAAGTTCCCTTGGCCACAGTTGCTCCTCAGTGCTCAGCTCCCTTGGCCCTCAGCCTGCACAGCTCTTGCATCATCTAACTTTTCAGGGGTGAAAGTCTGTCACCCCACTTATCTTTAAACCCCCTTGAAGGCAGATAGCACTAAAGCTTCTTTGTATCACACACAGGGTCAAACACAGTACTAAGAACATAATAGATGCTCAACAATTTTTTTTTTTTTTTGGAGACAGAGTCTCACTCTCTTGTCCAGGCTGGAGTGCAGTGGTGCAATTGTAGCCCACTGCAACCTCAACCTCCAAGGCTCAAGAGATCCTCCTTCCTCTGCCTCCCAAGTAGCTGGGACTACAGGTATATGCCACCATAACTGTCTAATTTTTAAATTTTGTGCAGAGACAGGGCAGGGCTTGCTATGTTGCCTAGGCTGGTCTCAAACTCCTGGGCTCAAGTGATCTTCCTGCCTTGGCCGCCCAAAGTGCTGGAATTACCAGTGTGAGCCATCACACCTGGCTCTCAATAAATATTTTTAATAAAACCAGCTCATAAGGAGGCACAGGGACTACTGACCTAGTTCACAGAAGGGAAGCTGAGGCTCTGGGAAGGCATGTGACTTAAACTGAGGTCTCCACATATGCAGATACCGAAGCCAAGTCTATACTACCAGAACCCAAATCTGGTTTTCACTCAAACATTCATCATGTAGACTTTGAGACAACTGGTCACCTGGGGGAAGTGCATCCACCCCCTTCCTCAACAACCAATCCTGTTCGGCGTTTTGGACCAAGACAAAAAAAAAATACAAGGCAGAGTTTCTGTTTTTGAGGATCTGGTGGAGAGATCTGACAGCTATGTACACCTAAACAAAAAGGGTTTAAAAAGCAGCATGAATTTAACCAAAAATGCAGCTTTCTTAGGAATGTGCTGAGTTAGAGCCAGTTTGTCTCTGCCCCTAGCATGTGAGCGGTTTTTAATTTTTTCTTTTGTAGGAAAGGAGGTGAAAGTTACTCTCTTGGCCAGGCATGGTGGCTCACACCTGTAATCCCAGCACTTGGGGATGCCAAGGTGGGCAGATCACCAGAGGTCAGGAGTTCAAGACCAGCCTGGGCAACATGGTGAAACCCTGTCTCTACTAAAAATACAAAAATTAGCCAGGCATGGTGGCGCGCACCTGTAGTCCCAGCCACTCAGGAGGCTGAGGCCGAGGAATCACTTGAACCCAGGAGGCAGAGGTTGCAGTGAGCCAAGATCGCACCACTGCATTCCAGCCTGGGCAACAAAGTGAGACTCCATCTCAAAAAAAAAAAAAAAGAAAAGAAAAAAAAAGAAAACAGCTACTCTCTTATCCGCCTCACCTCTCAGGCACCCTGGTGGAGGATGCTGTCTGGGCTGTCGGGTCCCCTGGTTTCTGGCATCGTCCTTGTGTTCTTTTCCTCCTGCTTCTTTGTCCCCAGGGTGCTGAGAGCCCAAGAGTGTAGACCTGGTCTCCATGTTGGGGGCTGGATAGCAGAGGTGCGGGAGTTGGGGTAGGAGGGCGGTGCTGCAGTCAGGGAACCAGAGCTCTAATTCTGGTGCTGCCTCACTCCTGCTCTGGGACACTCAACCCACTTACTGGGCCCTGCCTACTCTTACATGTGGCCAGCACAGTTGTAGGGCCTTAGGAGGAAACCATCAGTCATCATTCATCAGAACAGACACTTGTTTTTTTGCTTGTTTGTTTTTTGAGACAGAGTCTCACTCTGTCGCCAGGCTGGAGTGCAGTGATGTGATCTCGGCTCACTGCAACCTCTGCCTCCCGGGTTCAAGTGACTCTTCTGCCTCAGCCTCCCAAGTAGCTGGGACTACAGGCGCTCACGCCACCATGCCCAGCTAATTTTTTTATTTTCAGTAGAGACGGGTTTCACCATGTTGGCCAGGATGGTCTCGATCTCTTGACCTCATGATCCACCCGACTCGGACTCCCAAAGTGCTGGGATTACAGGTGTGAGCCACTGCGCCCGGCCCAGACCTCACACTTGGCACACACTTTACTTGCATGTTTGCATTAGGCCCTAGACAAAAGATCCCAGACCGACGGATCTGCTGTATCATCAGGCATACAATTCAATCTTTCAGGGTCTCCATTTCCTCATGTGTCAGATAAGCACAGTTGATACCAAAGCCCGGCCACTGTCAGGATTAAATGAAATCACAGATACAAAAAATGCTTGACCAGTGAGGACAGTACACATGGGATGCACTGAAACCAAAGTGCATGTGAAATTATAGAGCAGTATGGAAAGATGCTAGAATTAGATCCTCGCATTTCTTGAAGTCAAAAGAGCAGGTCCTTTAGAAGGACTCCCCACCCCCACCCCCACCCCCACCCCCACTCCCATCTCACCAGGCCTGCCTCTGGGCCTCCAGGAGGGCAGCTGCTCTTGCAGAGATGTGAGAACAGTCCCCAGGCATCTGCCAGCTGGGGCTGGGGGGCCCAGGCTGCACCAGACTGGTGGGCGGGCCTCCAGCCAGCTCCCCAGCAGAGGTCTCTCTGGGGCTGAATGGGGCACGTGCCCAGGGCTAATTGACTCCCCTTTTATGATGATTCTCCCCGTTCCCCCTCCCCCCATACATACTCTGCCCGATTCAGCTTTCCTTATCTGGAATTCCTCCTCCTGTTTGTATTCCTTGTCCTTGACCCTTCCTCCCATTTGCTGCTCTAGATGAGGGGGAAAGGGGTTGGGGGCCAGGGCTGGGGCAGGGGTGAGCCTTTGAGCTAGTTAATCATCTCAGCCCAGGCTGCAAACCTCCCCGTGCTCAGTTTGCAGACGCCTGAAGGCCTACATGAGCAAAGCTCGATACAGATTTTCTGAGTGAATGCATGAATGAAAAAGAGGCGAGAGTGGAGGAGGAAGGGGGTGGGGGAACGTGGGCAACATGAGGAGGGGCTGAGGTTGCTGAGGTGCTGGGGGGAGAGGCTGCTGGTGGGTTGGGAGCAGGGGCCCACGCAGCTCTCAATTAAGTGCACTTGGATTCCATGGAAAGGCAGAAAGTGAAAGGGAAATCGCTGGCAGGCTGAGTCATTCCATCGGGTCGAACAATCGGAAGCAATTCGGCTTCCCACTGCTCTGGAGGAATCAAAAGCCACTCTGCCGGGCGGGCTTTTGTGCACAGGTCGTCAGCGTTCAGCTGCCGGGGAGTCTTCCTCCATCCCGGTGGGCAGCTTGTGTCTTAGCAGCATTGATTGACATTTCTCCCCAAGAACAAGATTACCCACCAATCCCAGCCTGCCCTTCCCCCTTCCAAAAATAAAGCCACAGTTACATGCAAAGCTCATGCAAATTTCACCCTGCTGCTGTTTGTGCTGCGGCTGGTCCCACGTGAGAGAGCAGAAGGCAGGCTCATCCACATTCATGGCTTGGACCCCAGGGCCCAAGTGAGCCGGGCACCGCTGGATAAAGGGAGCCTCTTCTGACGACCCGTGATACAGATCTTAAACAGGGGAGTGGGTGCAATCTCCAGAGGAGGGCTGGGCATCTGGCTAGACTCCCTCCCGTCTTACCTGGAGAGACAGAGACTGCAACCTAGGAGCAGATGGGACTCTGGAGGCCAGCATGTTGGGGGCAGATGGCCCCCTGCCTGCCAGATTTTTAACACCCAGAGTGGAGACTAAGTGGGCACCCCTGGAAGGTGAATTTAAAGATCCCAGGTCTGAGTCTGAGTGATGAACCGACATGAACCAACAGGGCCTTGGACAGAGACTGAAACATAGGTTTTACCCATTGATCAAGTCGGTATTCTGAGGCCAAGTTCAGGTTCAGTACGGAAGAATCAATGGAAACTGAGCGATGGCATGCATGGGCAAGGAGAAGGGGAGTGGAGCTGCTGTGAGCTCCCTAGGCAGGTTGACACCTGGTTAGCCTTTGGCAAATCCGACAACCCTAAATTGGATGGGAACTCTCTCAGCAGATCTCTGACTTTGTGGGATGCCTTTGTACCTCCCCTCTCTCCAAAATTCTGATCTTCCTTCACTGTCCCCAGGTCCACACTGTGGTCCTCTTCACTCTCTAGACCAGGGTCTTCCATGGAGGGAAGTGCAGCAGGTGCACGACTCTCCATTTCATGCCAGGAGATGGGATGGGCATGGGAGCCTCTCACTAACGGGCACCCTCAAGCAGAAAGAGGGTGTTGGGGCCCCTTCAGGGCATTACAGAGGTACCCACCTCCTTACTCCATCTATGCCTGAGGCCCTTCCTGAGTGGGCAAGACCAGGCGTCCCAGGCAGTCAAATGCGTTGGCACCAGATCACAGATGGAACCACAGAATGGAGAAAAGCTGTTAAGGCCAGCGATGCTTCAGTGCGCCGCGAGGCCCACAGAGCGTAGGTGGCATGTCCTAGGCCACTCAGCAAGGCAGGGGCAGAGCTGGGCTGGAAGCCTGACCCCCCAGCTCCCTCTCCAGTGCTTTCCTCTTACATCGTTCTTCCACAACAGAGCAGGAAGGAGGCATAGGTGGAGGGGGAAGAGCATTCTATGCTGAGAGGCGCTGCTACAAAAATACTCCCATCAGACCAAGGATGAAGCCAAGTCCCCCACCCTGCACCCCAGCAGCCTGCAGCTTCCCGTGTCATCAGCCATCAACAGCAGCTGAGGGCAGGTGATAAGTGCTGTCTTTCCAGGGAAAATTAAGGGAACTTTGGAGCTTGTGAGTTTGGATGGGGCAAGAGTATGGCGAAGGACAGAGGTGGCAAGACAGAGTAGAAAGAAGCAGGAAGGCTGGAAAGCCCTCTGCCACCTCTGCCATACCCAGGAGGGCTTTGGTTTGGACAGGGAAGAGGGAGAACTTAGGACAAAAGGCGCAGACTCCTCCAGGAGGTGGGCAGGTGTGGGACAGGAGGAAGGGTGGGGGAAACACAGTACAAGTCTTAAAGACACTCCCTCCCCTTCTGGCCTTACCCCTCACCCCTACTTCAGTAGGGCTCATCTTTTAGATGCACCGAGTGTGTCCTCTGTGTGTGTGTGTGTGTGTGTGTGTGTGTGTGTTTGTGTGTGTGGAGAGGGAAGGGGTGGAACAGGGAGACCTGGTTGATTTCACATTTCTGGGTTTCGGAACCCAGAAAGGATTGGAATTGAGGAAGCCCCAGCAGGAAGCACAGCTCAGATTCCTGACTTTGGGTGCTGGAAATGACCTGGCGTGGCACGAAGAGTTTAACCTGGTCCCTCAGGGAGGGCAGCTTTGGGTACCTGGCACTGTCTGTGTGTGCCTGAGTGTATTTTTGTGTGCTCAACAGCATGGGAGTCTGTGTGCACAAGCCAGGAAGCCTGTGGCCATTCCCAACGAGTCTCTACCTGTCCTGAGTTAAAGCTCTCTTGGTACCCTTTGATGTGTCTGGCTGAGGAATTTTGACTTCTGTGTCACCTCTGCCCTGATTCCTCAAGCTCCTTGCCTCCTCCTGCAAGGCTTCTCAGTGAACTAGAGCCTCACATTTAGCCCAGGAGCCGCTGAGCCTGGGTTGAGCATCCGGCCGTGTTTCCACTCTCCTGGAGTCTGTGGACCCCACAGCCCCTGACAGTGAGATAATTAACCTCTTGTTGGAAGCCCAGGGCTCCTGCAGTGTTGACCCCCAGCTGCCACCTAAGTCCCTCAGCTGTGCCCCCTCTGTCTCCATGAACCTTCCTGGTGAGTGTTACCAGCAGCAAGGCCAGAGGTGCTTAAAGAGGCTCCGAAGAGCCACCTGTAGATGCTCGGGGTCACTCCCACTTTGCTTCTGAACCTCCTTGCCCTTCTGGCCCCGGTGACGCTGAGTGACTCATAGGCCCCACTTGCCATCCTCTCGGTTCTTTCCCACCTACTCTTCCCTCTGCCAGGAACAACCTCCCTGACCGCGGCTGCTTCACCAGTGCAGGGATGGTGGAAAAGCGCCTCTCCCTCCCCCTTGCCTTCCTTGACTGTGTCTGAATAAAGCAATGCCAGTCCTATGCTCTGTTAAGAATTCAAACCCAAGACTATGCATTTCCATTGCCTGTGGTTTGGTGGGTGCACAGCGGCTGCTGGACAGACTAGCCATAGGCGAGCCAGGTGAAAGCAGGGCCGGGGCCTGGCTTGATGTGCCTGGTGGGGCAGCCGCAGCTGGGGGTCACCTCCCAGTATATGTGTCAGCACAGGCTTTGACAGGTAGAAAGAACAGCCACTGGAGGGGTGAGCTGCTGGGAGCACCTGTGCATTTTTTCAATATTCACAAGTACTTATTGAACATTTATTGTGCACAGTCTCCATCAGGGCCCTGTAGGCATAGCACTGAGCAGAACAGAATCTGCCTTAATAGAATCATGTCATGAATCATGTCAGACAATGGACACATTTAACTTGGCATTCAAGGTCCGATGCAATCTAAGCCCAACCTGTCTTCCCAGGTCATCTCCCACTATTTCAGGCTAGAATGACTGGGCCTGCTTCTTGACTGATCCACGATGTGCAGCTGCTGATACTCTGGGTCGCATCTGACCTCCAGAGTGACCTTACTGGTGTCCCTTGACCACCCTCAAGGGCCTGTCTTGCTTTTTTCCTCCCCTGTGGCTTTGCTCATGCCCAATTCTCCCTTCTGAGCCTGACCCCCCTTCCCAGATCAGGTCCTCATTGGTTTTCCCTGCTGGGTGGTCTTTGTATTTTGAAGTGGTGCCTTTGTCCACTAGACATGGAACTCTTTTTTGAGCCCAGATGCCGATGGGGACCCTAGAATCAAGACCCCCTAGCTGCCCTGTGCTTCTCCTGCTCCCTGTTGCATTTCTCAAATCTTATCAGTCCTTTGCCACTTACAAAGCCCTGTACCCACCTCTGCTGCCACACTCCCTGCAGACAACTTCATCTCTATAATACAGAGATAAGTAGAATCATTGGGAGGAAACTCCCTCAATTCCCTGAACTCATAAACCTGCAATTGACATGACTGCTGCCTCCTCTGTGCCTGTCACCGTGAAACAGAAGTCTGTCTTCATCTCAGACTAATCCTTCCAGCCATGGCGTGACTCTCGTCAACGCCAACCTTCTCACTTCCAGTTTTCTATTATTCTCTCCCATGAGCATTTAAACGTGCACAAGTCTCCCAATTCAAAAATAACATACAAGCTCCTGGACTCCATTTTCTTCTCCAGGGACCACTGTCTTTTTTCTCCCGTTCACAGCCAAGCTTCTCGAGAGAGACAGAACATCATACTCACTATTGCTGCTCGATCATTTCTCATTGGCTCTTCAATCCACAGAGGCCCTGGTTTCTGTCCCCACCAATCCACTAGAACTGCCCTCCGGGATGTTGCTAAATCCAATGGACCTTCCCAATAGTTAGCAAACTTGACCTCTCGGCGGCTCTGTCTCTTTCTTTTTCGGTCTGTGTTTTTTGAAACACTGCTTCCTTGGCTTATGTGATACCGTGATTGCCTGGCTTTCCTCCTGTTGCGCAGCCTGTCCTCTGTCACCTTTACCTCTTTCATTCTCTAAATGTGGATGCTTTTCAGGCTGTATCTGAGACCCTGACCTCTGCTCCTTCTGCACGGCGTCAGCTGCATCCACATGGGGATGATTTTTAGATCGTTATCTGCAGCCAAATCCTCTCCCCTGAGCTCCTGCCCTAAACATCCAACTGCGCTTCCCTCGGAGGGGCCACATCTCACCCTCGCACATCCACAGTGGAATTCTTCATTCTCTCTTGCTTGCCAGGATCCATCTGCCTTCAGCGTGCCCCTCCTTCTGGAATCCCGGTGTTAGTGAACAGCACAACTGTGATCAAGCCAGAAACCGGTCCCAAGAAACCTAAGCAAACCAGGAACTTTTGATTCCCACTCAGCCCTCACCCTACATCTGACCAGCCACCAAGCCCTGTCTCACTATTGCTTTTCCTCAAAACCAGCATTTCCCTGAGATTCCATAGCCACTGTCTTAGTCTAAGTTGCTATCATAGTTCCCTTGGGAAATTAATAGACCTGTTATATTTGTTTTTTTTTTTCCTAGCTCTCCCAAGGCTACCCTATTGCCCCAAAAATAAAGCCCAAATGTCCTAACATGGCAGAGAAGGCCTTCATGACTGGGACTTTCTGTATCTTTGTATCTTCATGTCATCCGCCACCACTTCCTCTCCTCCCCTCCCCAGGCCTGCCCGCCCTCTATTCTGAGACTGGAGTTTGTAAATCTGTCATTTTCTCCCTCAGACCCTGCCCTAGGTTTTCCCACGCTGCTCCCTAGGCCCAAAGCCCCTGGGACTTTGCTCAGAAGGCACTCTTCTGCTATGAAGCCTTCCCGTATCTGTGAGGCCCCTTCTGCGTGTTCTTACAGTGGGCATTAATCACTCTGTAGCACAGCTGCTCTCTACTTTGAGCTCTTTCTCAGTAGATGGCAAGACTGTTTTTCACCCAACACTGTACTCCCAGCTTCGAGCGCAGTACCTTCTGGCCCAAGACTCAGTGCTTGTTTGTTGAATGAATGGATAAGCGTGTGTTTATGCATCGTATTTTATTTTATGGTGCCTATGTTCTACCAGCTACCCTTTCCCAAATGCAACACCATAAAACACTCTACACAGTGGGTGTTTACGAACTTTTCATCCCTTCTCCTCATCCTAGGGAACCCCTTGGAATACACTAGGTAGCTTGGAGCATAGCGGCAATCATCTCCATCCCGGTGTGTGATGGAGGCTTCTCCATGTGGGCACTCATGCCTCAGTGGCACTCTGGCCTGAGCATTGGGTCCGAGCCTGTGGGCGTGTTGGAGTCTGTGGGCCTGAGTGTTAGACCCCCCTTATGTGGAGATAAGATTACAGCTGGACAGCGTAACCCAATGGGGCGTAAGTGCGTGTACCAGCGTCAACACTCCCTTGGTGTCGAGCTTTTCTGCACTCCAAGCTCCACTTTGTGAAAATAATCTGGGACACAGCACAACCAACTGTCCTGATCTGCCTGGGACTGTGGGAATTTCTGGGATGTGGGATGTCAGTGCTAAATCACCAGGAAAGTCCTCGTAAAGCGGGATGCATTGGTGGCCCCACCTAAACTGGAAGTTAGGATTTGTACAAAAGATTGAATTAGTTCTCAGTGACCCCTCGACCTAACCCTTGGTCCCTCACTGAGTGGGCTCCTTGGAGCGCTGTGATCAAAAACAAAGATAGAGTGGCTGCCATGATACTGTGTGTGTGTGTGTGTGTGTGTCTCAATGGGATTACCTCTCAGGATTGTGATATTCGCTTCCTGGAGGGAAGTCTCTGAAGGGCAGTGGGTGGGGGACAGATACTAATGTGTGTGGAAGAGATGGATAACTCATTAACTGGGGACAGAAAGAATTATGGTTGGGCGCCATGGCTCAAGCCTGTAATCCCAGTACTTTGGGAGACTGAGGCGGGTGGATCACCTGAGGTCAGGAATTCGAGACCAGCCTGGCCAACATGGTGAAACCCCATCTCTACTAAAAATACAAAAATTAGCTGGGTGTGGTGGCGGGCAGCTGTAATCCCAGCTACTTGGGATGCTGAGGCAGGAGAATCACTTGAACCCGGGAGGCAGAGGTTGCAGTAAGCCGAGATGATCGCGCCACTGCACTCCAGCCTGGGCAACAGAGTAAGACTTCATCTCAAAAAAAAAAAAAAAAAAGAATTGTCCATATGGGTTAGCTCCCAGCCTTACTTCCCCCACCCGGGAGAAGCTTTCCTGCAGACCCCAGAGAGAGGTGGGCTGGGAGTTGGGGAAGGGCCTAAGCAGGAGAAAAAATCTAAGAAGGCATAGGTGAGGGAATCCTAAAGGGTAAGGGGCAATCTCGGGGTAAGAGAGGAGAAAGAGAAGGAAACAAGGAAGGACGAGGAAGATGGAAAGTGCTGGTGGGTCCAGTCCTAGCAGCAGAGGGAGGGGTTAAGACTGGGACTCCGGAGAGGACCTCCATTGTGATGCAAATGAGTGACTGGGCAGAGAGAAGGGGCCCTGTGGGGAAGGGTGAGGGTGCAGGGCAAGGACAGCAGTAGGAGCTTACTGCAGTGACTGTATCATAACTGCTGGTTATGAGGATTGGATTTCTTTTTTGCAGATGTCACGTGCCGGGGTGAACTGTTATTAACTAAAAGGAGTCAGGGCTTAGCTGCAAGAAAGGAGGTATGTGGTTGAGTGCATTTCAACATGGGTAGAAGAAATGGTGTAGCCTGCAGAAATGAAGGCAGGTTTTTGGGACTGGAGCACATTTTAATGGGAGGAGAAGTCTATAAAGCTAGTAGCCCCCTACCTACTCCCCCATTATAACTACTTCCAAAAAATAAAGAAAATGTTTAAGAGGCCTATAGGTTATCAAGAAATAATATAATCCTGGGATAGATTCATTTTAAGATACGCTGGTTTAATGAATGGATGACTATGATATTATAAAATATATATTTGGTCTTTGACCCCATTTCCTGGCATCCTAAAATCCTTAGAGTCTCCAGAGTGATTTTTTTTTTTTTTTGACTGATGGTTGGTAGCTTCAGAATAGGGCAGGTCACCAGAAAGACCAAGGCAGGATTAGATGGTTGGGACTTTCAGCCACTGCCCCTAACCTCTGGGGAGGAGAGAGGGGCTGAAGGTTAAGTTGATCACCAATGGCCAATGGCTTAATCAATCATGCCTATGCAATGTAGCCTCCATAAAAACCCAAAAGGACAGGGCTCAGGAAGTTTCTGGATAGTTGAACACCTGGAGGGTCTTGGAGGGTGGCGTGCCCAGAGAGGGCATGGAAGCACCCCACCTCTTCTCCCCTGCCTTTCTCTACGCATCTCTTCATCTGTATCCTTTGTAATATCCTGTACAATCAATCAGTAAGTGTGTTTCACTGAGTTCTGTGAGCTGCTCTAGCAAATTAATCAAACCCAAGGCTGGGGTCATGGGAACTCCAATTTATAGCCAGTCAGAAGTATTGGTGAAACAACCTGGTGAATTAATCTCCAGGTAGGTAGTGCCATAAATGAACTGAATGAGAGAACATCAGAGGGTCCTCTGCAGAGCTGATTGTTTTCTTGTTGGTTGGGAAAACCCCACATATGTGGTAATAGAAGTCTTCTGGGTTGATTGTTACGGTGTTAGATCAGAGGAAAACGGTTTATTTATTAAAGGTGCTCCCAATACTGGACATTAGGATTAAGGGTAAGCATGTCAGAGGCATTTGAACCAGAGCAACTCCATGTTGAATAGGGGCTGGGTAAAATAAGGCTGAGACCTACTGGGCTGCATTGCCAGGAAGTTAAGGCATTCTAAGTCACAGGATGAGACAGGAAGTAGGCAGAAGATACAGGTCATAAAGACCTTGCTGATAAAACAGGCTGTGGTAAAGAAGCAGGCCAAAACCTACCAAAACCAAGATGGTGATGAGAGTGACCTCTGGTCGTGCTCACTGCTCATTATATGCTAATTATAGTGCATTAATATGCTAAAAGATATTCCCAGCAGTGCCTTGGCAGTTTACAAATGCCCTGGCAATGTCAGGAAATTACCGTATATGGTCTAAAAAGGGAGGAACCCTCAGTTCTGGGAAGTACCCACCCCTTTCCCGGAAAACTCATGAATAATACACCCCTTTTTTTAGCATATAATCAAGAAATAACTATAAGTATATTCAGCTGAACAGCCATGCTGCTGCTCTGCCTATGGAGTAGCCATTCTTTTGTTTTGTAAACTTGCTTTCACTTTATGGACTTGCCCTGAATTCTTTCTTGAGCAAGGTCCAAGAACCCTCTCTTGGGGACTGGATTAGGACCTCTTTCCAGTAACAAGTATATAAGGCTGGTATTAATTCCAACAGGACAAACCAAGAAATGGTTTAAGAACTGGGCCTTTAACTGTGGATTTTCACTTTGTAGGCTGATCTATGAGTTGGAGGAAGTAGGGTGGGGTGTTAGAAAATTCCAGCAACTCCAGGTGGGCGAACTGTCCTAAAAGCACCCTTTTCTCTGTTTCTGTGCACCATAGTGCCAAGAATCTGGTGCAAGATCCAAAACAGCAGGATTTGTCAGCCTCCTAGCCATTTCCCAGTAGGACTTGCTGTGTCTAATGCCAATTCCAGCTTGGTGCAGAGCTTGGGAACCCTGGGACTGGAGGGAAGGCTGGGAGCAGGATAATGTGTGTGTGGAAACACTCCCATCTACTATGAGCACCTTGGAACGTCTTGCTCACCACTGTATGTATCACTTAGCACAGCGCCTGGCACATAGTTGTGTTACAGTAGGTAGTCGGGCAGGCATGAGCAGGGCAGGAGAGTCCCCAACCCAGGAATGTCAGGTGACCATCAGATGGTCAGGTGGTTGTTACAGTGTGTCGCTGAAATAATAATTGGTCACAGCTGGTGCCAGGGACAGGCAGTCTCCCAGTAGATAGAAACACCTGAAGCTGGTGATCAGCAGCTTCCTGATAAGATCTCAGCAGTTGGGTGTGTGGGTTCAAGCATGCGCACTAAGAGGCAAAATGGTATAACTGGTATATTACCTTCCTCTAGGAACGAGACAGGTAAGTGGAGAATTCCTCAAATGAGCATGCACACAACTTCAGTAAACCCACGGTGCAGGTACAGCATTTGCCCTTCCCAAGTGCTGGCAGGCCACTGTGCATGTGGACAGCCCACCCAAAGGGAAGAATCAGGAGGAAATAACGCAACAGGAAGATGCCAACATAAGACCCCAGGTCAAAGGTCAAACCGTACACTTGACTCTCTCACAGGCCTCCCACCGGGCTCTCTTACAAGCGTGCTTCACTCCATTTCATTCCTGCCCTGATAGTTGTTAATACACTTTCACTCCTGCTCTAAAACTTGCCTCAGTTTCTCACTCTGCCTTATACCTCCTCTGTCTAATTCTTTCTCTGAGGAGGCAAGAACTGGGGTTGCTGCAGGCCTGTATGGATTTGCTGCTGCTAATATGGAGCTCAATACATATTCATCAAATGAATGAATGAATGAATGGACTTTCTGCCTTAGTTCTCTCCTAGCTCAAATAGATCTTCCACATTGCAGCAACTAGGCACTGCCTTTCTAAAACACAGACTTGACAGCTTCAGGTTCTTTTCCAGCCTCTCCTCTCTCCAATAATTGTCTTAATTTCCTTCCTCGGAGATCTGTACTCACTCCCTGCAGTACATTCATGACCCTTTATGCCCTGGGTCCCAACCCCAATTGCCAGTTTTATTTGTCCTGTCACCTGTCAGTGCTTTCTCACCATTTCTTCCAAATGCCACTCAGCACATAATGCTCTCATGTGCCACAGGCACAACCTAGAATCTCTTTCACAAAACTTCTCCCTATATCTCCAGCCTTCTGCCTGTGAAAACCCATCCTTCAAGGTCCAGCTCAAATGTCACTTCCTCCAGGAAGCCATCCTATGTTTTCTTTGCTGCCTTGTCTGTCATTGTACAATGGCAGACTGAAACTCTTAGAGAATTGATTTCATTCTGTTTCTGAAGTAACCTGTTCTTTATCTGTCTATCCCCTCTGCTAGTCTTTGGGCTTCTTGAAGACTAACATTGTTTTGTCTCCATTTACCCAGCTAAACAGCCATCCAAGGAAGGAGGGAGGGAAATCAGAGAGGCTCAAAGAAGTTGGAAGATGTGTTAGTGGGCTGGTGACAGGAAAATAAAAAATAGCAGACATCTAGCTATTTGCCTCAGAAATTGCTGGACTTTGGAAGGCTGAATTGAGAGAATCGCCTGAGGCCAGGGGTTCGAGACCAGCCTGGGTGACATAGTGAGACCCCCCATGTCTACAAAACATTTTAAAATTAGCTGGGCGTGGTGCCATGCACCTGAAGTCCCAGCTACTGAGAGTCTGAGGTGGGAGGATCGCTTAAGTCCAGGAGTTCCAGGCTGCAGTGAGCTCCAGCCTGGGTGATGGAGCAAGACCCTGTCTCAAAAAAAAAAAAAAAAAAAAAGAGGCTGAGCATGGTGATTTATGCCTGTAATACCAGCACTTTGGGAGGCCAAAGTGAGCAGATCGCTTGAGTTCAGGAGTTTGAGACCAGCATGGGAAACATGGTGAGACCCCAACTCTAATAAAAACAAACAAATAAGCTGGGCATGGTAGCACATGCCCGTAGTCCCAGCTACTCAGGAGGCTGAGGTGGGAGGATCACCTGAGCCCAGGAGGTTGAGGCTGCAGTTAGCCATGATCTCTGGGTGACAGAGAGAAACCGTGTCTCAAAAAAAAAAAAAAAAAATTGCTGAAATTGCCAGTGAATTTTCTTTTCCTGATTTCACTTCCATCCCAAGAAGTAGAATTGCTACTGACCGAGAAAAGAGGTGAAGGAGGCCTTAGGCCATCCTCCTACACAGGAGACAGTGAAAGTGCTTGCTCTTATTCCCTTAGGTACCACCCCAACCCCAGATGAGGCTGGATTTCCCTCGTTTTCTCAGTTCTTTCTTTCGAAGAATCGGCCCTGATCTTCTTAGAGTAGCCCACAATAAGGGTGCACCCTTCCTTCTGCTTTCATCTGCCCAGTAATAGTGCTAATTGGAAGGACTTTGGCTCTTCCCGCAGCCTGGCTTTGTCAGGCGTAACAGTCCTCTCTCATTCTCTGGATGTGGCTCGTGTTCCTGCTGGCAGTCTTCTTCAGAGTTCACTTGTCATTCAGACCTCTGTGAAAGGCCCCCTTACAACTTGCTCATTCACTGTACCTCATTGTCCCTGCCCATTCATTGACATTCATGGGGATAATTCCTCCCGCTGCCACATGCACGGAGGCGCGTGCACATGTGTTCAGACCCCATGTCCCATTAGCAGTGAGAACACTTGAAATAAAAAAGCAGCACCGCCTGAATGTGGAACTGCCTTCCCCTTTAATAGCTGGGGAGTCGATTGCGCTAATGTTATTTCAAGAAGTGCCAGGAGAATTGGTGGGCACAGCAGAGCAGGGAGGGAGGAAGGGGCAGGGTGGTCCTGACAGTTCCCTTCCTTAAAGCACTGTCAGCGACATCACTCCGGACAGACCCAGCTCTCCTCCTCCCATCCTTCCTCCTTAGATCCAGCCAGTTCTGGGAGCTGCACTCCCTACCTTCCACCTGGACATTAGCCTGGCATTCAAGGCTCTCTAAAAAACCGCTCACAAGTACCTCCCAGACTTACCTTCTACCTCCTCTCTAGGCTGAATTCTTCTCTAACCAGCCAGGTCTAGGCTGATGATCTGCAGCTCACAGTTCGCTTATCTGTTCTTTCAAATCATTCCCCAGGGCCTGGGTGGCTGCAATGGCAGCAAGAACAGTTGTTCTCCCTGAGCTACTCAGCAAAGACGGTGTCTACTCAGTATTTTTTAACGTAATGGTTATAGGAATGGTTGAAGAAAATCATTACAGAAGCAGGACAAGGGTAAGATTGTGAGATGGGAGAGGATATCATTTGGATGTTTGTCCCCTCCAAATCTCATGTTGAAATTTGATCTCTAAGGGTGGAGGTGAGGCCTGGTGGGAGGTGTTTAGGTCACCGGGGTGGATCCCTCAAGAATGGCTTAGTGGCCTGGACACGGTGGCTCACGCCTGTAATCCCAGCACTTTGGGAGGCTGAGGTGGGCAGATCACCTGAGGTCAGCAGTTCAAGACCAGCCTGGCCAACATGGTGAAACCCCATCTCTACTAAAAATACAAAAAAAAAAAAAAAAAATTAGCTGCGCATTGTGGTGGGCACCTGTAATCTCAGCTACTCGGGAGGCCGAGGCAGGAGAATCGCTTGCACCTGAGGCAGAAGTTGCAGTGAGCCAAGATCGCACCATTGCACTCCAGCCTGGGCAACAAGAGTGAAACTCTGTCTCAAAAAAAAAAGAATGGCTGAGTGCCCTCCTCACAGTCATGAGTGAGTTCTTGCTGAATTCGTTTGCACAAGAGCTGGTCATTGAAAAGAGGCTGGCATCTCCTCTCTCTCTCTTGTTCCCTCTATTACCATGTGATATGTCTGTTCCCCCTTCACCTTGCACCATGGATAAAAGCTTCCTGAGACCTCACCAGAGCTGAGCAGATGCTGGGGCCATGCTTGTACAACCAGCAGAACTGTGAGCCAAATAAACCTCTCTTCTGTATAAATTACCCAGTCTCAGGTATTCCTTTATAGCAATGAAAAAATAAATGGACTAATACAGGAGATAAGAGAGAAAAGAGTTGGTGGAAGGATGGAGCTATCATTATAGTTGATTCTGCTACCAGCCCCCCAGAGTATAGCCCCTGGCCACCCCCTGACCTTCAGAAACAGGCTCCGTTCTCTCTGATGTTAGGACCTGAACTTCTCCTCTGAGTACTGCAATCCCACCACCAAGCCTTCCAAGACTCACTCTAGTTCTGCCTTTCCATGAAGAGGGCCTTTTCTAGTCACCACGAGGGTCCACAGTCCTTTGACAGCCATGGGGTTCTTGGCAATACCCTCACTGGCACTTACAAGGCCTTTCATGTGCACACACCATAATGACTCATTAGAGACTTCAAGTTTCAGAGAGGAAGAGGTGGCGACTCATGCCTCTGTAGCCCTCCAGAGCACTGGTGGGAAAGGCTTGCCTCTGAGCAGCTGCTCTCTGAGCCTGCTGGGCCTCTGATCTGGCAGATGCAGAATGGTGTTTGCTGGCCATGTGGAAAACAGTAGAATGAGTTATCTCACAGATATGACAGATATGACCTGGGGGCAGTTGCTACTGAGCACCAGGAGCATTTGGTGACCAAAAAAGCATAGGCTCTAAGGTCAAACAGATGAGGACTGTAACGTAGCTCCTTCTTGACTAGCTGTAAGAACTGCTACCTAATTGCTTTGAACTGTAGTTTTTCCTTTCGCATTTAAGTTGTGCTTGGGCTTCTCCACCTTGGCATTATTGACAAAGGCTAGGTAATTCTCTGTTGTAAGGGGCTGTCCTGTGTGTGGTAGGACATTTAGCAGCATTCCTGGCCCCTACATTCTATGTGCCAGTTGCACTCACTCCCCTTTTCCACCAGTAGTTACCTTTAAAAATGTCTCTAGATGTTGCCAAATATTCCTTAGGTGGGTGGGTAGGGGGCAAAATCTTTCTCAGTTAAAAATCACTGATCTTTACACCCTGGGGTTTTAAAGATGAGAGGATGTGATAGTGCATGGGACTTGTCTGATGATGTCTAGCATATAGTAGTAGATACTCATACATGTTGGTCCCACTGGATATTTCAAGAATAGAATTCTTTGAATAGAATAGAATAAAATAGGACACTTTCTCTTCCATCCTCATGCACCATGGAGCATCCCTGGGGGCTCAGAAGTGGGATGGATAGAGCCTGACTGGGCTTGAGAAGAGCTCTGGAGAAGGTATCTCCACCCAGTGATCTCCCCAGTGGCTTCACTGGTCAGGACTGAAAAGAAGACACTTCATGGATGCTCAGATGTGTTCTGGAACTGTCTCATGAGAAAGGGATGTTCTGTATGGTCTGAATGTTTGTGTCCCCCAAAAATGCATATGTCGAAACTTAGTGACCAATGTGACGGTATTAGGAGGTAGGGCCTTTGGGAGGTGATTAGGTCATGAGGGTGGAGCCCTCATAAATGGGATGAGTGTCCTCAGAGAACTACCTTGTCCCTTCCACCATCTGAAGACATAGCAAGAAGGCACCTGCTATGAACCAGAAAGTGGGTCCTCCCCAGACACTGAATCTGCTGGCACCTTGATCTTGGACTTCTCAGCCTCCAGAACTGTGAGAAATACATTTCTGCTGCCTATTGGCTACCTCGTTCATGGTATTTTTTTATAGCCGCCCGAACAGACTGGAGTCTGTTCTGGAAACCCGGAGAGGGATACAATTTCAGCAGTTTACATGGAGAGCCATTTCCAAGCAGACAGCCTGTTTCTACTTCAGTTCTTCCTCCACACCTGGTTGTTCTGGGGAGACAGATGGTCCATTCTAGAGAAGGGAATATGAGTTATGTAGAGTAGCAGCTCCTACCAGCAAGGAGAGAGTGTGAGACACACTGTTGAGATGTTAGCTTGGCTGGAGTGCAGGATGGAGGGACTCAGGGTCTTCTGGCTGCAACTTCAGGTCACAGAGGAGAGAGTAACCAGCTGTGGCCACTGCACATCTGGCCTAATGTGCATCCTGCCTGCCCAAATCCAGGCCTGTCTATTCCTTCAGGCCTAGGATCAATGGAAATCTTCCAAGTCAGCAAATCAGGCTTCCACCAGAGGCAAAACCAACTGAATATAGGAAATCTCAGGGTTGCCCAAGCAATAGATGCTCCAACCCCTCTTTCTTGATGGTGGAGTAGAAATGACAATGGACTGGAGGTCAGGCATCCTGGACTTGAACTTGCTCTGCTTGGCCATTGACTAGTTGTGTGGTCTTGAGTGAGTCATTCTCTCTGGGGCTTCCTTTCATCATCTCCCCATGGGCAGCTTCATAACCGCTCTTTCCAACTGAGAGGCTCTGGCTGGATCAGCAAACAAACACGCTTTGAGAAGAGAGAAAGGATTGTTGGCAAATGCCCACCAGCAAGTTCAGCCTCATGTTGAAGAAGCACCGGCCATGCCAGGGCCATTTAAAAGGGAGTCACTGGATGAAGGACTGAGCTAACAGGATGAGCACAGCCAAGGCAAACCATCTCTGGGAGACCAGAGCACAGCTGCCCTTCTGAAGATAACCAGGTCAGTGTGGAATAAGAGCTGGGAGCCCGCAGCCATCAGAGCAGAGGATGAGAAAGAAGGAGTTTATTGTTTGTTTTTGTTTTAATCACAAGATTAGTTAAGAGAAGGTAAAGGCATGCACATTTCACTTTTTTTTTAATGGAGAGAGTATTAAGAACCAAAAGCCCAAGAGAGTGTTCTTCACTTTTACGTGTACATTGTCCGTGGAGACCTGTAGACCTGACCTCGGGGTACTAAGCCACACTCTGTGGTTCTCGCCTCTGCATTTGCTCATTTTCACCCTCTCTGCTCCCTACCTTGGGGCCTGCATCATCTCATGCCTAGCATGTAATGACAACCCCCAAGGCAGCCGGCTTACCTCTTCTGCCTCCAACCCATTCTACACAAAGGTCATTCTAAACACAGATTTCAACACTTGGGTCACTTATCTGCCTGATAACCTTTCCCTGCTCCCATAGCCTATCTCATCAAGACCCATGCTCCCATCCGATAGTCTTAGAAAACCCCTCCACTAAGTGGTGAAATGAAAAGGCTGTGATCGAAACTGATCTTACAACTACTTCCTCATGGGGAGAACTCGGCCGAGCCTCTTTACTCTCTGAGCCCAGTTCCTTATCTCTGAAAACGACATAAAGAGCTCACAGGTGGTGACCTCATAGGCACACAGTGAGGATCAATGATACAATGGACGCAAAGGGCTTTACAAACTCTAAAGTGCAGTACCAACATTCCCATCCATTCAAGTCTCTGCAAGATGGATTTCTTGTGGTTCTCACATTGCTTCCCTTCGTAGAGATTCTCCCTCCTTTTACTCATCATGAAAATCCTGCCCTTGTGAGCTCATCAACTTCCACACCCTGATGCCTTCCTTCACTGGCCATATCCTTTAGGACTGAGCCTGCCACCCTGACCTGCCTCAGTTCTTCCATGTGTAGATACGAGTTAGTGAGCCCCACTATGTCTCTGGGGCTTATCCATAATCTCATTTACTTCTCACAATAAATTAATATACAAAAACCAACTGAACTTCCATATACTAGCAACAAATAAATCAAAAAAGACATTGAAAAACATGTAATTTACAAAATGTGTATGCTTGGGAATGAATATAACCGAAGTTGTGTATGACCTCTACACTGAAAACTCTAACGTATTATTGTGATGAATTAAGGAAAATCTATATTAATGCAGAGATATGCCAGGTTCATGGGTCACAGACTTGATAATCTAAAGATTTACATTTTATGCACATTGACCTAGTGACAATACAATCACAATCAACATCCTAGCAGCTTAGATACTAAAATGCAAAGGAGCAAGAATAACCAAGACCATTTGGTGAAGAACTAAGCTGGAGGGTGTATATCAGCAGACAGCAAGACTTAATGGTAACTAAAACAATGTGGTATTGATACAGGTAAATAAATTGACCAATGGAACCAAATAGAATTCAGAAACAAACCCAAATATATAAGATCACTTGATTTATGAAAAAGGAGACATGGCAGGCAAGTGAGACAAAAAAATGCTGCTGGGTCAACCAGGATCCATTGAGGAAAAAGTAAATATTGACTCCTACTTCCTACCACACACGAATATTTCCAGATGATTGTAGATACAAATGCAAAAGGTTAACACCCTAAAGCATCTAGAAGAAAACCAAGGATAATATCTTCTTGACCTTTGGATAGGCAAAAATTTCTTGGCCAGGTCATTAAAAAAGCACTATTCTAGAGGAAAAATATTAATAAATTAAGAATTTTTCTTCATCAAAGGTCTCAACTTGGAATGAAAAGGCATGCCATAGAATAGAAGGAGATATCTACAATACACACACCTGACAAAGTACTCATATCAGAACATAGAAAACAATTCTCGTAAATCTCTAATAGAAAAACAGAAACCAAATTTAAAATGAGCAAAAGATTTGAACAGGCTAGGACATGCTAATGGACAAAAATAGGACATGCTAATGGACAAAAATATATAAAAAGGTATACTCACTGTGAGTACTGATTAGGAAAATGTAAGTTAAAATCATAATTAAATACCTACCGCTAGGCCACTATTCAATGGTAAAATGAAAAAGTCTGATAATACCAAGTGCTGGTGAGGATGTGAAGCAAGTGAAACTCTCATACACCACTGGAGGGAGTGCAGACATGCTCAGCCACACTATGAAAATGTTTGGCTGTGTCTATCCAAGTTGAACACAAGCCCAGCAATCCCACTCGTAGAGGTACACCTGGCAGAAATGGCCACATGTGTTCACTTAAAGACCTAGCAGTTTTGTGCGTAAGAGTCCCAAACTCAAAATATCCGGAGACCTAAATGCCTATGCACAGTAGAATGAATGGGCTGGGGTTCATGTGTAGAGGGGATCCCAGGGAGCAACGGGCACGAATGACAGCACTGCTGCTACAATCACAACATGGACCAGTTTCACAAAGGACACGTTCTGTGCAATTCCATTCAGTAAGATGTTTAAAAAGAGGTAAAAATTATGGTGTCAGGATGGGGAGCAGCAGGGATTAGCAGAGGAAGACAAGGGGTTTCCGGGGGGTACTTTTAATGTTCTCTCTTGACTAGGCTTCTATGTATATGAAAAATTTGCAAACTTGTCTAGTTGTTCACCTATGGTTTGTGCACACCTCTGCATGTATATTATACTTCAATACATTGATTTTAAAAGATTATCACAATAATCCTACGAGGTGGTTCTTTCTGCCCAATTTACCAATCAGGAAACATGTCTCAGAGAGGACGAGAAAGGTGTTCGGTGCCGGTCACTTGGAAATGAGAGGCAGAGCTAGAATTCAAGCCCACACTATGTGAGTTCCTAAACACCATCTCCTGACTTTACATGGAGTAAAGTCCACCCTTTCACGGGGCCCAGCTCCTCACTGGAGCTTCGTGCCCTGGAAGGCAGGGACTCTAAACTCCCACATCTTTGCTGTCAGCACAGGGCTGGACACTGCTGCTCAGCAGATGCTCAGCAAGAAGTAAAAGGTGAAAGTAAAATGTAAACCCTTGCCCACCTCGTTCTTTCGCTCCCACCCTCAACTCTCTTTCCCTTCCTGGCTCTACAGAGGGTCTATGAGCTTGCCCTGGCTGTTGACCCTGCCTTGCTCCTCTGCAGAATCTGTGCCGTCTTCAGGGCAGGGAGGTTACAGCAATGCTCCCAGAACTCAGTCCAGAGAGAGAAGAGTGAGTGAAGGGGAGAAAGAATGCTGCTGCCCGGGACCAGGCATGGTGGCTCACGCCTATAATCCCAACACTTTGGAAGGCTGAGGCAGGTGGATTACCTGAGATCAGGAGTTCGAGACCAGCCTGACCAAAATGGTGCAACCCCATCTCTACTGAAAATACAAAATTAGCCAAGCATAGTGGCACATGCCTGTAATCCTAGCTACTTGGGGGGCTGAGGCAGGAGAATTGCTTGAGCCCAGGAGGTAGAGGTTGCAGTAAGCTAATCACGCCAAAGCACTCCAGCCAAAAAAAAAAAAAAAAAAAAAAAAGGTTCCTGGCTTCTTCCCCTTCCCTAGCCCAGCCCACCTGCAGATGGGCCACCCCCAAGCAGAGGGTGGGGTCCTCCACTCCTTTGCTGGGGATGGGGAATCCCGACTGTGGGTCTGCCCAGCCCCCACCTCCTGCCTCTCCCTGCCCCAGGTGCAATCCTGTCTCCTGCTCCGTCTCAGCCTCACAAGCTCCTTCTCCTTCTCAAAGAGGAGTGAAGCTTTCCTGGTGTTGTCAGCTCAGCCGAGCAGAGCTTGTCTTCCCACTGTCTCCCTCCCTCCCCCACACAGCTGGGGGATTCTGAAATCACCGCCTCGCTGCAGAATCAAGACCTGGATGTTGTCAGGAGCCTCTGCAAAGGCTGACTGCCAGCATCCCACGTCTCAGGAAGTGGGTGGCCACTGCTCAGGAGAAGCTGCCTGGAGACAGCCTCCCTCCCTCGCCATCACCTCTGGCCAGAGGCGATGCGCAAGTGGAAACAGCAGTGCCCAGTCCAGGGCGGGGAGGACACAGCTTCCTCTTGGGCTTCCATTCACTGCATGTGTCCTGTGCACTAGGTATGGGACGATGTACGACACACACATGATCTGGTGCCTGCCTCACCCCAACCCCAAGAGGGTGCACTGTTACTACCCCAACTGATGGATGCAAAAAAATGATGCCTCAGGTTTTATATCTGGCCAGTGGCAGTACCTGGCTTCAAACCTAGGTTGCGGTCAACAGCCGTCTAGCAATACACACGCACAGGCATCGAGCACATGGCTCTCCCACCACTGGGGCCCCTGGCACCCCTCTCCCCACAGCTTCCCTGCTCCTCTAGAACTCACCCCAACTCTGCGCCCAACCTGCCCCTCCTCTGCCTCCCCTGCGTCTTCCAACCCTCCCCTCTGGGTTCAGGTAATCCCTTCATTTAATCCTCTTCCCCCAAGTCTTGGGCCACTACTTCCATTTCCTTGTCTGTAAACTGGAGCTATGGGTAGTACCCACCTCATAGGGTTTTGGTAAGTATTGAGTAAAATTTTATTTGTAAAAGAAGGATATAATTAAGAGCTTAAAAATAGCAGCTGGTTTTTTTTTTTTTTTTTTTTAGACATATGGGACTTGGTGACTTAAGACACAGTGGGATTGCTTGGCCTCAAACTCTTTTTACATTTGTTTCCAACTTCACAAGGCCGTGGGCTCTATTTCTTCTGGCTGCTTATCTAAAGAACTCACAGCAATTCCATTTCGGGCCTTTAGAGATTAGATTTAGGAAAACAGATTTGTAATCATGTATCAATTGTTTGCAGGAATTGCTCTTAAAGTGCTTGGAAGTCACCGATCTAACCAACGGACAAAAAATTTCCTGAGGACAGACCCTCCCCTCTGGAGGCATCCTTCTATCATTGGGTATGGATGTAACAGGTTTGCCTGCAAAGGCTGAGCCTTCCCTGATCCTTAGAAGTGGGCCAGGCAGACAAGCGGCTGATCGTGGGGGTCCTCCTGCCACTTCCTCCTGCAGAGTTCTGTCCTGCTCCCTCAGAAGCTCAGGTCTGGGCAAGACCCTGAGACCAGCACTGCAATTAAACCACATCCACAATTGGCCCCTGCCAGAAGATCCCCACCCACCTCCTGGTCCCTCAACTGCTCCAGGGTCAGGCAATGGAGCACAGTTCTCAGCTGCTGGCAGGAAAGCAGGGAGGGCTCTGGGTTTGTGTGGCCATTTCCTCTTGTCTCCTGTCCTGGGACCTCCCTAAGACCCTCCTGGGTGGAGGCTTATTAAGCAGGGACCCTATCGCAGCACCATGATTTTCAACTCTTGGCAGGCTTCCCTAAAAGCATTTTATGCCAATGCGACTGAGGCTAATTCCAGGCTGCCTGAGTTTAACAAGCTCCCCATCTCTCATCAGCTCCTGACTCCCCGAAGCAAGGTCAAGTGGGAGTTTAATAGCTGTTCCTGGGACTGTGCAGAGGGCAGCCCTTTGAACTCAGTGTCTCAATCCCACAGGTGGGAGGTTCCCACCACTGCGTAATTTCGAGAGGGAGGGCCGAGACTGCCTGGGGGGAAGTCCCATGGCTACCTGGTTCGAGGCAGCTCTTTGATATCTCCTGGAGCACTCCTGGTCCTAGAACCAGACAGCTCTCAACTGAACTGACACAAGTAACAAACTCAGCATCCCCTCTCCTGGGCATTCCTACAAGCCATGCGAGCCCCGTGTTGGTGGAGACACTGCCTTCTCCACCGCAGACACCAACAAGTTAGAATGGAGAAACTGTCTATGGCCCTACCACTCTGAACACGCCGGATGTCATCTCATCTCGGAAGCTAAGCAGGGTCGGGCCTGCTTAGGACTTGGGTGGGAGAATGGAGAAATTGATGGACTTTTGACGATGCAGGTTTTAACATCAGATCTGAGCCCTAATAGCTGTGTGTCTCAGCTGTCTGGGCCACACCATTAACAGGGAAAAGTTTCCTCCACTTAAAGAAAGAAAAAGACAAAGAGGAGAAGGAAGGCAATACGGAGCTCTCCTGGAAGGTACATTAAATCATTAAATGCCAGCCTGCCTGTTTCACGTAGGAGGACTCGTATATGTGTTCCTGGTAGGGAATGTGTGTCCAAAACACCAGCATCTTCTTCTCAGCCCACCCAGGCTGCCCCCATCTTGTTTAATGCCGTTTAGGCAGAATAACTATTTCTCCAATTTTCCAGTGCAGAATTAGACTCTTTAACTTGACTTCTGCATTTTCCTATGTGAGACTCAGCCGGATGTATGTCCTCTCCCACGTGTACAACCCCCATAAACTGAACTAAGAGAGAAGTTTCATTTTATTTGTTTTTCTTTCTCTCCCTTTCCTGACCTTTTGTGCTACATAATCCAGAAAATGATCCAGATGGGAAAGACATTGGCTTTGAAGCAGGAGGAAGGAGGAAGGAAGAAAGGAAAGGAGAATAACCCCACTTCTGTCCAGCCACTGCCCTTGGGGAGAAATCTCCCTCCCCTAAAGTCTGTCCCATGCACGGGCTTGAGATGGTATTGTGGGGTCCTTCCCGAGGGAGGACAGAAGCCCAGCTGACTTGGATGGCCTCCCAACCTTCTCCCCTCAGCTCCTCCACTCCTGCACCACATCTGGCATAAGCCAATCTGAGCATGACACCCACTTTCAGAGCTGAGTCCTGACCTCAGGACACTGAATGGTATCACAGCCGCCCATTCTACATAACTTCATAGGCTTTCAATCTATTTTAACGTAGTCAGATTGACCACATAGATGGAGATCCAGAGTGATCAAGGTACCAACGACTCCTTCCCATACTGTTTCCAGTTAAACCGTCTCCCTTTGCCAGGGTAAACAGATAAGAGGGTAAGGAGGTAGCTCCGCAGGCAGCACAACCTGACCCTAAAGTTGTCCCTCCCTGACCCCCTGGACACCTGCCTCTACCAAGCACTCATGACCCTCCCACACAGGCAACTCAGTCTCATGCCTGGTTTCCTCCCTTTGGAACTGAGGGGAAGAGGGTGAGACTAACATTAACTGAGCTTCTACTATGCTTCATGTGCTTTTACTTCTACTGGCCATATAATTTTCATAAAAATTCTATATGAGGCACAACACATTTTACAAATGAGAAAATTGAGGCTCAGAGAGGCCAAGTGACTTGCCTGATGTCACATAGCTAACAGGTAGCAGAGCCAGGATCTCTCTCGCCATTGTTCCATCTGCGATTGAGCACCCTTTCTGCAGAAAGTAAAGATTGCCTTGCTGAGAGACCTTTTGTCTCCATGCTGACTTTTCTTCACGGCACCAATTACCTATTTGTAACACATTTTACAAATGAGAAAATTGAGGCTCAGAGAGGCCAAGTGACTTGCCTGATGTCACACAGCTAACAGGTAGCAGAGCTAGGATCTGAACACTGATCTATCTGATTTCCAAAATCATGGTTTTTTTTGCCACTGTCCATTCCCCAAACTTGGGCTCAGGATCAACACACAGGAAAAACCTCATGCCTTGTCTTTAGAACTTACCTGCTCTCTCCACCTGCTTCTGAGACTGCCAGCCAGGTGAGGGTGAGTTCCTCTGGGAGACCAGGGAAGCCTGACCTGGGTGGAGGTGTTTCCTGAGGAAGGCCCTGCCCCCAGGGGTCCCCTCTCTGGAAACCTCATGGGACACTGCTACAGCTTTGTCCCCTCCCTTGGCTTGCCAGGTTTTTAGAAGGCAAGATGAAAACGCCTGAGCGGGTACCAGGCTGAGGAATCTTCCAGAGGAAGGTGGGAGATGCTGTTCTGAGAGTTTCATGTCAGTAGGCAAAGGAACCCCTGGCACCCAGTGTGTCTGAGATTGAGGGATGTCCCACCTCTTCTGCCCTGTCACTGACATCCCACCTGGCATCAGGACACGTATCTGCCTCCTGTCTGGAAATCTCTCCCTATGTAGTGTCGCTCTATGGGTAGCTAGCCCTGCTGACTGGCACCCAGCAACCCTTCCATTTTGTTTGGGTTTGGCTTAAGCTGTGCACATATGAGAGCGGCAGAGAACTTGCTTTTCAGTTTTGAAAGTACCGACTGTTAGCAACTGCGACCAGCACAGCCTTTGCTGTCACAGAACCCTTAGGACAGAAAAGGCAGAGGAACAGACGGAAATAAGATGCCTCAAGCACTCAGAGAAACAAGACAGAAGAGTGGTGAGAAAAATACAGAGCGTTGTATCAGCTGTCACAAAAGTCCAGGGGCCCCTTTGATTGGGGTAGGGAGGAAAATCCACCAGGACTGAAAGCGTCTCTCTACTGCTGTGTTCTTGTATGCCCCCTGGGGCAAACCTGCCTACCATTGAGGTCTGAGGGCCTGATGAATTCTGCTGGCTCTTGAGTCCTCATCCACCAGCCCCACAGCACGTTAGTAGAAAGAGCCCTGATGTGGACCATCGATCCTGGCTCTGCCATGTCCCTCAGCCATGGGACCCTGAGAAAGTTCCTTCCCCTCTCTGGGCCTCTATGTCTTCATCTACGTAAAAAATAAAAGCCCTCTGTGATTTCTTTCAGGTCCAAAGCAGGGAGGTATTATCCATGTGTCCCATTAAATAAATAATCCTGGACCCAGCATCTTGACCTTGGATTAGGAACTTCCCTCTCTTTGAAGCCTCGGTCACCCCAGATATTCCCCGGCTACAAGAGGTCTCTGGGAAACTGTGCTATCAACTAGGAGATACGAGATGAAGATAGGTATTCTAATAATGGTATTTCTAGAAAGAAGTCTCTCCACCCTTGAATCTATTCTATATTCCATTGCTAGATTCACTTTCTAAAACCAGGGTCTGCTCTAGGCCGCCCCTCTGCCTCTGACTTCAGTGGTTCCCTGCTGTCTACCAAATAGCATGCACTCTCCCCAGCTGAGTATGCAAGGTGGGTGTGCAAGCGCCTCCTCAATCTGACTCCAACGTGCCTTTCTAGAAAGGTTTCTTTCCCCACCACCTGCTCTTCCCTATCATGGCCACCCCTCCACTTCGTCTGCCTGGAAATCACACCCAGCCCTTGGGGCTCTTCTCCAGCTCTGTATCTTCCATGAAGACTCGGTGCTGATTCTGTTTTGTAGAATGATGTTTTTCTGGATGTTTTGTCTCACCCCCAATACCAGACAAGTGACTCGTTGTGGCAGGGTCTGTGGTTGCTCATCTTGCACCTGAGCGTAGCACAGGGCTGGACATGAACCTAGCCTTCTGTGACTTTCAAAGGATGGAGCTGAAATAGAAAGAGATGGAGCACAGTAGCTCACGCCTATAATCCCAGCACTTTGGGAGGTTGGACTGGGGAGATTTCTTGAAGCCAGGAGTTCAAAACCAGCCTGGGTAATGTAGCAAAACCTCATCTCTACAAAAAAATTTAAAAATGGGCCAGGTATGGTGATACCCACCTGTGGTCCCAGCTACCAGGGAGGCTGATGTGGGAGTCCAGGAGTTCGAGGCTGCAGTAAGCAGGGATTGCACCACTGCACTCCAGCCTGGACAACAGAGCATGACTCTGCCTCAAAAAAACAAATAACAATAATAAATAAATAAAATAAAAAGAAAAAAGAAAATGGAAAGAACTGGGTTCCTGAGGTGTGAAATAAAAGTTCTTGGCAGTGAGTATTTGTGTGTGTGTAGGGGAGACAGGGAGAGGATATGGATAGAGTGGTTTTTAAGCATCCTTTCAACCCTGAGGTGTTGTGTTTGCATGTAGAGTATCTGAAGTTTTTTCAGCACAGGCTCTTTTGTGTCCTGACAAATCTTAGGACCCTAGAGTTGGAGGTCCTGTCTGCGGCTCTAGAATAGAAGTAAGTCCAACATCAAGAAAAAGTTTCTAAGTCAACAGATGTCCGAGGTACTGGTGGAAGCCCAGAGAAGCCAAATGCCTGGTGCTTCTAGTTTGATAGATGAAGAAATCCTGTCTTGGGAATAGCCACGCATCCTGCCCACACCTGCCCCACCAGCCACCAGCCGGCTGCACAGCCTTTGAGCAGGGCCAGCTGCGGGCCTGGCAAGGGGAGGAGCCGAAGGCAGCTGGGGAGTCCTTCCCAGGCCTCCTTCAGGGGCCGGCTCGCTTTACAGTGCAGGTGGAGGCTGGGGGCTCCGCCTGGCTCCTCTCATTTTCCCCACCTGCCTGCAGTGTGGTTTGTCTGCTGGGGCCACGGAGGCGTTGGGGCTGGGGGAATTTGATAGGCAAGGAGGGGGAGGCTGTCTCCTCAAGATGTGTGCGCTGTCCAGTCCATGCTTCCCTCCCTCCTCCCCTTGCACTGTGGAAATGCCCTTTGGGGGTGGCGGGGAGCAGGGAAGAGCTCAAGCTGGAGTGTCTGAAGGTTGCAATAAATAAGGGAAGCTACCCTGAGTGTGTAGATTGTCCTTCTGGACCTCTGCTGGGGATGACCATGGGAGACAGAGGGGAGGGCAGACCCCACACAGGTACCTACAGACACCAGGCATGGGGCTGCCTCTCTGGAAGGTCAAGGGCAGCCTCAGGGCTCATCCCCATATCCCTCAAGAGTCTCCCCATCTCCCTAGCTAGGGAGGCTTCTGTTCTTGGCATTTTCCTATTATCTCCCCCAAGCAGAGTGTGGGAGGCAAGGAGCCTGGGTTGGGGGCCCCAAGAGGTCCCAAGCCAGCTTGGGATGGCATGAGTTCCCTTTCTAACCTCTCCCTGGGTGCCCAAACAAATGTTATCAGTGACTCAGGGAGCCTCCTGTCAAGGTCAGTCTGCCCTGCCTGACGCTGTCACTGCTGCCCGATGTGAGAACCGATTCTGCTTCCTACCTCCTGCCAGCCCCGGCACCATGCCTGGGCATTGGGCAATGGATGAGCTATCAGGAGAGCCCATGTGCCAGGTGGAGATCACCCCCAGCCTTCTGCACAAGGACCACAGGTCTCTTAAGTTTCTGCTTTCCTGGCTGGTCTGTTCTGCAGTGTAACCCTTTCCCTCCCTGGAGTTTCCCACTGAGATTGCAGACCAAGCCCTGTAGATTCCCTTGTGATTCCATCTCCTCTTGCTTGCCTGGCTTTCCAATTTCTGTGGCCCTTGAGTGGCACAGAGAGATCTGAAGTGGCTGGGTAGAAAGAAGCACTGTGGGCCTTAGCGCCATCCATCTCTGCCATTTGGGACCGAGCCCTAGACCATTCCTAAGGCCTGGTGCTATATATCAGATGCGGGACACACATTCTCTTTCAAGGGGCTTATAACCTATGCTGGGAGGGAGGATAGAGATAAAAAGCTAAATATGAATACATGGGAACAAGTGCTCAAATGGGAGTGACAAGTACGTTATACACTGTAGAATTCAAGGAACAGGGAGTTCACAGAGGGCAGAACCCTTCTCTTCCCATGGCTAATGTCCTTTCCTGCCTCCAGACCAGGGGTGGGAAGACACTCAGTAGCAGGTGGACCCCTCTGTCTCCTCCCACTGAGCCAGGACCCACTCACCTATAATGCCCCCCCAATCCAGTGTCACTGGGGTCACCAGGGAAAGGTGCTGGCAAACCCCAGGCCTTGTTTCCCTGCCTCCTTCACGCTGTCTTCCCTCCTTCCCTCTCTCCCCTCTCCTTGCATGTCTATACTCAATTCTCCCTCTTTACAGCAGGAATATAATGTTCGGCTGCCTTACACCCACTCTCTGAATGCTGCCAGCGAATAATGACTAAGGTGGTGGGTGGAAGTACAGCAAGTTGAGACCAATTTAGCAGTCCATGGTGCCAAGAGGAGGGTGATTTAGCAGCAAATGGCTCTGCAGCAGCAAGAAGAGTGAAAATGTCCCCCAAGCCAACAGGCCAGGGAGCCAAGTGCACAGCCCTGCCCTGATGCCTTGGGCGGGGATGGCCTCAGCCACCTGAGAGGTTATTCTGTGAGGTCAGATTCATGCACAGGAATGGGAGGGTTTGAGAACAATGCCCACTCCCAACCCCATCTCACCTCCACTTTCAACCTCCTTGAGGGGCCCCAGTTCTTGTACCCCTCTTAGGCTGAAAGTCTCACCTAGACTGGCCCATCCTCTTCCTCCAGAGGATCTGTAACTCTAATGGGTTCGTGGCCACCTAAAGACTGCCCCAGGCATGGCATCGGGGAGGGGGCTGTCTGAGCTCACCTCAGACCATGCCACAGATTGGCCAGCCCAGGTAGGCAGAGGTGTGGATCTCCCGGGTCCTGACATCTTGGGAGTCTCTGAAGATTTGTGTAATGTGATGTACTTGGGCTTGTGAGTTTGGGTATCACAAGAAAGCACGTCTCAGAGGGAGAGACAATGAGAGTGGATGAATGAAATGGATACGTGTGTGTGCGTGTGTATGTGTGTATGTGTGCGTGTGTGCATGTGTGTGCATGTGCTCTGGCACTGGCCTGAAGGCAGCCCTATCTTCTCCCACAATGATTAACTGACATGAAGCACATCTATTGGCGATCTCCATGGGGCAGCTCTTTGCTGTCTTTGTTCCAGGTGCTGGACGCAACCCACATCACATCTGTTCAGACACCGATTTGGCCTGTCACTTAGTAAGAAAAATCACCTCTCTGCTGGATTGATTAGATCAATTAGCTTTAGCTGTTAGCTAACACACACATTCCCTCTCTGCTTGTCTTCTGTCTCCGTCTTCCGCCTCCCTTCGCTCCCCTCCTTCCCACGATGCTCCATCCAATTCTCTTCTCCCCTGGGGGCAGCCTCCATGTGTGATTGCCCCTGAAGTCTGGTTTCCACAAATTGCTTGAGCTACCAGTGAAGAGACTGCTATCCCATTTTAGTTCAGAACGTACTTGCTCATGGACAAGGTGGAAACACTGAAATATATTATGCAATTAAGGTTGGTATTCCAATGAAATGTCATTAATTCAAATTCTGTGGAGGCAACATTTGCTCTAATTTCAACATGGAGTGGACTAAACCTTTTGAATTGACAAGCTATAAAGAAAGAACTGACATATGATAAATTTCATTCTCTAAAGCAAATGCCAAGTAGACATTCCATTATCCTAGCTACATCCTACTTTATTGTGTTTGTTTGTTTGTTTGTTTGTTTTTGAGACAGAGTCTCGCTTTTTAGCCTAGGTTGCAGTGCAGTGGTGCGATCTCAGCTCACTATAACCTCCGCCTCCCGGGTTCAAGCAATTCTCCCGCCTCAGCCTCCTGAGTAGCTGGGACTACAGGCGTGCACCACCATGCCCAGCTAATTTTTTGTATTTTTAATAGAGATGGGATTTCGCCATGTTGACCAGGCTTGTCTGGAACTCCTGACCTCTGGTGATCGGCTCACCTTGGCCTCCTAAATTGCTGGGATTACAGGCATGAGCCATCACGCCAGGCCCTAGTTTATTGTTTATTGAGCTTAACATATATGCATCACAAGCACTTAGGGAAAAGGGAGATGGGGGGTGAAGTGAGCACAGAAAAACTGAGGAAGATTCGAATGCCCTCATCATGCTTGAATTACAATAAATACAAAAGTAACTGCATTCTTATAATTTTAAAAATCTCTTTTTCCTGCATATTAAACACTTGCCAACAATTCGATGAGCCTAAATCCATTTAATTGGTGAACCCCAATGACTTGGTAGTTACAGCCCAACATTGGGACTCAGAACAGCTGGTGTTCATATCTCAGCATTCCTCTTAAAAATCTTGCATAAACTCTTTCACCTTTCTTTTTTTTTGTTTTTTATTTATTTTTTGAGACAAAGTCTTGCTCTGTCACCCAGCCTGGAGTGCAGCAGTGTGATCTCCACTCACTGCAACCTCCACCTCCCGGGTTCAAGAGATTCTCCTGTCTCAGCCTCCCAAGTAGCTGGAACTACAGGCGTGCACCACCACACCTGGCTCATTTTTGTAGTTTTAGTAGAGACAGGGCTTCATCATGGTGGCCAGGCTGGTCTTGAACTCCTGACCTCAGATGATAAGCCCACCTCAGTCTCCCAAAGTGCTAGGAATACAGGCATGAGCCACCGTGCCCAGCCCTCCTTCAACTTTCAAAGGCGCACTTGGTTTCCTCATCTGCCAAATGGCAAAGGGAATCTTCTCACAGAGTTGTTGTGAGGTGTAAATAATAATAATAATAATTTTATTCCACTTTTTAAAGTGTAAAGTCCTGTACAAGTAAAAAGCGCTATTGAAATCACCATTAAGGAAGTCTAGGGATGGTGGAAGTCAGTGTCCAGCAGGAAGCAACAGTGTGAGGCTGGATGCGGTGGCTCACACCTAGAATCCCAACACTCTGGGAAGCCAAAGTGGGAGGATCACTTGAGGCCAGGGGTTCAAGACCAGCCTGAGCAACATAGCGAGACCTTATTTCTACAAAAATTAAAAACAATTAGCCAGGTGTGTTGGTATGCACTTGTGGTCCCAGCTACTTGGGAGTCTGAGGAGAGAGGACTGGGGATCACTTGAGCTTAGGAGGTCAAGATTGCAGTAAGCTGAGCCGTGATCACATCACTGCACTCCATCCTGAGAGAAACAGCAAGATCTTGTCTCTAAAAAACAAACAAAAAACCAGTGTGAGAGACACAGGATGAAAACTGCAGCAAAACAGAGGGCTTTGCCAAATGGCAAAAGGAGCTAACTAGCCGTAAGCTCACCAGCTATGCTCGACTGTAGCTGACACATCCCCATCAACTTCTCCAACCCTGGGAGGAGGGATCTGGAGGCTAATTTGCACGCTGGCTGGAGGCAGTGGTGAGAGGTGAGAGGTTGAAAACCTCCCATTTTTTATGCACCACCTCTGTTTGGTCTGGGTGGCTGGCCAAACCCAGCATAAGGAGGCAACAGGCTCTGGCTAAGGTTCTTGGAAGAGAGAGCCCTGTCTCCTCAGCTCTCAGCTTGCATCTTGGAGCCATGAACTTGGCTCCTGCTTCGCTGACTCCCTTCATACCCTCCTCAGGTTCAACTTCAAGGTTCAGTTCACAGCCACCTCCTCCCTGGTAAGGAAGGTTCTGGCTCACCTGCCTCCTGCTGAGAAACTGCTGTATTCAAAGTTAGTATTTTAATTGCAAAAACCACAATTACTTTTGCAGCAACCTAATACAATCCAGTTTTCAACTTACTTGTCATTGGTTCAGGTGTGCCAGTTCTTCTTCCCAACTGTCATCACAAATTTTAGTCTCTAAGCATTATTTCGTCTTTTTTGCTGTTATTCCCCACTCCCTGGCACCTCACACGGATAAGACCTTTAATAAATAGTGAAATGCAGAGTTTTTCAAACTTGATCAATGATCTTTAAAAGAAAAACTTAAATCGCCATGGAGCCCCGAGAACACAGGTAGTAATTCCTATATGAGAAATAACAGGGCGATGGAAAGGAGATGGAAGGAGAATCACTTGACTGCGTCGCCTCGGAGAAATCATGGCCAGATTACCTCCCCAAACATGGTAGCAATTCACACTCTCAACTGCAAGCCTAGGAGTGTCCATTTCAGGCTTCAAACTGTAGCAGCACAAAGATCTATTCAACAGCAAACTCAAAGAGCTAATATGTAAATCACCTCAAGATTCCCCACGTAGTTGGATACTTCTTTGTTGGCAAAATCCCAGAAACATCTCATCATTGCCCTGGAACCATGTGGCGGCTCAAAGTGCAGGATTTTAAAACCCCAGGTCTAGGTCACACCTAGAATGGTCCCCTTCCATAACTGTGCTTGTGGGTTGATTGACCTGGAGATAGAGTGGGTGGGGGCGAGTGTTCCCTCGGACTCCCGAACTGTTGGTGGGGCCTGAGATGGCCCCATCTAGGGAGAGGCCTTGAAGGAGCTGGCCCAGTAACAGAGGAAGGAAAGTCAGTGGCCACACTAGCAAAGGGCACCCATGCAGAAATCCACTGTTGGGAACAGTGCTCCCTGCCAAAGGTCTCTGAGAGCTCTCATCTTTCCCCTTACCTTATTAAACAAGCATTTACTAAGGGCATACTCATAGTATCTACTGAAAGCCAACACTGTATTTTTTTTTTCTTTTTTGAGACGGAGTCTCTCTCTGTTGCCCAGACTGGAGTGCAGTGATGTGATCTCGGCTCACTGCAAGCTCCCCCTCCCGGGTTCACGCCATTCTCCTGCCTCAGCCTCCCAAGTAGCTGGGACTACAGGTGCCCGCCACGACGCCCGGCTAATTTTTTGTATTTTTAGTAGAGACGGTGTTTCACCGTGTTAGCCAGGATGGTCTCGATCTCCTGACCTCGTGATCCACCTGCCTCAGCCTCCCAAAGTGCTGAGATTACAAGCGTGAGCCACAGCGCCCCGCCGCCAACACTGTATTTTGAGCTGGGAACTCATGATGCAATCTCTGCTTCTAGGAGTTTTGTAGACTCCTCAGGAGCCAGTGAGTAAATGCCATAATATACTGGTATGATGGTAGGGACTCTGAGGAAGGTACCTGACTCAGAATTGAGGAAAAAACAGAGGAAACTTTCTTGGAGGAGTTGATCCCTATGGTTAAAACCCACAGTGGGGCTGGGTGTGGTGGCTCCTGCCTGTAATCCCAACACTTTGGGAGGCTGAGGCCAGCAGATCACTTGAGGTCAGGAGTTCAAGACCAGCCTGACCAGCATGACAAAACCCCATCTCTACTAAAAATATAAAAGATTAGCCAGGCGTGGTGGCAGGCGCCTATAGTCCCAGCTACTTGTGAGGGTGAGGCAGGAGAACTGCTTGAACCCAGGAGGTGGAGGTTGCGGTGAGCCAAGATCGCACCACTGCACTCCAGCCTGGGCGACAGAGCAAGACTCCGTCTCAAAAAAAAAAAAAAAAAAAAAAAAAGTGGGAGCCAGTTAAGTGGAGAAGGTAGAGAGACCAGGCAGGAATATTCCATGCAGAAGAAACAGTGTTTCTATGTTCAAAGGTAGCAGAATAACATGGACAGAGCCAGGGTCCAGAACCTTACTAAGCTGATCTCAAATCCCTGCCCCTCGGTTTTGTAGCCTGGCTAAATTACTTAACTCTCCTCATCTAATAATTATACATACCCCGCAGGGCTGCAGTGAAAATTAAATGAGATAATGAATAAAAAGTTCCAGGCACACAGTGGATTTAGTGGCTGGCATTAAGTGTTACGGTATTATCCATTACACTGGTCTATAAGGTGCTTACCCATAGGTCTGTCATCATTACATTATTCATCTTCCTAGCCTCGCTGCACAGCTCAGAGCCTTGCATTTGGTAGGCGCCCAATGAATATTTATGAAATGAACGTTGAATAAGCGCAAAGGCATATAAATAAGTTTTCAGGATTAGAAAGCCATTTATATACGTCTGGAGCCCATGTATAGCTTTGCTATACACGCTGACCCACGGCTTCTCAAAACTGAAAGGCACATCTTTCCCTCACACACTCCCAAAGCATTGGCTTTCCCCAGGGCACCCCACGCAGCAGCACTCCTTCTATGACAGCACCCCTGCCCCACATCGACCCAGGCACACACAGCTGGGGGCACCTCCTGCAGATACACAAATGCACAAGCTGAACTGCTGAGACAGGTTTACCTCGTGAAGCACACAGCCGCTGCTATAAATGTTAACTAACAACCATCTTCAGCACATCAAATGTCCCGCCCTCCCTTTTGCTTGCATATAGACACCCACAGAGATGCCCGTTCTTTTTCTACTAGTTTTCTTCTCTTCTTAAGCAGAGTGAGCGCCCCACACTCACATCCACCCAGCTGAGACCTCTTACTAGGACTCCCAGTTGCTCCATCCTATTAGCTGTGGGACCTTAGGGAAAGCCTTTCCCTTCTGACGCCTCCGTTTCTTCACTGGCAGGCACAGAGAGCCCACCGCACCAACCTGGTAGTTATGTTGTGAGGATAAAGGAGATAACGTATGAGATAACGTCTATGATGAGCAGAAAGAGCCTCCAAAGAAAAGCGCTGGATAAATACAAGGTGTAACGCCACGCCTGATTAGCCTGCATGCTCTCTGCCCACAGACTTCTACCCACAGACTATGTTCCACTCCACTCTTAAACACAAACACCTTTCCCGTCTGTACATGCTATCTCTAATACCCATATGCGCACACTCTTCGGGCACCTCCATTCTCCCTCTGGATGCCTGCAGAAAATTGTTTTTGAACTTAGAGAAAGCTCAGGTTGCAAACACCCTCTTGCCGGTACCCGCAGACTCTTCTCAGGGTCTTGGTGCAGGAACTGCCAAGCAGATAGCTCATCTCTTTGTGGCTGGGCTCCTGGGCTCCCAGCATTCCTATTAGGCTGCACTTCCAGCAGAGTGTGGGATCCTTATTAGGAGCAGCGCCTGCCCGGCATGGTCCAGAACTCAGTGCCTCCTCAGTACTTTCCCAGCGCCCGGGACCAGAGAGTAGAGGGGCTGATGGCAGCGGGACGGTGTGGAGGGAATAAGTGAGACAGGAAACACTTTAGGAGGCCAGATCCCTAAGCACTTCTTATTCCTGGGAAATTGAAGACTGCGAAGCTAACAAGTCTGGAGCACTTTCCCAGGCCTGACATACTCGTGGGCGAGCACAAGGCTCATTTGCTCCACAGTTCAAACCTTTCCACTTGGAGCACGAAAAAGAGACATCACCTGGCCCTTGGTGTCTCGGGGATGCCTGTTGCTGCCAAGCTGCGACCTCTGAAGCCCCTCCAGCCAGAGCAAAGCCTGTGGCAGGGTGGAGGGGTGAGGTCTGGCTGCCTAGGGTGGCGGTGGAAGAAGTGAAGGTAGTGTGGGGCTGTCTGTGTGTGCATGGTGCTTTGACTAAATTCCTGAATTGCACATCCAGGACCGACCCCAGGAAGCTGCAGCCCCAGGGAGCCACTTAGACACTTCGATTTACCACCTTCCTCTCTAACCACCTCCGCCCGTGTGACTTATTCCTTGAGGGAAACCTTTCAAATCTCTGGCTGCAACGCACCGGTGTCCTCCCCACCGGTGTGGACACAGCTCATCTGCAAAGTTCCAGGCGGCGAAGTTCAGCGGCCCGGACCGACCGCCGGACCCTCTTCCTGCGGCCCCTGCTCCTGCGGCCTCGCGTCCCCACCTCCCACTTCTTCACCTCCGACACCAGTGTCACCTAACACTGACGTCCCCGCCAGGATCAGCATCGGTGCTGGGAATAGACGAACCCCGTCTGCAGGAGACACGAAGACAAAGACAGGAGGACAGACGCACAGTCACCTCCTCTGGGCCGGGCCGGAGAAGCGGCGCCCACCCTGCAGAGGGGAGACCCTGACAGCTCCACGCGGAGACAAAGACACCTCGACAGCCACGGACACAGACAGACAAAGACCGACGGACGCGCGGACGCACGGACGGTCCGGCCCGGCGAGGGGAAAGCGGTTTCCCGCAGCCAGGGCAGCAGACCCTCCAGGGGCGAGGAGATCCCCGGCCACCGCACCTTACCTGCCCCCTGCGCCTCGGGCGCACTTGAGACTTTTTTTTTTTCCCAGTGTTTCCCGGTGTGTTCCCGTCTCTCTTTTTCCAGAGCTGCTGAGCGGGCCGGGCCGGTCCCACTGCGCGGGATGCAGCTCCCGGCTCCCACTCACTGGCCGAGGCGGGCAGAGAAACTTTCGGCCTCCCCGCCCGGCCGCTGCCAACCCGCCAGCTCCAGGCGCGCCGGCCTCTGCGCGGGTCCCGGAGCCGGGGCGGGGCGGGGCGGGGCGGGGCGGGGCGGGGCCGGCCCGGGGCGGGGCCAGAGCCGGCGCCGCTGATTGGCAGCGAGCTGCCGGCAGCCTGGTCTGTGCCGCTCGGCGGCCTTTGTTCCGGGCTGACAGCTGGGGCTGCTCGCGACCTCGCGGCTCCTTCGCGCCCGCGGCCTGCGCGGGGTCCCGGGTCCCGTCTCTCTGCTCTCACTTCCATCAGCCCCATTGGGCGACCCTGCCCCCTCAGTCTTCCTTTCTTGCCTGGCCCCCTTTCTCCGATTGTTCCTGTCTTGCTCTTGTCGCATCCTTTTTTCCCTTTCATTACCTGAAATTCTTACTCCAGTTTTGTTTAAAATCCATTCCTTCTCCCGTTCTGTGTATGTTCCCCTTTCTTCATTACCCCTTCCTCTTAATCGCCAGTTTATTTTTCTTAATACCGTCTCTCCCGCTCCCGACTCGCACTAAAGGGCGTGTGTTTTGTTCAAGGACTGGACTAGCACCCAAGTGAGGGGCATTGCGAACCACACCAGGATTACAGGCTAGAGTCCAGAGCACCGGGACTCCCACTCCCAAAACATGTCAAAAGCAAACTTTTCCAGCTCTGAGGGAGCTGAGTTTCAGGTGACAGCAGAGGCCTGTTTCAAGTTTATAGCTATTAGTCTCACCCAGTCCCCTTATAATACTATCATTTTCTCAACCACCCTCACTTTTAACTTCTAGCAACTGAGCCAGGAGAGGATTCAAGCTTACAAGGTTTTGTAGGACAAAGGGTCAGTTAACCGGAGTGCTAGGTGCAGCATGAGGCTTGGGGGCTTGAGGGTGCACTGAGGCTAATCCTCTAAAACCAGGCTTGGCGGGAAGATGGCAGCTCTGCCCAAGGAGTGTTAGCCTCATCTTGAAAGAAGCCTGTGTGTGTGTGTGTGTGTGTGTGTGTGTGTGTGTGTGTGTGTTGGGGGGTGGGGGATAGATGTAATGGATTAGGATTGACATAGCCGATCTGATTATAAATAGCATGGGGGCCGGACGCGGTGGCTCATGCCTGTAATCTCAGCACTTTGGGAGGCCGAGGTTGGTGGATCACTTGAGGTCAGGAGTTGAAGACCAGCCTGGCCAACATGGTGAAACCCCGTCTCTACTAAAAAAAAAAAAAAAAAAAAATACAAAAATTAGCTGGGTGTGGTGGCAGGAGCCTGTAATCCCAGCTACTTGGGAGGCTGAGGCTTGGGAATTGCTTGAGCCTGGAAGGCAGAGGTTGCAGTGAGCCAAGATAGTGCCACTGCACTCCAGCCTGGGTGACAGAGTGACACCGTGTCTCAAAATAAATAAATAAATAAATAAATACAAAAAAATTAAATAGAATTGTGGTGGCAGGGGGGACAGCTCAAAGGAAAACAAGCCATATGGTTTCTGCCACACCCCTGCTCAAAACCCTGTAGGGGAATCTCACTGCCTTCGGTTGTTGACCCTGAAGACTCTGACCTTCGAATCTAGGCTTCCTGAAAGATGGCACCGCGAGGGTTTAAGAACACAGACAGGCTTCGCTGCTTGTTATTTGAGCCATTACCTTCCCCTCCCTCTTTCTCAGTTTTTCTTTTTCTTTCTTTCTTTTTTTATTTGTGAAATGAGGTAACAAGTCCCAGTGTAAATTCCCTGAAGGCAGGAACTTGTTCTCTTTTATTGGTGGCTGAGGGACTTGGTCTGTTTTATTCATAGATGTATCCCCGACACCTAGAACTTGCCAGGCAACATAGTAGGCACTCAATATGTATTTGTTAAATGAATGAATTTCTCATGTATAGGTTTGTTCTGATGATTAAATGAAACCCACTGCCTTGCGGTAAGTACATACACGTGGCAGTAATTACAAGCAATACGACAATTTCTAAGTGTCAACCCCAAAGGCTACTCAGCCTTTTCCTGAACATCACCTCCTTTTCCCCACCTTTGTATAAACCTGCCCCTCAGTCTGAAAAGCTTTTCTCCTGCTCTTCTAACTCTACCTCTCAAAATCTGAGACAAAATATGGAACCCTTACTCACACCTTCTCTTATCGTCCAGGGCAAAATAATGTCTTCTTTTTCTAAAGCGCCATGCTTCTTTGTGTTGCATTTATTGACAGAGAACATGTATTCTTGCTTGCTGGTGAGAGTATCTCAAGAATTTTAGCTGAATGAGTTAATATCGATCAAACATTCCAGCGCTTTAAGGAAAGAGCAGACTCCTGGAAGGTAGATTAAGGTATGAGGTGGGCTCCAGACTTCAAACTCATTTTCACATCGTCGGAGGTGAGATTCCATGGAAGAGACAAAGGACTCTGGAAGCCCACTTTTTGTTCTGGCCCTACTGCTGACTATATGCTCTTGGACAAGCCATGTCCCTAATGAGGCCTCAGTTTCCTCATCTGGAAAGTGGATGGTTTGGAGTCCCTGATGAGACCTCAGTTTCCTATCTGGAAAGTGGATGGTTTGGAGTCCCTGATGAGGCCTCAGTTTCCTCATCTGGAAAGTGGATGGTTTGGATGAGAAGATACTCCTTAAGGACCCTCCTTCAGCACTGACACCTTTGTCAGTGACATTCTAGGTGAAAGCTGGGTATGATGTGCAGCCTTCCTGGAATGACTGAGTCAGGCAAAGGGTATGAGCAGTGTGTTGGTTTGTGTATGAGCGGTGGAAATGGGATACCCTATGGAACAACAGAAACACCCTGTGGAAGGGATACTTTAGAGACAGAATGCATAGAGAGTGGGGCTGGAAATGAGAAGGCAGAGTGGAGAAGGAGACCAGTGATGGACAGCACAGCATGTGTGTATGTATTATGGTTCCGTATGTGTGCATGAAAGCCTCAGGAATGTGGTCTCCAGCAGCACAAAGCCATAATTAGCTCCCTGATTCAGCAGTTGGGTATGGTAATGCAATGGCTGGGTGTGTCTACCCCCAACACCACCGGTAGGTTCTCAGTGTGGCTCCTTTTCTTCCTTGTCTAGTGAAGGGGCGCTGCCCTTCCTTAGTGTCTGGGTTCCCGAGAGGTGTCTTATGTGAAACTCTGCATCCCTCAGGCTCTCCCTTGCCTGAGTCGAGTCTAGAAAGCTGGGTCACAAAACATTTCTTGTAAAAATCTCCTACCCTCCTCCTGTATTCATCACCTGAGATACAGAGCATCATGCTTCATCTCTAGGACCTAAGATTGGCCACACTGGACCAGACCCATAGACCAGTTAAGCCAGCAGCTTGTTTGGATTACAGACAACTCTGCCTTCCTCAAGGTACTGTCACCTATCACAATTTAATTAATTCCCTGGCTTCTTGTTTGTCTGTTCATCTCTTCTGCAAGTTTCTTGTTCAAAGATCATGTCTGTCTTAGTCAACATTGAATCCACAGAACTCAGCACATTATTGGTACAAAGCAAGCGCTCAAAAAATACTAGAATGAGTGCTATGAGGGGAGGGAGGCGAGATGATGTTTCAGAGAGATAAATTGACTCAAATTCAGAAAATCCACGTGTATTCCTACTTCTTCCAATCTGCAGTCTTCTCACAACCCTTTGGAGGTTTAGTTTGCTATCAGTGAAAGAAGCCTAATAACATTTTCCCTATCTATCTTTTGGCAACAATACAAAATGAAAAGAATTAATAAAGTCAAAGGTGTTATGAAAAATACAAAATATCAAATAATTTTTTAATATTATTTCAAGTCTCAAAATCCAGGGCCTTGTGTTAAGAGAAAAGAAATGCTGACTATATTTAAGTGAGGTTGGATAATCTCCAAAAGCCGGTGAAAAAATATGAGCCTAGACAACTGAGCAAAGCTTTAAGGAATCAACTGAGGCCACTCCTGATTTCCCAGTGACCCCAGTAAAGGTCCAGGGAGAGCAGTTTTTCTGCAGTCAGAGCCAATGGTCCCATGACCTTAGAAGATGTCTTACCATCCCTGTCTTTTTCCAGGGTAGAAAACAGTTCCCGTGGAGTTGCTTTGAATGTGCAACTTTTATAACAAGAATTTTCATTCCTTACCTGTAGGTCTCTGACCACCTTGAATCTCTTATCTCTGGGCTTCAGGAGACTTGTCTCTGAATTGGAAGGACCATCTCTTTTTTCTTTAAATTTATTTATTTATTTTTTATTTTTTTTGAGACGGAGTCTCGCTCTGTCGCCCAGACTGGAGTGCAGTGGTGCCATCTCGGCTCACTGCAAGCTCCGCCTCCCGGGTTCATGCCATTCTCCTGCCTCAGCCTCCCGAGTAGCTGGGACTACAGGCGCCCACCACCACGCCCGGCTAATTTTTTGTATTTTTAGTAGAGACGGGGTTTCACTGTGTTAGTCAGGATGGTCTCGATCTCCTGACCTTGTGATCCGCCCACCTCGGCCTCCCAAAGTGCTGGGATTACAGGCGTGAGCCACCACGCCTGGCCAGGACCATCTCTCCTCTGTCTTCTCTGCATGTTATAAAGACAAATGAGATAAAATGAAAGTAGTTTTTCTACTTTCCTCGAAAGTGCTGCATGACTTCAAGAAATTGTTAATCATCATCATCACTAGCATTATGATTCATAACTTCATTCTAAGTCTTCACCTGTATTCAGGTTAGGGAGACCAGAGAAGTTACAGAGAGAACAAATAGCCTTAGATGCCCTGGGAGAACTTGCTGACATACAATTCCTATTCAACGATGACCCCTCCCTACTAAGACACTCAAGTTATATCAGGAAATATGTCCACCCTACTCTTTCAGTGAAAGGAAAACTGAGTCAAAGTGCAAGACAAGAAATTGACCCAGCTTCACTGGAGCTGGGACCTCAGGGTTTAAGGGCACATGCCTCCTACCTGCCTCAGAAACCTTGTAACTGACACAGGGCCTGAATGTGGTTTGATCTGGGCAGTGTTGACCACAAGCAGGCAGCCTTCTCCTGAGCAGAGAATAGTGAGACAGCTAACTTGGCTAATGCAATGCGAGGGCTCAAATGGCACTAACGGGCTGCCAGTGTGAATCGGTTTTGTTTAGGTACCAGCTGGCAAAGCTCATCTGAAAGTTAAGTAGCAAGCCCTTTGATGTGTAAACTCACGGTTGAACTAAATTACAGAGAAATGAGAAGGAAGTATTTTGAGTTGACTCCCTCGCTCCATCTTTTTCAATAGTGTATAATAGACTATTTATATCCTTTCCTTTTCTTCTTCTTTCTTTTTATTTTTTTTTTTATTTTTATTATTATTATTTTTTTAGACAGGGTCTCACTCTGTCGTCCAGGCTGGAGTGCAGTGGTACAATTTTGGCTCACTGCAACCTCTGCTTCCCAGGACTCAGGTGATCCTCCCACCTCAGCCTCTCCAGTAGCTGGGACTACAGGCATGTGCCACTACCCCTGGCTAATTTTTGTATTTTTTTGTAGAGACGGTGTTTCGCCATGTTGCCTAGGCTGGTCTCAAACTCCTGAGCTCAAGCAATTAGCTCACCTCAGCCTCCCAAAGTGCTGGGATTACAGGTGTGAGCCAGTGTGCCCGGCCAACAGACTAGTTCTAATTTAACATCCAATCTCTGAAAGGTCTGGCCTATCACTTGTTCTGAAATTTATCTCCTCTGTGGTTTTGGCAAGTTTGTCCAAAATTATAAATCGTGAGGATGTTTCCATGTACAGGTAACAGAAAAGCTTGACTCAAAATCCCCTAAACAATAGAAAAAAACCTCATGAATTAATAAGTTCAGAGATCAGGTCCCAGGTTCTTTTGTACCTTGGCTTCCCAGTGGCATCAGGAATCAGGCCTTGCCATGTCTCTGTTCTGCCATCCTCAGAGCATGGGCTTGGATTGCCCTTGGGATGGTTGCTTCATGATCATGGGTTGAATCTCTCGGTCTAGTCGGGACATCCAGAACTAGCAATGCGCTGAGGAATAAAGGACCTTTGTTCCTGCATCTCTTTTTCAAGATCAAGGAAACCTTTCCCAGAAGGCCTTCAGCTGACCCTAAACAGCCTGGCCATGTCATCTAGCAGTCATGGGTTCACTCAGTAAAATTACCCTGATTGGCTTCGACCAGTCCATTGGTGGTAGATAGATATTGGAACATACCTGTGTAGCTCACCTTTGTCTTCAAGAAGGGGGAAAGAAGCCCTGTAGAAAACTAACAGCCATTGCTTGCCTATCACATGCCACACCTTTGCTGGACATTTTACCTACAGTATCTTACTTAATAATCACAGAAATTATTATCTCTGTTTTCCAGATGCAGAAACTGCAGTTCAGAGTGGCTAAACAATTTGCCTCAAATCCCACTACTAGTAGTGGAGGAGAAAGAATTGGAATTCAGGTTTATCCACACCCTTTGCTCTCTCTAGTCTTCCAGGCTGTCTCTCCAGAGTCTATCTTTTCAGCTCTACCCAAGGCTGGAGACCACCTGCCCCAAATGAATGAGACCCTTCTAGGACCACTGCAAGCGCAAGGCATAGGATAGCTTCCCCTCTAGCATCAAGTTGAAACGGCCGTGTTCAGCTTTCCCACACCCTCACGTTTCCAACATGCACATCTCCTACGTCACCCCAGAGCTCCACATTGCCTCCCCACCATCAAGGCCACGTCCATATCCGTCCATGTCCTGGCCCTCCTTCAAGCCAGATGGAAGTGTCTTTCAAGGCCCTCGCCAGGTCCTGACCCACCCTCCTTAATCTCCCACTCCCACCCCATTGAATGAAGTTTCACTGAACAACACATACACATCCTACTATTCATTGCTTTATTGCCACTTTGTAACTTAGGTGGTATTGTTTCAGGTGAATGAAGCTCATTTTCTTACTGGATTTGAAGTGCTCTGCTCAATGCTCAGTACATAATAGGCACTCAATAAACATTAAAGAAATACATGAGGACAAAGACCACCTCTTATTTTTCTATATCTTTAATAACACTCCGCCTGCTGCTGAGCACATGGCTGGTGACTAATGGACTAATTGACTTGGGGCTTATATCCCCCCAGGGCTAAGGAATGGCACGCAGACAAAGAACCTGGCACGGCCCTTGTCAGTTCTGAGGGAGGTCTTTTGCAAATGGGCCCTGTCAAACTCACATTTGCTTGTAGCCCTAAACTCATTTAAACAAATAGAGCATATGAGATCATGACTTCTGGGAAATCATTTAGTTCCCCTATGGGGAATGCTGGCATGCTCATTTCCTCTCCCCAGGGGGGAGAAAAAAATAGCAGAGGCTTTGGAAACCCTGTGTGCTGCAATTTCATTTACACATTTACTCAGTGGTTTCTCAGGAAGCGGCTCCAGGAGTCCTAGAGGAGAGGATGCTGCACACAAAGGGCTGGGGAGATCAGAGACTGGTTGTCTGGGGCAAGGGGCTGCCCTGGGCTTGGGGTCCTGCTGGCCTGCTTGGTTTTCTAATTGAATCCTCCAGGTCACTGCCCCTCTCAATGAGCATCTCCATTCTTCTCTCATGTCTTCTGGCATTAACTACATTGCCTTTACTCTGCATATCAAATTTTATAGGTGTTGACCATATATTTTGCTTTTATTCCCAAGACTGACTGTAGTCTCCAAAAGATGGACTCAATCCAATCACTTAATCTGGGAGGAGCATAAGGGGGCGGGTGGTTGCATAACGTCATCACTGAGGTCAACACTGAGGTCATTTCCAATGTTCTCTCTCTCTCTCTTTCTTTTTTTCTTTCTTTCTTTGTTTCTCTCTCTTTCTTTCTCTCTCTCCTTCCTTCCTTCTTTCCTTCCTTCTTTCCTTTTTTCCTCCTCCCTCTCTTTCTCTCTCTCGTTTTTCTGTTTCCCTCTGTCACCCAGGCTGGAGTGCAGTGGTATGACCAGAGCTCACTGCAGCCTCAGCCTCCTGAGTAGCTGAGACTACAGGTGCTCACCACCACACTCAGCTAATTTTTTGTAGAGATGGAGTCTCGCTGTGTTGCCCAGGCTGATCTCGAACTCCTGGCCTCAAGTGATCCTCCTGCTTCAGCCTCCCAAAGTGCTGGGATTACAGGCAGGAGCCACTGGGCCCAGCCTCCAGAATTTTCTGTCTCTTTTTCCCCAGTTTCTAATAACAGCAAAAAAAAAAAAAAAAAGAGGGTTTGTGATGGCAGCTAGTTTGAGTGGTCCATCCAGAAAGGGCTCTTGGTAATTGTTGACAAATTTTGCCTTCAGGGTTCAATGGAAACCATATTGCGAAGTAGCATCCGTTTGGTTAAGGTTTCCCAGTCACTGTGCCTACCTCACAGTGTTGCCGTGCAGGTTAAATGGGCTAATTACTTGTGCAGAGCTCAGCACAAGGAAAATGTATAGGAAAACTCTTAAGTGTTAGTTGTGGTTGTTCTCTTTGCCACCTCTCCCGCAATCATGAACCCAGAGCCTTTTCTACCCTATTTCTTCTAATTAGAAAAGGTCTCATGATTTGGCCTGAAGCCCATTCAGCATGACGCAGTGGAAAAAAACATTTCGAGTCTATAGACCTGGACCAGTGGAAGACCTGGGTTGGAATTCTACTCTGCACTTAGCAGCTGAGTGACCTTGGCGTAGTCTTTTGCCTCCATAAGCTTAAGTTTGTGCCCTCTTGAGTGATATTAACGATAATATTCCACGGGATTGGACGCAGGAAAAACGTACAACAGACTAAAATCCACCACAATCCTCGGTGATAGTGATTGCTATACGATAGAACGCTTAGACTAACATTTACCACACTTAGACTAACATCAAGGATAGTGATGGCTGAACGACAGAAGACTTTCCACTACTGCGAAGGACAGTGACAGTGAAATGTTGCTTCTTTCCCAGCTACAGCCCTACCCCCTCCCTAAGGTCTTTTCGTTTTATCAATGGACATAATCAATTAATCTAAATGAATGAGGCAGCACTGAACTTCCTGGCATTAGCAGTGGGCGGAGGAGGTACTCGGTTGGACAGTGGAGCGTCATCTCGTCCTTGAAACCCCAAGGTTAGGTAGAGAGCGGAGCTGGAAGGCAGAGAGCGAAAGCCCTTGCTCCAAGTTAGGAGAGACAGCCAGGGGGAACCGATCCAAAATGGCAGCTTGAGAGGAAGTAGCCGGCTGCCTGTTCTGGAACCTCTCGGAGCGGTGTTTAGAATGTTCTCTCTCATTAATCCTATTTAAAGCCCGGCTGCTGAGAGGGGAGGCGGGGAGTCTTGTTTCAACTTGCAGCGGTGAGGTTCCCTGCCGCCACTGCCTCTGCTGTTGATGCAGGGCTGAGCCCAGTGCTGGGAGGGGCAGGGGGCTTTCTCAGGGCCACTGCTGCTGACTCTGACAGCCCCTCAGGAGAGCTGCTTAGGCATCCCCTCGCCTCAGACCTGCTTCTGACTCGCCCGACCCTGACCCTGAGTTTTGTTGCGGGAGAGGCTGTTTGCTAAGAAGGCAGCAGGTGTGGGCTGGCCAGCCAGCTGGTGATGAAGAAATATTGGAGAAAGGTGACTCTCCATTGAAGTGCCGTGGATAGTGGGTAAAAAAAAAAGTGGGGGGATTTTGTGCAAGAGTGTTTTCTGGGAATTTCCCTCTCCCTCTGGGCATGGGGAGGTCTCTAGCTGGTTTTGAAAACTAGGAACAAATATTCCCAGCCTTCCTCTTTGAGGTTCTCCTGGAGGGGCCAGATCTAGGGAACTGGGGCCTTCCTCACCTTGAAGGGGAAATGTGTGAGTGAACCTGCGATGAATAATGTAGAGCCAGCGTTTGCAGAGAAAGAGTAGTGGACAATATTTACCTCTGTGGCGTTATTTCTGAGAGGCCGAAAAGAGACTTTTTCCCCACTAAATATTTCCCTGTAATTGATAGTCAATTCTTGGGGTTCATCTGTGGGCAGGTGTTATCTGCAGACTAGAGCTCTTGGGCAGCTCTGACATTTACCAGTTGCATGATGGTGGATAGGTCATTTACTGTGAGCTGACTTCTCTGTAAAATGGAGAGAAGCCCCCTGCTCCTGTAAGTCACTGTGAACACATGGCAGATGCATTCCTTTCACTGGGGAATCTCCTCCTCTCTCGTGCAGATTTTAAGCCTCTGGCTGATACTTTTACCCAATATTCCCATTTGCTTTAAGGGTCAAACGCTGAAATTTTTAACAGAGACAAACTTGCTGTTCCTTGTTTCTTCCTCTTGTTTTGGGGACAGTCTCGCTGGATCTGCTTCTGACTATCTGTGAAGGTACCGTGGAGGCGGTCCCAGCCTTTCTTAGCAAGGCTGGCCAGTGATTGAGAGACTGGTGTGCTATAATTATGAGAGTGAATTGGGGATAGAATCGACCCCCAGGACAGGCAGAATCTTCCAGTGGCATCTGAAGATTTTGTAGTAAGAGTAATTTGCCAAGAGGAAGCCAAACTTGGGTTCAGCACCGGTCGGGCCCGGTGATCCTTGTGCAGGCTCTTCAGGGTTCCGTAATCTTGTTTTTTCCTCCCAGTAAAATGGGGATAATAAAACTCATCTTGTGTTTCCATTTGGCTTGCATGAGGGTGACAGGAGACTGTGAATGAAAAGCTGAAAACGTAAGGTAATTTAGGCTCCTGGGATTGTCGGCTCTCCTTGATAAATGCCCATTTGGCGGTGCTCTTGTTATCTTGAAGAACGGCCAACTTCACTCTGATCTGCGTTAAACTCCCACATTGCCAGGCACGATCCTCATTGCCTTGAAAGCAGTAAAGCGGTTGGGTAGAAGATGCTATTTTAGGACTTAAAACTGAAAAGCAAAAAAAAAAAAAAAAAAAAAATCAATGTGAGCATAAAGGGATAATTTAACAGGATTGTACTCATGAGGGAAGGGAAGAGATACTGTATATTAACTTCTAGTTGAGTGGAACTTGACATTTATGCAGCAAGTTAAGTCACCACAACTGAAAAGTTAATAGCCCTATTATCACCAAGTAGGGAAAGAGAGAGAGGTTAAGGGAAAAATACTCTTGTTTTGGACTGACAGAATCTTGGCCTGGATATTGGGGGATGTGTCGTTGTGAATTTTCTCTTCTCCCTGAGGAGCAGAGACTTAATATATTTGTAGAGCACTTTATACGTTCGAAGTCCAAACAGTCTCTCATTTGATCTTTGCCAACCTTTTAATGCAGGACAGACAGGTGTTAACTATCCCCACTTCGCAGATGAGAACACTGAGGCTCAGTGAGATTAAGTCACATACCTACAAGTCACAGAATGAGGCAGAAATCACTTGTTTCTTTGGTTCCCATTCCTGGCACCAAAACCGAAACACCCAGCCTGTAATTAGAATTTCATAGAATCTGACGAGGCTAAATGTCTTCCTGTCCAACATCTCACCCAATGCAAGAATCCTCACTACCAGGCACATAGCAGGTGGTGTTCCGAATCGGCAGGAAGATGTATATTAACAAAGAACTCACTACTTTATGAGACAGATCATTCTATTTTTTTTACGTCTGTAAATGTTGAGGGAGTTTTGATGAAATGAAAACAAAAATCTCTCTCCTGGTAATGTTTACCCATCAGTCAGTGGTACATTAAATGTTGAAGCCGGAACAGATCTTAGAAATGATGCAATGATGGCTCAGGTCTAAGTGATGGGGTTACCATGAGTGGGTGGGTGAGCTCAGGGCTCTGCCTGCCAGTCTGGTCCTCTTAGCCCGACTACACCAGGTTAGTTCTGCCCACCTGAGCAACCTTGATGAGCCTACTTTCCACCTGCAGAGATTTGAAAATCACAATCCAGGCTGGGCGCAGTGGCTCATGTCTGTAATCCCAGCACTTTGGGAGGCCGAGGTGGGTGGATCACTTGAGGTCAGGAGTTCAAGACCAGCATGATGAAACCCCATCTCTACTACTACTTAAAAAAAAAAAAAAAAAAAAAAGCCTGGTATGGCAGCACGGGCCTGTAGTCCCAGCTACTCAGGAGGCTGAGGCACGAGAATCACTTGAACCAGCATGGTGGAGATTGCAGTGAGCTGAGATTGCGCTACTGCACTCCAGCCTGGGCAAAAGGGCAAGACTCGGTCTCAAAAGATAATAATAGTAAGTAAAATAAAATAAAAAAATAAAGAAAACCACAACCCAGTCTACCTTTTTAAAAAAAAATTTTTTTTTTTTGGATTCAGGGGGTACATGTACACGTTTGTTACATGAATATATCGCGTGATGCTGAGGTTTGGGCTTCAATTGAACCTGTCACCTTAATAGTGAACATAATGGCCACTAGGCAGTTTTCCAACTCTTTCCCCGACTCTCTCGCCTCTCTAGCAGTCCCCAGTGCCTATTGTTCCCATCTCAGGGGAACAATAAGATGTCCCATGTGTACTCGATGTTTATGTTCATGTATACCCAATGTTTACCTCCCACTTATGAGTGAGAACATGTGGCATTTTATTTTCTGTTTCTGCATTAATTCACTTAGGATAATGGCCCCCAGTAGTATCACATTGCTGCAAACGACATTATTTCATTTTTTATGGCCACAGAGTATTCCATTGTGTCTATGTACCACATTTCACATTTTCTTTATCCAACCCACTATTTTTTTTTTGAGACAGAGTCTGGCTCTGTCTCCCAGGCTGGAGCACAGTGGCACAATCTCGGCTCACTACAACCTCTGCCTCCCAGGTTCAAGCAGTTCTTCTGCCTCAGCCTCCTGAGTAGCTGGGATTACAGGCTCGTGCCACCACGCCCAGCTAATTTTTTGCATTTTTAGTAGAGACAGGGTTTCACCATGCTGGCCAGGCTGGTCTCGAACTCCTGACGTTGTGATCCACCCACCTCGGCCTCCCAAAGTGTTGGGATTACAGGTGTGAGTCACTGCGCCTGGCCTCAAATCCACTATGGATGTGTATGTAGGTTGATTCCACGTCTTTGCTATTGTGAATGGCACTGTGACAATCCCGTCTACTGCAGTTTCCTCCTGTCAAGTTTAGTGTTTCCACTTGACTTCATCCTTATTGTGTGATGTGATTTTCTTATTCATTCAACAAGTACTTCTGGAGAACCAACTCTGCTCAACGTGTGCTACATGCCAGGAACAGAGTAGCAAACATTCAGGTGTGTCCTTGTCTTCATGAAGCTTACAGTCTGGTGGGGAATGTAGTCATTGAACAAATAAAATAAGATGTGGTGAATGTAATGCTGGAGGAGATTAGGCAAGGCAAGTGTTATGCTGTTGGAGGGACAGGGACATCTAGAAGCCATATTAGGGAAGGCACCCAATCTGTGCTGCTACTAACCATCCTTGTTGCTTATGTACCCACATGCCATCTCGTTAAGGTCTTTTTAATGTGTGGGCCCCTGAAAAGGTTGTATCAATTCAAATATTTGTTCAAGGCAGAGAGCAGCCATTCTCTCCTTCTTTCTCTTTTTGCACACACTATACTTTTGTTAAGGCATGTTAAGGCTGAGTTTGCATTTTCCCCAGATACACGGTATTGCTGGCTTCTAGTAGCTTGAGCTCACCTAAAATCTATGTGATCTACTGTCCAGTCAGATCTGATCTGTTTAATGTTTTTAGTGGCAATGAAGGAATCGACAATTTACACATATTGTATTTCATCCTTTTGGTTTGGCTCAAGATTCTAGTCTGTAACAATCTCTTCTTGTCTCTGTTCCTGTTAACAAAGATATGTTTGCAAGAACTAGAAACATGCTCAGGTTATCTGAGTTCATGGGAGTTTATTGTAAAGACAAGAAAAACTTCTGCAGACTCCCAGTGAGGGCTCCCAGAGAAAGGACTATTATTCATAAATGAGGAGGTGACCTCAGCAGCTGCAAAAAAGAGAACGGCCTTGGGACCTGTCTACCACTGAAGTATTCTCCCTCCTTTACCTCTTCTTCCTGCTTTATTCTCTGCTCTTTTTCCTCCTCCTATTTTTTTTTTGAAACAGGTTTTCACTCCCGTTTCCCAGGCTGGAGTGCAATGGCCAGATCTCCGGTCACTGCAACCTCCACCTCTCAGGCTCAAGTGATTCTCCTGCCTCAGCCTCCTGAGTAGCTGGGGCTACAGGCATGCTCCAACATGCCTGGCTAATTTTTGTGGTTTTTTGTAGAGGCGGGGTTTCTCCATGTTGCCCAGGCTAGTCTCCAGCTCCTGAGCTCAAGTGATCTTCCCGCGTCAGCCTCCCAAAGTGTTGGGATTGTAGGTGTGAGCCAGTTCGCCCAGCCCTCTTCCCTCTTCCTTCTCTCTGTGATTTCTATTCATAATTTCTTCCTGTTGCCTTTTCCTTTTTTTTTTTTTTCTTTTTCCCTTTATTTTTTTTTAAGAGACAGAATCTCACTCTGTTGCCCAGGCTAGAGTGCAATGGTGTGATCATAGCTCACTGCAGCCTCAAATTCCTGGGCTCAAGTGATCTTCTTGCCTCAGCCTCCTGAGTAGCTGGGACTACAGGCATGAACCACCACACCTGGCCTCTTCCTGTCATCTTTTATTTTCCTCTTTCTACTTCTGTACTCTTCTGTCACCTGTATTTGCTGCTTCTGATGCTCAGAAGATCTGAATGAGTCAGCTACCTGTGTTAAGAATCATGTGTCCATATAGTCCTGGCTATTTGGATCAGGCACTATCTCTGTCCTGATCAGCTATGGACAGGGCTATGGCGTCGTGGGAGAGCTAGCACACTCACTGGCACATAAAGAATCTCTCAGAAGAGAGATGTGAATTTTGAAACAGGGTCTTGTTCTATCACCCAGGCTGGAGTACAGTGGCATGATCACGGCTCACTGCAGCCTCCACCTCCCAGGCTCAGTCAATCCTCCTGCTTCAGCCTCCCAAGTAGCAGGGACCACAGGCATGAGCCACCATGCCCAGTCTCCTAAAGTGTTAGGATTACAGGTGTGAGCCACCACACCTGGCCAGAACACAGACTCTTAAATATACTAAAAGTGTCTGAGTGCTTCATAATTAGCTCCTCATCTATACAGGGATTTAGTTTATTTAAATGTTTGTTTTAAGTTTCTTGGACTTTATCCTTCTGTGTCTCCGTTTCAGACATGGTACCTCCTTTACAAAATAACTAGTTTTCATGTGTGTGTTGAGAGCCAAAAATCACGATCCCAGCCACTTGTCACTTGAACCAGTAGAGATTTATTACTTTTAATCTAAATGATGCCTGTTATAACAGGTATGTCTTACGCATCAACAAAGATGTTCCCAAACTTGTGGTGAAATTGGCAGTCACTTGGTGTCTTGCCCTATACCTTATCTTTTTGTCTTTACATTTAGCCTTTGAAGGATAACCAAAAAGGAAGACTCAGAGCTGGTTCTCTGAAGGGATGGAGATGTACGCATCTGCGGTCCCTGCAGTCAGCTATTCTAAGACCTGCTTTTTTTGACCGAGCTTTATAGTATCTTTAGGACTCGAAGGCTGCCACTCAAAATCATACCTCACCAAGGGTCCACTGGCTACTCCCTACTTCAAACATGAAATACAATTCGTCTTTGAGTTGCTTGCAAGCCAGGAATGAAGTTGAAGTCAACTAGCGCTAGCCTCCATAAAATCTCCGTTTGGCTATAGACATTAAAACATGCATTGAGATCGGTAAAGCGGAAGTTCTTTAAGTATGAAATTTAAGTACGGCTGTGAAATCAATGTGCCCCTATTGTCTATGCTGTGATATTCAACGTCCAGAGACTTGTTAGAAAATGCAGCGTCTCTGCTAGGTTTGATGGCTCACATCTGTAATCCCAGCACTTTGAGAGGCTGAGGCGGGCGGATTGCTAGAGGTCAGGAGTTTCCTGAAACTGGTGAAACCCCAACTCTACTAAAAATATAAAAATTAGCTGCACATGGTGGTGCGCTCCTGTAATCTCAGCTACTTGGGAGGCTGAGACACGAGAACCGCTTAACCCCAGGGTAGGGTGGAAGTGCAGTGAACCAAGATTGCACCAGCCTGGGTGACCCTGCAGCCTGAGTGTCAGAGCGAGACTCCATCTTAAAAAAAAAAAAAAAAAAAAAGAAAGAAATGCAACATCTCATGCACCTCCCCTACCTGTAGAACCAGAAGCTCTGAGGATGGGGCCACCAATGTGTGTTTTGTTTATTTCTTTCTTTATTTTTGAGACAGAGTCTTCCTCTGTTACCCAGGATAGAGTGCAGTGACGCAATCATAGCTCTTTGCAGACTCAACCTCCCTGTCTCAAACAATCTTTGCCTTAGACTCCTGAGTAACTGGGACCAAAGGCATGCACTGCCATGCCTGTATAATTTTTCTGATTTTTAGTAGAGATGAGGTCTTGTTATGTTGCCCAGGCTGGTTTCGAACCCCTTAGCTCAAGCAATCCTCCCACCTCAGCTTCCAAAAGTACTGGGATTGCAGGCGTCAGCCACCATACCTGACACGATCTGTGCTTTACAAGCAGCCTGGATGGTTTTGTGGCACCACTGAAGTTTGAGAATCACTGCTTTTAATCTGAGAAATCAGGGCCATTTTTACTTTTGCAAATACCACTAATCAAAATAAAGGGTAAAATAAATGTGTTTTGTAGATGTTTATAATAAATTACACAATTGTGTGTGTAAGTTTATATAGACTTATATATTTGTAATTTCATGTATATATGTACTTATTATACATTGTGTACTATATTAATATAATTCTCATAGGTACATATGTTAGTGTAAGCACCTGAAATAGACCTTGTGAACTACATGCAGTTTGAAGATGATGGTCTTTTGGGCGTTAAAAAACACCATTTTTTTTTTTTACTTTGCACTCAGAATCAATTGATCAATAAGATAAAGAAACAATGGAGGTGCAAGAAAAATCAAAACTCCACATTTATTATTCACAAAGACTAGGTTGGAAAATGTGGTGGAAAATGTGAGTCTGTGGAAAAGTACCCCAAGAAACCCTCCTGTGAGGAAATGCAAATCAGGAAAGCCACACATCACATGGAAGGAAATATCAAAAACAGGTACAAAGCATTTCTCCTTAACAAACCCTGGATGCTTAACCCACAGTGTTTAGCCATGAAGCTGAGGGCCAACTAAGAATATGGCTCTCTCCATCAAGGGTGAAGATCAACACTCAATCAGGGCAGTCCAGCTTCCCAGCTTAGTCCCCATCTCCCAGGTTTCAGCTACAGCACTGTTGGACATCTTCCTGGTGCTTCTACAGGACAGTTTTGCTTTTCCCTGAAGGCTCTGAAATAAATCATAACAGTCCACTGGTTAAATAAACCCCAAACTGCTCTGTACCCGTGGTTGAAACTGACTCCCTTTCCCATCCCAAATTATGTTCAACCCCATTTTTCAACATAGTACATCAGAAGTCCTTGAATAAAATTGAGTGATCCACTAAGATCTTCTAGTTATAAACTGCATGAAGACAATTCAGTAATAAAATGCCAGCAATTTCAGAACACCCTAAATTCAAATATAAATGCCTCTCATTATTGAGTTCCCAAGGAGAATTCAAAGCTCAAAGTCTAAATTCCCTTGCTGAGTCAAAGTTCAAAGAAGCTAATCTCCATCATCAAATTCACTTGCTTGTGTGAGTTAAAGTTCAAGGAAATTAAAGTCTGAAATTCATCGTCTTCGATTTCTTATTCTGCTCAGACTCAGCCAGAAGAGTTCAGGATGGCTGGGTGGAGCTGGGATTCTTTCAGCAGCCTCAACCTGGATTCTCATTAGATCATGTAATCCTTGCAGGGCCTTAGGAGTTTTATTAATGCAATGCCAAGTCTTAGATACCTCACATTTTTTTTTTTTTTGAGATGGAGTCTCGCTCTGTCGCCCAGGCTGGAGTGCAGTGGCGCTATCTCGGCTCACTGCAAGCTCCGCCTCCCGGGTTCACGCCATTCTCCTCTCCTGCCTCAGTGTCCCAAGTAGCTGGGACTACAGGTGCCACCACGCCCAGTTAATTTTTTGTAGTTTTAGTAGAGATGGGGTTTCACCGTGTTAGCCAGGATGGTCTTGATCTCCTGACCTTGTGATCCACCCGCCTCGGCCTCCCAAAGTGCTGGGATTACAGGTGTGAGCCACCGCACCCGGCTGCTTTTTTTAAATTTATTTTTATTTTTATTTTTTTGAGACAGAGTCTCACTCTGTTGCCCAGGCTGGAGTGCAGTGGTGCGATCTTGGCTCACTGCAACCTCTGCCTCCTAGGTTCAAGCAATTATGCTGCCTCAGCCTCCCGAGTAGCTGGGATTACAGGCATCCACCACCACGCCCAGCTAATTTGTGTATTTTTAGTACAGACAGGGTTTCACCATGTTGGCCAGGCTGGTCTCAAACTCCTGACCTCAGGTGATCCACCCACCTCAGCCTCCCAAAGTGCTGGGATTACAGGCATGAGCCACCATGCCCAGCGGGCAACACCTCACTTTTAAAGAGCTTGATCATTTAACAGGACACATAAGATGATCACAGTTAGAGACTTTCCATACGCCTACACCCCCAGTTAAGAAAATCAGCCAACTTTTAGCACTTATCTCAGGTAAAGTTATATTCTCAGACTCTAATACTTAGTGCTGTCCCAGGGCCATTCTGAGGGCAGGGGAACAGACAGAGGAGACCTTGGTTTCTACTTCACCATCATGCTTTTCAGTGGATGTCAGTTGTCTGGGATCCACATCTGAAGAACGTAATCTCAATTGGAAGAAATCTCCTAGCAAAAGGTTAATTTTGGCACTACGCATTATTTTCAGCACTATAAATTTACCTAAACTGGGGCGGGACTCCATCTGTGTACACCGTCTGCACTGTATGAGAAGGACATCGAGATGCTTGCAGAGCTTGCAAATTCGCATTTACATTATCTCTGTAGCCCTGAGTTCTGGAATTTCAGTGCTTCATTGAGGAGTGAGCCCTGATGGGTAACACGGCCTCCGTTCTATCAAGTGAGCAGATATTTTCAGTTCTGGGCCACAACAAGGGCTGCCACTGATTCTTATTTTGGAATTGTTTAAGACCAAGAACCTTCTACAGAAGGTTTTGACCTCATGTCCACATTTTTTTAAGCTGGAAAAATTACCCTCTGATGATTCTGGCGAGGAGCTGCTATGGGCTTTTAAACGCTTTGCCTCCATGACCCAGAAAGAACGAATTTTTCCACCTTGACTTCTCAAGGCACTGCATTTTCTAGACTTCTAAATTCTATACATGTCTTGGACACATGGCCACAGGGCCTGAGCAGTGCCCAGTGTCTACGTACAATACATGAATTACCTTGAAAGTCACCTGGAAATACTATTATTTTATTTTTTGTTTGCATCTTAGAATAAGGCTCATGAATACAAAATTACTTCTTCCAGAGGCCCCTCCTTGAACCTGAATGTAAAATGATATTCAGGAAAGCAAATTTGGCTCTGCCAACTTAGGCCTGGAACTAATAATTTGTTTTTTTGAGTCAGGGTCTTACTCTGTTGCCCAGGCTGGAGTGCAGTGGTGTGATCTCGGCTCACTGCAACCTCTGCCTCCTGGGTTCAAGTGATCCTCCCACCTCAACCTCCCCAGTAGTTGGGACTACAGGTGCATGCCATCATGCCTGGCTAATTTTTGTATTTTTTGGTAGAGATGGGGTTTCACCATGTTGGCCAGGCTGGTTTTGAACTCCTGACCTCTGTTGATCTGCCTGCCTCAGCCTCCCAAAGTGCTGGGGTTACAGATATGAGCCACCGTGTCTGGCCCTGGCACTAATAATTTAAAATTAGAGCCTCAGTAGTACCCTGTAACAAACTCAGAACTAAGATGCCTTGCTTTTTAAAAGGAACTGATATTGCTCTGCCCTGTAAAGACTGAAAAGATCAAATCCCATCTCAGCCTAGCCTGGGATGCAGGTCTAAGCTGCTTCTGCATAATAAATTGCAGCAGGTGGCCTGGACACTACTGTTTCTGTATTGAGGCCATAGTTGACTTACTAGGCTGGTGTTTTCTCTGGCCAATCATATGGCCTGAGTACTTTTGCTTAAGGCAGGTACAGCCTGAGCAGCATTTGCTGGAAGCTGCCCATAATTCAGTCCCCCTTTTTTTTTTTTTGAGATGGAATCTTGTTTGGTCACCCAGGCTGGAGTGCAGTGGCGTGATCTCGGCTCACTGCAACCTCCGCCTCCCGGGTTCAACTGATTCTCCTGCCTCAGCTTTCTGAGTAGCTGGGATTACAGGTGCCCACCACCATGCCTGACTTTTTTTATTTTTAGTAGAAATGGGATTTCACCATGTTGGATAGGCTGGTCTCGAACTCCTGACCTCAAATGATCTGTCTTTCTCGGCCTCCCAAAGTGCTGGGATTACAGGGGTGAGCCACTGTGTGCCTGGCCCATAATTCAGTTTCGACTTTACGGAAACAGCCTCTCTCCAGTGAACAAAGTGCTGGGATTACAGGCGTGAGCCACTGTGTGCCTGGCCCATAATTCAGTTTCGACTCTATGGAAACAGCCTCTCTCCAGTGAACAAAGCCATTATAAGCTTTTGCTCAGGGTGCAGTAATTAAAAACCAAATGCACAATGGCTAAAAATCTAACTGGCTCAATATAAACCTCCACAACCACCTAAGGCCCCAGGGCCTTGCCCAGATCAATACCCATGCACCCTGGCCCTACCAAAAAACCTTTTCATGTGTTATTTTGGTTTCAAAACTCCATTTCCTGTTGATATAATTTGGCTGTGTCCCCACCCAAATCTCATCTTGAATTGTAGCTCCCATGATTCCCATGTGTTGTGGGAGGGACCTGGTGGGAGATAATTGAATCATGGGGTCAGTTTCCCCCATACTGTTCTCAATAGTTTTATAAAAGGTGTCCCTTTTTCCTTGGTTCTCATTCTCTCTTTGCCTGCTGCCATGTAAGACATGCCTTTTGCCTTCCACCATGATTGTGAGGCCTCCAGAGCCAGTGGAACTGTGAGTCCATTAAACCTCTTTTTCTTTATAAATTACCCAGTCTCAGGTATGTCTTTGTCAGCAGCATAAAAATGGACTAATACACCTGTCTTAATTCTCAGTATTCCTGACCCATGCAACAAATGATGGTGTCTCTGAGTGTGCTCTCCATCAATGGCTTCTCCTTTCCCTACCTCAGTTCTGATACAGATGAAAGCAAAGTCTTTTTTTTTTTTTTGAAATGGAGTCTTGCTCTGTCCCCCAGGCTGGAGTGCAGTGGCGCGATCTCTGCTCACTGCAAACTCTACCCACCACGTTCATGCCGTTCTCCTGCCTCAGCCTCCCGAGTAGCTGGGACTACAGGCACCCGCAACCACGTCCGGCTAATTTTTTGTATTTTTAGTAGACACGGGGTTTCACTGTGTTAGCCAGGATGGTCTCGATCTCCTGACCTCGTGATCCACCCACCTCGGCCTCCCAAAGTGCTGGGATTACAGGCGTGGGCCACCGCGTTCGGCCGAAGGCAAAATCTTAAGATGTGGCTTACATCTTTGGGCAAGTATGCTTCCTAACTCCTTAAATTAAAAAACTGCTGCTCCCCATAGGCAGCTCATTCCCAAGATGAAAAAGGGAAGAACTGAGCTGAGCTGAGCATCCTCAGTTTCTTCTCTTCAAATTCATGAATCCTGTTAAAATATACTTTTTCCCCTGGAAAGTGAGAAGTCCAGAGAGTCCAGGAGTGTCACACCTTCCTATGTAAGAAGAATCTTGAATGAGGGGGATGTGCCCCCCCCATCCATGTGGAAGAGGTTGCATTAAATAGGAATGTAAGAGTGGTGTTTGATAAATCTACTATGCAACAGAGTTCCCAAACTGGAAGTCCGTCCCTTCTTTTCTCTAAGTTTTGCTCTAGAGATATGTTAAAAAGAAACAAACCAACAAAGCCCTTTACGTTGTCATGCTTGCATTTTGTAAGCTTTAGTTTATCTTGATTCTAAACTTTTGCCATTCTTAGCACTGTTTAATTGGACTCTGAAGTATTTAATCATCTGAATGGTTTTTTGTTAAGTCTAACAGCAACACCTGTGGCTACCTCAATTCTCATAGGTATCTTGTCCTTTTCAGTGATGTGATGTAACCTGCTCCTCAAACAGGATGGTAAGCTAGTCAGTTGATTTTCAGCATAGGTGCCATGACATTTAATAAGGGAAAGAACAGTGTTTTCAGCAAATGGTGCTGGGGCAACTAGATATCCACGTGCCAAAAAATAAAAATGGATTTGGACCCCCACCACACACCATACCAAAAAAAAAAAAGAAAGAAAAACTCAAAATAGTAGATTTAGATGTATGAGCTAAAACTGTAAAACTCTTAGAAGGAAACAGGTAAAATATTTATGACCTTGGTTTAGGCAATGATTTCTTAGATATCTGAAAAAAGATATCAGAATATTCAGAATATATAAAGAACTCTTACAAGTAAATAATAAAAGGACAAATAACTCAATTAAAAAGTAGGCAAAGGATCTAAATAGATATTTCTCCAAAGAGGACACAGAAATGCCCATAAATACATGAAAGGATGCTCAATATCATTACTCATTAGAAAAATATAAATCAAAATGCAATAAAAGGTCTAGGCATGGTGGCTCACACCTGTCATTCTAGCACTTTGGGAAGCCAAGGAAAAAGGATCACTTGAGCCCAGGTATTTGAGACCAGTCTGAGCAACATAGAGAGATCCCATCTCTAAAAAAATTAAAATTAAAAAAACTAGGCAGGCATGATGGTGCACACCTGTGGTCCTAGATACTCAGGAGGGTGAGGTGGGAGGATCACTTGGGCCCAGGAGGTCGAGGCTGCAGTGAGCCGTGAGTGCACCACTGCACTCCAGCCTGGGTGACAGAACAAGACCTGGTCTCAAAAAAAAAAAAAAAAAAATTGTTTAAGTGTTAATAAAAAATGCAATAAGATACCACACTCGCTAGGATGGCTAGGAAAAAAGACAGGTAATAATAAGTGTTGATGAGAATATAGAGAAATTGCAATCTCAAACATTGCTGATGAGTGTAGCTACTTCGGAAAACAGTCTCGCAGTTCTTGAAAAAACCTGTTTATAGAGTTACCATATGACCCAGTAATTTCACCTCTTTTATGTACCCAGGAGGAATTAAAAGTTACATCTACACAAAAATTTACGCATGAATGTTCACAGCTACACTATTCATAAGAGCCCCAAAGTGGAAACAACCCAAATGTCTATCAACTGGTGATGGATAAACAAAATGTGGTATGGATATGCATACCATGGAATGCGACTCAGTATAAAAAGGGATGAAGTGCTTGCATATGCTGCAACATGAATGAACCTTGAAAACACATGCTCAGTGAAAGAAACCAGTCACAAAAGACCACATACTGTGTGATTCCATTGACACAAAATGTTCAGAATACACAAATCTACAGAGACAGAAAGTGGGTTAGTGGTTGCCTAGGACCAGGGAAAGGGGGTCATTTGAAGGGAAATGGGGATTGCCTACTAATGGGTACAGGGCTCCTTTTTGGGTGATGAAATATTTTAAAATTGATTGTAGTGATGGCTTCACAATTCTGTGACTATACTAAAAATCGTTAAATGGTACACTTCAATTGTGTGAATTGTAAGGTATGTGAATTACATCTCAGTAACTCTCTTAAAAGACAAACAAAATGATACAAAACAAAAATGCCTACATCTTGAAGGTAGACATCATGTTTGGCACTTCTTTGTGCAATGAGAATGAGTAAAGGAGTGTACCTTGCTGATTTTGCACTTGATTGAGGTCCTCCAGCCATTCAAGTCTTCAGAGCATTGAAAACAATAAAAGGGTCTCCTTCTCAGTGATGTTTCTGAAGACTGCATGGGGCAGAGGAGAGTTCACCTCCCCGGGCAGTTTTCTTAAGGCGCTTGGGGAAGGCTGGGTCCAGAAATACCAACAACAGCAACAGGCACTGGAAAGCCGGTCCCCTTCCCTCTATGCCTGTGGCTGTTGGATACTCTGTCACCATTGGATTACCTCACAGACCTGCCCTTGTCACTGGTGGTCCCTTCTTATTGTCGTTGCCCACCATGGTGTGGGAGCCGTGTACAAGTGCCTCGATCTGCAATTATGTCTGGAAAAGTTAGGACGCTTCCATGAACTCTGAGTGCGAGTTCTCAGAAAGTCTGCTAATTACTCTCAGTTCCTGGAGAATCTCTTCCCAAGACCTTCGTCTACAGATGCAGATACAGAAGACAGATCTTACCACTTTGTGCTGTTCCCTGACCTAAAGGGTGCTTCCGGGAAACAGGCTCTATCCTGTTCCAAAGCTGAAGCTCTCCCCTTGCTGAACCCAGACTGGATCAATAGGCTTCGCCCTTATATTCCCTCCTGCCTCTGTCATCATCTTCTCCCCTCCTCCACCCTCTTTCTAGAGCTTCCAACTTCTTTTCTGGCAAGCAGTATCAGGAATAGATCAACACAGAATTCGAAATTAGACAAACCTGATAAGCATCTTCCCTCCTCTTCTTGCTATCTGTGTTAACTGGACCAAGTCACTTCACTGCTCTCTGCCTTTATTAGAGAGAATTATAGCTCCCTGGAGGGCGTGGGTAGTGGTGGTATCAAGAGTTAAGGAGATAATGCAACTAAAGCATTTAGCATGGTGTCTGGCCCCTGGTGAGTGGTCTGCAATTGATAGCAGCTGTTCTTATTTCCTCCTTTGGGCAGAAAGCTCACCCCAGATAGCGTGGTGTGGAGGCACCCTATTGTGCTGAACTCCCAGCGTCTTGGCTCTGCCGTCAGGCATGGTCCCATGGGGCTGGACTTGTAACATCTTCCTCCGCTTTTATGGGAATCGTCTCCCCTGCACGTTTTGATAGGGTAGAGGCAGCTGCCCAATTGCACAAACACACAAAACAGTAACTGTGGCCCCTCAGAGTTTGGGGTTTCTGGATTTGTTACTGGGGTGGGGGCTGGAGAAGAGGAGTGAGGGATAAACAGTCGCCACTTTCTTTCTTCCATCTGTCCCACTTCTTTCTGTGAAAGAGTGTTTAGTTCAGGACACTCATCTATACCCTCCAAAGCATTCAAATCTGAAGAAAAGTCAGTCCACTGACTAATGACTGATGATGTTGGTAAGATATATATTTTTTCTTTTGTTTTAAGAGATAGGGTCTCATTCTTTTGCTATTTTTTAGAGGCTGGTCTTGCACTCCTGAACTCAAGGGATCCTCCCACTTCCACCTCCTGAGCAGCTGAGATTGCAAGTGCATGCCCCTATGCCCAGGTTGAGGATATGTTGACATGTTTAAATGGAATGCATGAATGCACTGAGGCCCCTTGGTCATAAGCACTTTCCAGCAACCTCCATCCCAGGCCTCTCCCAGCCCCCACACACTCCAACACAGCCAAAGTGTTCTTTCTCAGGGCTGGTGACCTTGTTTAAGGAAGCCGGGGCATGGGGTTCTCATCAAGTCCCTGCACAGCTCTAAAGCCCTGGGCGTTCGATGTGTTCTCATGTTTTCTCGTAATGCGCAGTACTTGACTAGGGCTCAGTAAGTGTTTCTTGACTGGTTAGTCAGTGTGGGCTACTTTCCCTCTCCTTCCCTGAGAGCCCAGCTGAGTACGGAATGAAAGGGAAATGAAATAAACATCTCAGGCCCTGCAGCCCACCAGGGTCATGGTATTCACAGCGCTGCTGTGAGTCAGCGCTGACCCTTCTTTGTCATCGTCGGAGGCACCGGAACTAAGAGCATAAACAGAGGCGGAAGAGGAGGAGGGTTGGGAGCGGCGGGATTAGTCCCTGGGTAATGCTCTATCAAACCCCACAACTTTCAACAATAAACTTCCAGTAGAAACGCTTCTGAAGCCAGGCTGGTTTCTGTGCTCTCATGTACAGTATCACATTAGATCCTCTTAACGCCCCCGCAAGGGAGAGCTTTTTGCAAGTTAAAATTCAGTGGGAGCCATGAGCAAGTCCCCAAAAGGATCTGGTTTAGCTTATTTTCAGACAGACTTCTGCTGCATCAGAGAGTGGCGGCATGTGTTCTGTGTAGTCAGATATAGGGCCGGGGATTAGAAAAACGGAGCAGATGTTGCACCATTAATTGTCTAGGATTAGACAGTCTGGAGGTTCAAGATTCGAACTTCAGTTTGCAATTTTGCCCACAGGTATTTAATGAAACAAGGCATTTCCTTGGGGGCTTACAATGGAATTTAAAGGCCCCAAGGGTTTTACATTTAAGCTCGAATTTAAGCTTGAATTTAAAGCTTTTCCTACACACCTTGATTTACAAATGCTCCAAAACTAGGACAGAGAGAGGTTAAGTAACTTGTTCAATGCACTGCCATAGGTTAGGGTCAGTGGTAAGACCAGAAACAAGGTTTTCTGTTTCCTAATTCATGATTCTTGTCGATTCCTCCCTGTCTGGGCCTTCGTTCTCATCTAAAGCCTATGTGTTGAGACTATGGAATACTTGCTGTCTTTCCTTAATGGGAAGGGGATGATGAGGCAGCCTAAAGCTTAGACACGACTCAGTGTTTTTCAGCATTGAGAATGGATCAGACTCAAAAGAATAAAGATCCAGTCACCTTTTTTTTTTTTTTTTTTTTTTTTTTGAGACGGAGTCTTGCTCTATTCCCTAGGCTGGAGTGCAGTGGCGCCATCTCTGCTCACTGCCTCCACCTCCTGGGTTCAAGCGATTCTTCTACCTCAGTAGCTGGGACTACAGGTGCATGCCACCACGCCCGGCCAATTTTTTTTTTTTTATTTTTTGGTAGAGACGGGGTTTCACCATGTTGCTCAGGCTGGTCTGCAACTCCTGAGCTCAAGTGATCTGTCCGCTTTGGCCTCCCAAAGTGCTGGGATTCCAGGCGTGAACCACCACGTCCTGCCCCAGTCACCTTTTGAGGTGAGCTTTGAAGAACTCTATTTCCAAGTCTTGGCAAATAGCTCCTGCAGGATTTTGTTGGTCTGGTTGCTGCCAATTTTCGGTAGCAAATAATCCCACGCAATAAATAATTCTTTTGGTTCATGTCTATGTCATGTTTGATGATGAAATAACATATATGTTTGCACTTGCATTTGAGGAGACACACTTGCACCCTTAGCCACTAAGCTTGCATGGTTATTAATGTTTCCAGTGTGTTGATCTTGGTTTCCTAATCAGATGATAACTTTCTGGAATGCAGAGACTATTCCTTAGATTTCTTTGTATTTCTCACAGTATCCACACTATTTTGTATTGTCAAGTGCTAGATTTTGTCATACAGTAGATGCTTTAAAAATATGAACAAAATGGGCCAGGCGTGGTGGCTCACACCTGTAATCCCAGCACTTTGGGAGGCCGAAGGGGGCAGATCGTGAGGTCAGGAGATGGAGACCATCCTGGCTAACATGGTGAAACTCCATCTCTACCAAAAATACAGAAAATTAGCTGGGCGTGGTGGTGGGCGCCTGTAGTCCCAGCTACTCAGGAGGCTGAGGCAGGAGGATGGCCTGAACCTGGGAGGCGGAGCTTGCAGTGAGCTGAGATTCACTGCCCTCCAGCCTGGATGACAGAGCGAGACTCCATCTCAAAAAATAAAAAAATAAGAATAAAAATAAAAAATAAAAAAAAAATGAAAAAAATGGTTTATAAAGAATTGAGTGAGGCTAAGGCAGGAGGATCGCTTGAGCCCAGGAGTTTGAAACCAGCCTGGGTAGCATAGGGAGATCTCATCTCTGCAAAAAAACACAAAAATTAGCTGGGTGTGGTGGTGTGTGTCTGAGGTCCTGGCTACTCAGGAAATTGAAGTGGGAGGATCACTCGCCTGGAGGTCGAGGCTGCAGTGAGCTGTGATCACAGCACTACACTCCAGCCTAGGGGACAGAGTAAGACCTTGTCTGAAAAAAAAGAAAAGAAAAGAAAAAAGAGAAAAAACAATAGAGAAAAAGCTGAAATGAGTTCTTTTGTGTTTCACTGGCAACTTGGGCCAATAATTCCACTTCCGTATCTTTCTCTACCTCAGACATTCCGAACAGCAGACCAGCCACCTACAGACCAACTTTTAAAAACCCTGAGCTAGCTCGGAGAACAAAAAAAAAAAGCTTTGGGCTATCTATGGAGATTTATTGAATGAGAAAAGCTAGAGTTAGAAGACGCCATTGAGACCATCTAGCTTGATGCTCCCTAAACTTTTCTCCTGGTAGCAAAGCAGAGTAGGTGTCTCCCTAGGAGTGGCATAATTTCTTTTAATCTGTGCGCTTTTTCTGTAAAAAATCATCTCTCTCTACCTACTGTCTCTCTCTAGCTACTGGGTTATAGGGCCATCCTGCAGACAGCTTTCTCATCACCAGTGGCCCCCTCCAGCAGTGGCCCCCTCCAGCAGGCTGAGTCATTCAGGTGGTCTCCATCAAGAATTTGGAACTCAAGCAGTCTGGAAGTTAGAGCTCTAGAAAGAAAAACCCAGAAAGACCTGCTGCGGAGGGCTTCAAAGTTGCCCGGACTCCACCATTACCAGTGCCTCTTGTTCAGACTCTGAGATGCCCCAACATCCTGCTGACACTTCACTTGTAGATGTAAGCTAGCTTGATTTGATCTATCTATTCTTTTCCATATACACCCCTTTTCTTACTTTTTTTTTTTTTTTTGAGACAGGGTCTTGCTATGTTGCCCAGGCTGGTCTCAAAATCCTGGGGTCAAGCGATCCTCCTGCCTCAGCCTCCCAAAGTGCTGGGATTACAGGCATGAGCCACTGCACCTACTCTTGTAGGTATATGCTCTTTAACAGATATGTGTCCGTTTTATACTCAGTTCTCTTATTGCAGTTATCTCCATAACTGCAAGACTGGGCTTAGTGGCTCGTGCCTGTAATGACAACATTTTAATTTAATGAATGAGCATCCCTTGCCCATGATTAATTTAGATATCCTATGAATTTAATAATGTAATACAATTTGCTAAACAGACATTTGCACTAAAATAGAGTAGAAGATGTATCAGGTTGAACCGCTTGAAATTCCTGGTATTTGACTATTTTTTACCTACAGCAATTTCATATGATTCAGAGTAATGTATCTCAAGTTAACCAGTAGGAACAGCAAGGAATAGTCATGGGCTACCTAATGACATTCCAGTCAACAATGGACCTCATATACAATGGAGATCCTTTAAGATGATAAAGAAGCTAAAAAATTCCTACTGCCTAGTGACGCTGTAACTGTCCTAATGTAGTGCAACACATTACTGAGGTGTTGTGAGGGTGATGTAAGTAAACCTGCCTCACTGCCAGTCATATGAAAATATAGCACATACAATTATGTATAGTACATAATACTTGATAATGCTAATAAACAGCTATGTTACTGGTTTATGTATTACTACACTACAGATTTTTTTTTTTTTTTTTGAGACGGAGTCTTGCTCTTCGCCCAGGCTGCAGTGCAGTGGCGCGATCTTTGCTCACTGCAACCTCTGCCTCCCGGGTTCCCGCGATTCTCCTGCCTCAGCCTCTCGAGTAGCTGGAACTACAGACATGTGCCACCACACCTGGCTAATTTTTGTATTTTTAGTAGAGACGAGGTTTCACCGTATTGGCCAGGCTGGTCTCAAACTCCTGACATTGTGATCTGCCCACCTTGGCCTCCCAAGGTGCTGGGATTACAGGCGTGAGCCACTGCGCCTGGCCTATACTATAGTTTTTATCCTTGCTCTAGAGTGTACTCCTTCTGCTTATTTTAAAAAAAAAAAAAGTTAACTGTAAAGCAGTCTCAGGCAGGTCTTTCAGGAAGTCTTCCTGGAGAAAGCATTGTTAGCCTAGGAGAGTAAAGCTCCACGCCTGTTACTGCCCCCGAAGACTTTCCACCAGGACAAGATGTGGAGGTGGAAGATAGTGATATTGATAATCCTGACCCTGTATAGGTCTAGGCTAAAGTGTGTGTTTGTGTCTTAGTTTTTACAAAATGTTAAAAAAAAAAAAAAAAGACATAGAATAATGATAAAAAGAAAACATATTTTTGTACAGTTGTACAATATGTTCGTGTTTTAAGCTAAGCATTATTACAAAAGAGAGCTGTAACTCTTAAAAATTTTAAAAGATTATAAATTTTATAAAGTAAAAAAGTTATTGTAGGCTAAGTTTAATTTATTATTGAAGAAAGAAACATTTAAAAAATTAAATGTAGTGTAGCCTAAGTGTACAGTGTTCATAAAGTCTACAGTCATGTACAGTAATACCCTGGGCCTCCACACGCACTCACCACTCACTCATGGACTCACCCAGGGCAACTTCTAGTCCTGCAAGCTTCATTCATGTTAAGTGCCCTATACGCATATACTATTTTTTGTCTTTTGTACCGTGCTTTTACTGTACCATTTCTGTTTAGATACACAAATACTTACCATTGTGTTCTAACTACCTGTAGTATTCAGTACAGTGCCATGCTGTTTGTTACAGGTTAATAGCCTAGGAGCAACAGGTTATACCACACAGCCTATGTGTGTAGCAGGCTATACCATCTAGATTTGTGTAAGTGTACTCTATATGACATATTATGTTCCCACAATGCCAAAATCACCTAAAGATGCATTTCTCAGAATATATCCCCACCATTTAGTGATTCATGACTGTATTAGGTTTTCAGTTTACCATTCATTCACTCACACTCTCAATAAATATTTCATTGAGCACCCTTATGTGAAGATCAGTGCATTAGATGCTTACAGAGCCACAAAGCAGAGTCCAATACAGACTCCATGCTCAAGGGGTTTGCTGGGGTGGTTTTAAAATGTAAGGTAGAAAATGATACATATAATAAATAAGATTAAGTACTATGAGAGAGGAGAGAGAGATTTCTTGTAGCTAAGAATATGAAAAGTTTCATGAATGTGGTAGTCTTACAGTGGGACTTTTATGTTTTTATGTTCAAATTTTCAGTATAAGTTTCCCAGAGAGGTGGAAAAAAGTATGAGCTGGGAGAGGGAGAGAAAGCCGGGAAATTATGATTCATGCACAGTAACCAGAAATTAATGCTGAAATGCAGTGAAGGAGAATCATGGGGAAAAACATTGGAAAAGAAGGTTGTGGCCAAATTTAGGGAGAATTTTATAGCAATGAGGAATGACAAACATTTTCCAACTAGGCAATAACATGGTTAGAGTTGAATTATAGGAAACGTGACCACACAGCATGAGGAGGTTGAATTGGAATGGGAATTACTGGTGACCATGGTCCAGGACTAAGGTGATGAGGAAGTAGGATAAAAGCAGTGCAAGGATTTGTTGAGGTTTAGTCTGGTCTAACCAGGCCAAGATAACCACCAGGCCAAGATAACAGTGTCTGGTCTAACCAGGCCAAGATAACAGTGTGAATTCTCTTTGATATTTCAGAAATGAAGATTGGTGCTATCACCTTCATTCTATGAGATCCTTACACAGAAGGCAGTTACGATGACTTGCTTCCAACAGGCAGGCAGCGTGTACTAATTTGAAGTAAGGAGTCAGTCCGAAGGACTTACGATGTTAAGCAAAGAAAAATAAAAATTTTTGGACTCATTTTATCTCACTTTCACCGAATGAAGCCTGAGCTCACTTCTTCTATTTGCTCTTGGGCATTTGAAATCAGGTTCTTGACAGATATTTGAAAACCAAATAATGTACAGAGAATTTTGAAGTTTTAGCCAAGAAAAGCTCTCTAGGTAAAAGACAGTGGCAGTAAAAGCAGCCCTGAATTTTCTCCCTTATATTTCATATTGGGGTTTTCATTTATTCCTGTTGGAGGAGGCATAGTGGATCTCTGGAGCTCTCTGCTGTTCAAATCTAGGAGGGTTTTGTGGCTTAGTTTACAAAACAGACGAAGCTTTTCACATCGGTCCTTTTTGGAATAACTGAAACCATGCATACCTTCCTGCTGTAAACAAAAGGAAAACTGGAAAAATATATGAGACAAAAGTTTTTTCACATTGGAAAATAGGTAGCATAGAATTGTGGTCCTAAGAGAAATGAAACAAATAAGGTGAGCCCTAAGATTTCCCCAGCTTTCTACCTGGGGCATTTTCTGGACATTAGCATGGGGAGGTGATCCCAAGAGAACACGACAGTCTTTCTGAGTGGTACAAACAGAAGATAGAATTTGGGGAAGCTTACGCAGTTAGAAATTCTGGAACAGTAAGAGATGAGGGAGCTGCATAAAAAAAGAGATCCGGCCGGGCGTGGTGGCTCACGCCTGTAATTCCAGCACTTTGGGAGGCTGAGGCGGGTGGATCACGAGGTCAGGAGATTGAGACCATCCTGGCTAACACGGTGAAACCCCGTCCCGTCTCTACTAAAAATACAAAAAAATTAGCCGTGCGTGGTGGCGAGCGCATGTAGTCCCAGCTACTCGGGAGGCTGAGGCAGGAGAATGGTGTGAACCTGGGAGGCGGAGCTTGCAGTGAGCCGAGATCGCGCCACTGCACTCCAGCCTGGGTGACAGAGCGAGACTCCGTCTCAAAAAAAAAAAAAAAAAAAAATGAGATCCAGCCGGGCGCAGTGGCTCACGTCTGTGATCCCAGCACTTTGGGAGGCCGAGGTGGGAGGATCACTTGAGGTCAGGAGTTCGAGACGAGCCTGGCCAATATGGTGAAACCCCATCTCTACTAAAAATATGAAAATTAGCTTGGCGTGGTGACAGGCGCCTGTAATCCCAGCTACTCAGGAGGCTGAGACAGGAGAATAGCTTGAACCCGGGAGGCGGAGTTTGCAGTGAGCCGACATTGAGCCACTGCACTCCAGCTTGGGCGACAAGAGCAAAACTCTGCCTAAAAAAAAAAAAAAAGAGAGAGAGAGAGAGAGAGAGATCCAGAAACCCACATAAGAATTCTCCTAAATTTGTTGCTCAATACTAAGCTACACAGCATAGGGTGAAACTCTCACAGGCCAGGTAAGGAACAACCAGGGAGCAGGAGATTGAATAGCTGCCAGAGTCAGTCTGCAAGATGTTTTAGTTCTGAGCAGCCAGAGTGGAGAGTGCTTACTGAGCCTCCAGGCTGAATGGAAGCTCCAGAGGGTCTCGTCATAATAGGGGGGCTAAACTAGTGCTAATATAAGGGCTTCTTTAAATCTGCCCTATAAAGCTTAAAAACAAGCCTTGAAAGGAGCAAGCCAATCCATAAGGAACTTAACTGTCTGCCAGAATAAAATGTAACACTCTCAACACTTTTTAAAGGAATGCAATAAAATTCAACACACGAAATACAAATTATGATTTCTAGCCCCCAATATGAAATTAATAGACACAGAAAGAAGCAGAAAGATGAGACCATAATGGGGAGAAGTATCAGTCAATGAAAGTAGATGCAGAAATGACAGAAATGATAAAATTAGTAGACAAGGACTTTTATATATTTATTTATTTAGTTAGTTCTTATTGGAGACAGAGCCTCTCTCTGCCACCCAGAGCTGGAGTGCAATGGTGTGATCATAGCTCGCTGCAGCCTCAAATTCCTGGGGTCAAGCTATCCTCCCACCTCAAAATTAGCATAAAATTGCTCAAAAATTCAAAGGAACATATGAAGAAAAGAAAGAAATATACATATATAAAATAAATACATGGAATAAAAATAGAAATATGAAATGAAAAATTCACTGAATAAGATTAATAGAAGTTTAGACTCTACAAAAGAAAAGATTAGTAAACTTGAAGATGTAGCAATAGAAACTATCTGGCCAGGTGTGGTGGCTCACGCCTGTAATCCTAGCACTTTGGGAGGCCGAGGTGGGCAGATCAAGAGGTCAAGAGATCGAGGCCATGCTGGCCAACGTGGTGAAACCTCGTCTCTACTAAAAATACAAAAATTTGCTGGGTATGGTGGCGGCCACCTGTAATCCCAGCTACTTGGGAGGCTGAGGCAGAAGAATCACGTGAATCAGGAGGTGGAGGTTGCAGGGAGTGGAGATTGTGCCACTGCACTCTGCCTGGCGACAGTGAGACTCCATCTCAAAAAACAAAAAACAAAAAAACAAAAAAACCCCCCAAAAAACCCACGACAATAGTAACTCTCCTAAGTGAGTTACAATTTCACTTTAATAAGCTAGTGGGAAGAAAAAGAAATTAAATCTCACCCAAAGTAAATCCCTGGAAGGAAAAATAAGGAGCAGACATTTTCATTTATTTCAGTGAAAGTAAAATTAGAGAAAATAAAAATCAATGGAAAAGAACAAAACCTTTTTCTTTAAAAAGATAAAAATGACTAATCTCTAGCTAGACTGATCTCAAGAAATAAAACAGAGAGACATAAATGACCAATGTCAGAAATGAAAGAAGGGATATTACCACACATACTCATATATTAAGAACACGAAACAGACTTATATCCCTGCTTTTGTGATGGAGGTGTGGTAAGAAACTCAGGAAATGGATTTTCGGGTGGAGAGAAAAAGGAAGAGTATAAAGAATATTCATTTGGTCCATGTAGGTGACCCTATGGAGAGAAGGGTGGCTTGGCATTAAGAACAGTTATGGAGGCTGGGAAGGTTGGGGAGATAGTGGTCAAAGGACACAAAATTTCAGTGAAATAGAAGGAATAGATCTATTGTACAACACGGTTACTGTAGTTAACAACAATGTATAGTATCCTTGAAAATTGCTAAGAGAGTAGGTTTTAGATGTTCTCACCACACAGAAAAATGGTATTTGAGGAAATGCATATAATACACTCAATTTAGTTATTCCACAATGTATAGATATTTCATAACAAAAGGTTGTATGCAATAAATAAATAAAACTTTTGTCAATTTGAAAAATAAACTAATGTTTTTTTTTTTTTTAAATCATCTAGTTAGTCCCTGGTGTGAATATTGGAGTGGTTGTGTTGCATTCCATTCTGACTTTTTAAAATTTAGGCCTGTTGAGGAAGGCCACACCTTTTGGGTGAGTCTGGCATCCCCTGCAGTGAGTGCTCATTCTTTGTGAGGAGAAAAATTCTCTTGGGTCTTAGGTGGAAAACAGAAAGGTAGACCTTTAAAAGATGTGAGAGTAGAAAAGAGGACTTCCTGCTCTCTTTCTTGCTTGCTTTTCTCCTGAATCTAGGACTGTGGATGCTGGAGGCCTGATAGGCATACCTGGAGTGGTGTTTTGATGGTCTCTGCCATCATGTGGGAGACGGTTGAGAGCAGGAGGGATAAGTGACAGTAGTGGCTGTTAGCTAAAGATGAGTAAAGTGTATCTTGCATGACCCATGTAAAAGCCTTAACTGATACAACCTAGCAGTAAAGTGTTGCACCTAAAGAACAATTTAACAGAAAATCAAATTCTTACTGACGGCTTCCAAACTCATTCAGGGAGACATAAGTACAGTCTAGAGACTCTCTTATTAACATGCTGTGTCTTCACTTATTCTCTAGTGCTCAACAACTCCTGGACACCTCTAACCCAGAAGATCTTCTTCTTCTCCGTATTATCCTGTCTCCATGTTCTACTCCTTCTATCACCTCTCAATCTGGCCCTGTTCTTCAGAAAACTCTGCTCCAAATAGTTGTCCCTCCAACCTCTCATCATACAAAACTCCCTAGGGAATGTTTTTCGTCGTCTTTGACTGTTTTTTATTTCTAGAATCCAAGTGTGTGGAATTTTTTTTCTTTTAAAGTAAGAAAAAGGGCAAGAGGCTATTGTGGTGGTGATGGTGTGAAGGGATAAGTTTCTGAATCCCTACGCAGACATCTTAAACTCTGACATACTTGTAAGCTTGGTAATTTAGTTTGATGTTATTTTAGGCATTCATTTTCTCTTTATTTTTTATACATTCTTGGGTCTTTATAAATATTAAATATTTTGTAATTTATCATTTATGCTATCGAGAAAAGTAATATAATATTGATAGAGGAAAATTTAACATTGAATAGAAAAGCATTGAAGATATGCATATCTTTACCAATTTTACTACTAGGAGAAAATCTTGAAATCATTTTCAAGTTGTGCAAAAATTTAGCCAGACATTTCTATAACTACATTCATGAAAGTGATGTATTAGAAAGAAACTCATGTCCACTGATATGGACAATATCACTGTGGAAGGGGGTCAATAAAATAAATTATAGTATATACTATCTAAAATAATGCTGTGAAATACTTCTTGATGACAAGGTTTAAAAGTTTTATAATATATGTTAAATAGTTGTGGAAAACCATATGACTAAAAGATCTCATTTTTATAAAAATGTAACATTTACAAAAATATTGAATCATAGGCAACAAACTATCTGTGGTGGTAGGGGACAGGGTATTTTTCATTTTTGTGCTTTTCTGTTTTTGACAATGTATGTGTGTAGTAGGAATGTGTTTGTCTGCCTGCAAATTACAGAAAGCTGATTTCAGTTGCTCATCAAATAGATTCCCCACTTCATTTACTGGAAATCTGAGTGTAGATGGCACCTGGCCTTGGTTCAGCACTGATAATGTCATTGGGGGAACTGGGAGCCCTTTCCTACACCCAAGTCTCTCAAAGGGCTGGCTCCTTATCCTGAGGTCTCTGCTCAGCATGTCACCAGCATCTCTGAGAGTCTTAGAGCCTTTTCCTCACATTCACCCCATGAGCCAGAAGATGCTGCAGTTCTAGAGGTCATGATCATGCCTGCATTCCGGGCAGAATTACTCCAAAGGAGGAAGCAGCAACATGGCAGGTCACCACTTTCGTCTTATCATCAGAACTGGAACCTGTGCCCTCTGCCCTCTCCCCAACTCCAAGGGATGCTGGGGACTTGAGTATCTCAGTTTTTCCAGCATTGACAACTGAGAGTTGTCTAGGATTGTTTGGTAGAGTCAACCTCTGACATCTGCCCCAGTATGTATTAATTGACAACAAGGTAACATTTTTAAAAAGAGATTGCTAATAATCAATAGATTATTTTATTGGAGGCCACATGAATGCTGTAGAGTGTAGAATTTGATGATACAATTCCAATTGGTTGTTTTGCTAATATTTGTTATGTGCACAACATTGTGCAAGGGGCTTGTAGAGGAAAAGGAAATGTCTGAGATGATCAGCCATCGGGAGACAAATACTGCTGTCTAGGAGACATGTCTTATATTCAGAGCTCAGTATAATACTGCATTCTAGCAGACAGGTCCTATATTCAGAGCTTAGTATAATACTGCAGTCTTGGAGACATGTCTTATATTCAGAGCTTAGTATAGAGTAGGATACATACAACAGGAAGAAATATCAAAGCCAATGGTAGAGACAAATATTGCTCTAAGATATCAGCAAGTGTCCAAGGAGTTTCCTGGGGGAGATCACACCCAAGCTGGGCTTTAAAGCATGTGAGGATTCAGAGGAAGGCTTCTTTGAGCATGGCAACATCATGTGGCCATGCACCTGTCATGTGGGGGCCAGTGATGAGGCTAGGCAAACTTGAAATCAAGAGTAGAGGGTGCCAGAGAGAGCTTGAAAAGGTTTTCAAACAGATATTGAAGTATTTCCATTCCAAGGTGAAGGAAGCCACATCTTGTTCCAGGAGCTCGTAGCTCATCCCTGTGACATTTGTTCTGCTGACTCAGCTTCTCCGCAGGGCTGTTCCTGTTGTTTGCAAGGGGCCTAGATGCCAAGAGCTTGATTCCTGCCGTCAGGCATCTGCCTGCACTTTCTACCCCACTGGGGGATGCCCTGCTCAGACCTCTGTCTCCTGGTCTCACACACCTACTTTGCCAACTCTGCCGTTTGCTCTCTCCCACCCATCAGCAAGAGTCTTTGGTGATGACTTTGTGAGGCCACCTCAAGTGCCAGCATCTATGAGTTGTGACTTGTGACATGTGGCTGGGGTCCTTTACAAGATGCTTCAAGAAGCTGATTTCAGGCACTCTGGATACAAGAGATGAATGACAGTTGTAGTATTAACCCAGGAAGTATTGGAAGATGGGGGTACTGTTATCAACGTCCACTGCGAGCATTGTAGGGCAGATCTGAGTGCTGGAGGACCCATGGGCCAGGGCTCAGTGGTGACCACAGAAGGAGCACTGGATTGAAAGCAGGCTCTGCTACTGACATGCAATGGAAGCTTAGGTCTTGGAACCTTGTATAATCTCTCTGGGCCTTGGCTTCCTCATCTGTTAAATGGAGGTATTAACACTTGCCCTCCTCACTCCAGTTTAACAATCCTTATTTATTGAACACACTTTATATGCCATAATATTTCTAGTCTGAATAAATGAATCAACAAAGCCCCAGGACCCCAGACTCACACATGTACACAAACACATATGCACACACAGAATGGCCATTCTTAGAGGGACCTTGGAGGTGGAGTAGTCCATTGTAGGTAGAAGAAAGGCACAAAGGTTAAGCATGAACATAATGTATTAATTGTGGAATGAGATATGAGTACCAACTGCCAGGCTTCCTTGCACGGATCTATCTCAGCACAAGACTTCATCCTTCCCATTTGTCCGCACTCAGTATTCAAATATAAATAAGCCTTAGTTAATGCCTGTCCTCAAGTAGCTCACAGTCTAATGAGGAAGCTGATACAAATGCAGATAACTGCAATATAAATGGTAAATGGTGCAGCAGTGCTAAGTCAGTGAACCAGTGAAGTGAGGTTCACAGACGAGGTGATGTCTGAGCTATGGCGTTGTGAAGGGTGGCAGAGTGATGATCAAATCTAAGAGGCAGTTATTTCCTAAAATAGCTGCCAGGGACATGGATCATTGATCCTTTGCTCCCCGCGACTTGTCCTACTTCACCCCTGTAATTTTTCCACCAGTTGCTTCTTGCATGCACAAATAAGTAGGAAGAATGTGAATCATTCAGTCAGGAGACCTGGATTCTCATCTCAGCTACTAGTAACTTCCAATGTGACCTGAGCATTAGACACAGTTGTGAGTGCTGTGCTTTGAGAGGTAAAGAGGACATTTGCCATTGAATCCCTTTCTCCATTTAAGGAATCCTCTATCTAAAAATTCTAGGTCAGAGAAAAAGTCTATGTCTCATTGAGAATGTGAAATTTGCCAGTTTCCTGCCCTTCCTTGCAGCTCGGGTGGAGATTGGTGAACTCGGTTCTCCTGATCAGAAGCCCATTGGACAGGGTATGAATCAGAAGGAAGTGAGGACAGTGGTGAGTCCTCCTGCAGGTGGTAGCTGTCCCAGACAGGGCTGTGTCTCTGCAGTGCAAGCTGCAAAGTCCAGTGTCCACGATAGCAGCACCCGCTTTCTCCCATGACCTGCTCTGATGTCAGGCTTTGCTCCCGGACCGTGGTTCTCCTGCTCCCCTACCACATACATTGTCCTTTGAAGATGTTCCCTTTTTTTGGTGATGTAAGCATTCCCAGTTTCTGCTGCTTGCTACTAAGCACCTTAATTACTAACAATGGTGCAGGATATTTTCTTGACCTTTTCATGAGACTCACAACAGAGGTACCCTGTTTAGTCAGCCCGCCATGCTCAACCATTCACAGGAGGGAGCACAGAATTGAATGAGTGCAGGAACTGGCCAGCTGCTTAGGTGCTGGCAGGAGCAAACTCTGTGCAGGCCCTGTAGCAGCATCCAGGTGGGGGTGCCTGTGACCCCAAGGCCCCAGAGGGCATGTCACAATGCTCTCTTAGCTCTGCAGTCTGTGGACAGCAATGTGTTTTCAATTCAGTGGGCCCTTTGCCTCATCACGTGGGGCAGCTGTCCTCTGCCAGGGAGGGCAAAGAGCCACTGTGACAGCCTTTTTGGGTATCTGCACTTGGTGGCTCCTGAATTCTTGTCCAGTGCCCAAGAAGAATGAGGTCATGCAGACAAATCAAAGGATGGTAAATGCAGAGAATTTTATTGAAGGATTAAAATGGCTGTCAGTGGAGGGGGGAGCTGGAATTGGGATGGGATGGGGTCACTCTCCCATGAAGTCAAATCGCATCACTGCCTCTTTCCTCCAAAGTCAAGTCACCTCTTTCTGACGTCCAGCCACTGTCTCTGAAGTCAAGTCACCTCTTTCTGATGTCCAGCTGCTTCTCTGAAGTCAAGTCACCTCTCCCTGTGATCCAGCCACTTCTCTGAAGTCAAGTCACCTCTCCCCGACATCCAGCCATGTCTCTGAAGTCAGGTAATCTCTCTCCAATGTCCAGCTGCTTCTCTGAAGTCAAGTTGCCTCTTCTCAATGTCCAGCTGTTTCTCCTCTCTTACTGGCTGAGCCTGGGGTCTTTATAGGCACAGGATGGTTGGGGGTAAAAGTAGTTTTGGAAAGGGCAACACTCAATTTGTAAAAAGACTTTATTCAGAAAGAACCAATTGAGAGAGAGCCGGCAAACAGGAATAGAAGTTCTCACGTTGGGCTGCCAGTTTCAGGCTACTTTTGGCTTGAAGGTGGGGTTTCCACTGGGGACCTGTCCCTGTCTGCGTAGAGTTTCTCTGCCTCATGCCTCTATCACCACGGCTTGGACAAGATGCTCTCCAAGGTTCCTTCTATCTCAGTGTTCTGCAATTCTAGAATTTGTCTTTAGATCAGCTAGTGCATTGCTGGCCCCTAAATTAATGCTTACTGAGTGACTGAACAAATAGGCCACAGGATCCCTGCCTCAGACGTTCCCGTTGCTGTGCTTTTCACTATCTCACTCAGTGATCAGAGATACCCACATGGAGGTAGCAGGAGCCACATCAGCAAGAAGCAGCAATGCCGTTCCACCCTGCCCTATGATTTTATTAATGTTTTGGAAAATCGGCCAACATGGAAGCACTGTCTCCCTGCATGGTGTGCATCTGCTGGAGGATGTGCAAGATGTGGAAGCCATGGTTTCTATCCCCAGACAACAATAGTCTGATAAGGAAGAAGAGGTTAGCATATTTTAAACGTTTAGTGCTAAACAATGTCAAAGAGACATAAAGACCCAGAGAAAGGAGAAATTGGTGAACAGATTAAAAAAAAAGGAAGTGGTAGGCAGAGTATGAAAGTTTGAGTATGATTTAATTAAGCAGAAGGAAGTTCATATTTGGTTTGGAACCCAGCACAAGTTGGGGCCCAGAGCCAAGAACAAGTTGGAAACTTATTTGTCATTGGGGAATCAGGTTCACGTGGGGGAGTGGCAGGAATAGAGGGGATGTCTTATTTTCAACGGCCTTGATTGCTTGGCAGGTCCTTTCACACTCTGCTTGTAGGTTCAGAAAACAAACAAATGAGCTAGGTATGGTAACACAAGCCTATAGTCCCAGCTACTTGGGAGGCTGAGGTGGGAAGATCACTTGAGTCCAGGAGTTCGAGGGTGCAGTGAGCCATGATTGTACCATTTGCACTCCAGCCTGGGCGACAGAGCTGTCTCTAAAAAAAATTTTTTTAATGTTTTTAAAAAGTACACCAACAAACAAAGAATATCAACAAAGAAAATCACTAGACGCAGTTAGGTGGGAATCATTTGGAAACCAAAGGAGGAGAATTCAATTCAATAAGTGATTTTGCAGACTCTGGTCTAGGCACAGAGATACAGCAATAAACAAAACATAGCCTGTTCTCATAGAGCTTGTGTTCTATGAGGATCAAATAGATGATATATACACATGCACACACACATGTAGACACATCGATGTCAGGTGGTGATATGCATCTGAAGGAATCGAGCCAGGGAAGGGTACTCAGGAGTGCAGCTTCCAGGGGAGCATGCAGTGTTTGAGGGGTGTTAAGGGAGAGATCAGGTCACCTGATTGAAAGGTGAAACCAAAAGGAAGAGAGTGAGCTATTTGGGTTGCTAGGGAAAGAGTCATCTAAGCAGATGAAACAGCATGTGCAAAGGCCCTGAGGCACAAGCCTGTGGGGTGTTCATAGAACAACTGGTTGGCCAGTGCCATAGATGAAAAATGAACTGGGGGCTGGGCACGGTGGGTCATACCTGTAATCCCAGCACTTTGGGAGGCCGAGGCAGGTGGATCACTTGAGGTCAGGAGTTCAAGACCAGCCTGGCCAACACGACAAAACCCTGTTCCTATGCAAAAATTAGCCAAACATGGTGGCAGGCACCTGTAATCCCAGCTACTTGGGAGGCTGAGGCACAAGAATCACTTGAACCTAGGAGGTGGAGGTTGCTGGGAGCTGAGATGGCACCACTGCACTTCATCTTGGGTGACATAGTAAGATTCTGTCTCAAAAAAGAAAAGAAAAGAAAAGAAAAATGAGCTGGGCTGGGGAGAATGGAGAGTGGCAGGGGACAAAGTCGGAGGAGTCATGGGAGATGGTAGATCCTGAGAGGCCTTGGAAAACACGTGAGGAAAATAATCAATGTGGCGTACCTGCATACGCACTACCCACTACAATCCATGCTCCACTGCAGTTGGTGATTCCCATGGGTGAGCTGTGCTGGCTGCAATCAAATCCTAAAATGACCTGATGGCATTGAGAGCTTGTGGCTCCAGCTCCTTTCTTTTTCATGTGAAATCTCTTTCAGGAAAGCCCCACTTCTCCTGCTTTTCTATCCTGTTGGCTCATCTCACATCAATAGGCCGTGAAGCTGGCTAGGGCTTACACCACCTCCTAGCTTATGCTTGTCTTTGACAACATGAATAAAATGCTGATTTTCCTCAAGTGACCACTGTACCAACAACTGGTGAAGTTTTCTCCAAAAGTTTTTGCTTTTGAAAATCTATTTGGGCAATGCCAGCAATTTCCACTCTCACTGAGTTTGCCTGTGGTCCTGTTATTCTTGCATCCAGTTCATTTCATGCCTTGCCATTGGCTTGGCCTTAACTAATAGCGATGGCCTGTGTCTTCATGCTGTCTTAGTGCACAGCCGCACCTGCACCAAGCTGTACTGCAGACATAGCTGTAAGCTTCTGTTCTTCTCTTTAAGAATATCCCTGAGAGTCTCGTTTCCCTACCTGCACGAGGGATGGTGGAAGCCTTGCCTGCCACCCCAGTTTTCTCAGAAGCGAATGCTATGTGCATCCACTCCTTTCTAGCATCTTCTAATGATCTTTCATGTCCCTACTGAATGTTTCCCTTTGCATTGCCGCCCATGCCCACAGGACTGATGAAGCACACTCTGTGGTTGTCACTAGTGATCTGAAGGTGGAGCAGCGGTCTTTTAGGATGTTATAAGAACTGCATTAGAAATACAAAGGGTGGGTTTTCGAGAAATCATGAACTCCTGTGTCCAGGGTCTGGTTAATCTCAGGCAGATGGGCCTGCCGGGTTGCCCCTAAGAAACCTGTGTCAGTTGAGCCCCAAGGGCCGCTCCCTGGAGAGGCTCAGGATGTCCTTTTAAGGAGAGGGCTCACAGGGGCTAGAGGCAGAGCAGGACCCAGGCATCTTCAGTGGCTCTGACCAAGGTGCTGGCACCCTCCAATTGCCCCCAGCCCACTCGGGCTTTGCAGTTTCTCAATGATGTCCTCCCCTTCCTGAGTGTCCCTCCATTCACCCCACTGAGAAGCATTTCAGTGGGATGCTTAAGCACACAGGTTCTGAGCCAGAATGCCTGGCTTCCTGACTCTAACTCCCTAGCATGAGACCCTGGACAAACGACTTGACATCTCTGTGCCTCAGTTGCATTATCAATAAATTGGAAGTCATCAGAGTTCCCACTTCAAAAGACAGTTATAAGGATTTTACGTGTAAATAGGTAAAGCTCTTAGAATTATTAATGCATGAAAAGCTTGTAGCACACATTGTGGATATAAATGACTTCACAGGATTTGTTGGTTCTATCTTGAGGTCTGATGGTGCCTCCCAGGTACTTGCCCACCTCTGGCCAGAGTTCCTTCCACGTGAATTATGCTTGGCAGGTATAGGAACTCTTGTCTTCTTAAGGAATTAAAAAATGAATAAATGAATGAACATAGAAAGCCTCAGATCTTCAGGCAAGTGAACAAGTTCTCCTTTGTGCCCATCTCCCTGGATTTACAGCTTCATTTTGCCTATATATAGAAGAACCCATGACAAGAGAGTTTAGGGTGCATGACAGTACAGGAAAATGGCTTATGCAAACTGAGACCTTCAATTAATGCATGCAGTTTATATTAGTCTGTTTTCAAACTGCTATCAAGAACTACCTGAGACTGTATGATTTATAAAGAAAAGAGGTTTAATTGCCTCACAGTTCCACGTGGCTGGGGTGGCCTCAGGAAACTTACAATCATGGTGCAAGGAGAAGGGGAAGCAAGGCACATCTCATATGGTGGCAGGAGAGACAGCAAGAAGGGGGAAGTGCCAGACACTTATCAAACAACCAGATCTCGTGAGAACTCTTTCATGAGAACAGCATGGGGGAAACCCCCACTATGATACAACCACCTCCCACCAGGTCCCTCCCTCGACATGTGGGGATAACAATTTCAGTTGAGATTTGGGTGGGGATACAGTGCCTAACCATATCACACTAGTTCTTTCACTAGACCACAAGGAGACTTAAAAATAAAGAAGGTATGATTTCTGCCCTCCAAGAACTTACAGTCCTGTTAAAAGACAAGATTATTTAAATGAGATGCTGGGTCACAGGGGAGCATGGAGAAGGGGAGTATCAATGTGGGATGGTCTACTCTTGGGGAGAGTCTTCCCTGCAGAGAAGGGACTTCATGAATGGGTACACTGGACAGGTGGAAGGAAGATCATTTCAGCAGGAGGGCAGACATCAAGGTAAGGATGAGCATAACCTATTTATCTATGGACAGAGCCAGGGGAAGCAACTTTACCTCCCAAGGAGATCCCAAACCAAAGGAAGATGCATCCATTCTATTCACCTGCAGGCCTTCCTCTTAGATTGGGGTAGATAAGAAGCCTGGGCCGGGCATGATGGCTCACATCTGTAATCCTAGCACCTTGGGAGGCTGAGATGAGTGGAACACTTGAACCAAGGAATTTAAGACCAGCCTGAGCAACATGGTGAAACTCCGCCACTACAAAATACAAAAAAATTATCCAGGTGTGGTGGCATGCACCTGTAGTCCCAGCTACTCAGAAGGCTGAGGTGGGAGGATAGCTTGAACCCAGGGAGGTGGAGGCTTCAGTGAGCTGGGATCATGCCGCTGCACTCCAGCCTGGGTGACAGAGTGAGACCCTGTCTCAGAAAAAAAAAAAAAAACAAAAAACAACATCTGGGGTCTATAGGAAAATAGAGAACTCTTAACAAATCCTCAGATTTAAAGTGTACTGTAAAGGACAGGTTAAACTAACAGTTATCAAGGCAGTATTTTAAAAATAGATGTTATCTCTTATATTCTTCACAATGACCCTAAAGTTGGTTTTTCTGCACATATTTTACAGATGGACTTATGAGGTCAGTGGGTTTACCTATAAATTCCTGGTTTCTGCTGCTTACCTTTCCTTTACATCTCTCCTCTGTCCCCATCCATATTGCCTGCCTGCTTCTAGGAGCTGTAGAACCAGCAGCCAGAAGTTTCTTTGCTTCACTAATGCAATTGCCTTTCCTCAGGGTGAGTGGTAGGAAATCTGGTTCAGGCAGTGGGGAAAGGCAGGGAAATTGCTGGTTATATTTAGTGTCAGAGGCTCTCAGGGAGGAGCTGGGGGCTTGGCAGAATTTCCTTACAGCTTGGAGGCCCCTGGAGGCCTGAGGCACTGCCTGCTCAATTCTCAGAGTTCAGGCACAGATGGCCCTCGTCAGCCCTTGATTTGTGGGGGGGCACGGGTTCTCACTCCAGTGAGTCTAGGGGGAGGGATCTCCAGAGGTCTCTGCCCAGCTGGCCACCTCCTGCCCGAAACTATTCAGTATAGAAGAGGGAGGGAGAAAGACCAGATGGGCCACAGGCTTTGGGCCTCAAGGTGTGAATTTTGTCCTAACCTCAGTCATCTTGGGTACTAGAGGACAGACACCTCTTTATTAGGCAGCTGTTTGTTTGGTGATTAACCTAGGGAGCTTGGAAGGCACCCAGAATAATTGTCAAAGCCCGGCAGCCATCTCTGCTGCTGAGATCTTTGTGGGGTGGGGAAGGGTCCTGGGAGGCAGGGGCATCTCCCTGGAGTTACAGCTTCATTTTGCCTGTACATAGAAGAACCCATCAGAGAGTTTAGGGTGAATGAGTGTATAGGAAAATGGCCTTATGCAAACCGATCCCTCAATTAAATATATACACTTGGCCTTTCATGAGACCGTGAAGAAATTTAAAAACAAGATATGATTTCTGCTCTCTAGGAACTTACAGTCCTGTTTAAAGACACGAAGAGAAAAACGAGATGCCAAACCACAGTGGGAGTTTAGAGAAGACTGTGATGAGAGTTGGAGCATTCTTGGGGAGTCTTTGCTGCAGAGATGGGACTTTATGCATCAGTACATTCTTAAAGTGTCTACGCTGCCCCGGGATGCTGAGCCCCTGGACACCACAGGTGGCATTTCAGCTATGAGTGAGGGGGGGCATTTGGAAGGGGAGCCCCGAAGGGGAAGACAATGGCTCAGAGAGAATGAAGTCAGCACTTCCCAGCCTCTGTGTGCTGCGGTCCAAGGCTTCGGCCGGGAGCACTGCAGAGCAAAAGTTCTGAGAGCCACGGCTCAGGCTTAACTGGCCAGAGCGAGCTTGGCAGCTGCTCTCGTCCCAGCAGGCTTTGCTCTCTGAGGCAGTCATTCCCACCACACAAAGGCAGTTCTGTGCCTCCCAAAGGTGCTTGGGGCAGGAATGAAGAGCGGAACAGCCCCCATCAATCCAATAGGATTGTCGTTTTACGCTGGCGTGGAGCCTCAGACATCAAAAGGGCTGGAGAGTGAAGCCACGTGTGAGCCGTGAAGGTAAGCAGCTCTGCCTGTGCTCCCAAGCAGGGTGCCTATTCCGGGACAGCATGGAAGCTCCCATGGCCACAGCTACGAGGGAATTGAAGGGAGAAAGGGAGAGAGGGAGAGGGCGAGAGGGCGAGAGGGAGAGAGGGCCAGAGGGCCAGAGGGCGAGAGCGCGAGAGCGCGAGAGGGCGAGAGGGAGTGGCTGGGGAGAGGAAGCTAGAGGGTGTAGAAAGAGAAGGAGTCACACTCACACCTGGGGTTTGAGATCTTGTTCTCCCACTCACTAGCTGAGCAACCTTAGGCGAGCTGCTTCAGCCTCACCCAGCCTGTTTGTTGACAAAAATGGCGGGCTTACCACCCACTTCCATGCGGTCTATTTGAGCATGAAATGAATAAATATTGGTAAATCTGCAGTGTAGACTGTCAGGTACTATAAAATGTTTTTGCTGTTGAGTTGTTTACTGTTACCAAAAGAAGATACGGTCAGAACAAATTTGGGCCTTCTATGAGCTCCCCCAGGCCAGGAGAGGGTAGGGCAGCACTGACCATGCTGGAGGGGGGATGCTAGCTGGGAATACACAAGAAAGAAGAAAGATGCACACTACTTTCCAACTACCCGATCTCCCTGGTCCAGTAGGTAGACAGATTATGGGATGGAAAGAATCTTTAGCCAGTTCCAACCTCTGGGGACTTCGTGGTGAATTATTTCTAGGGAATTTTCTAATGCCTGGGCACAGGAAGCATTTTAGACAGGGTGAATATATCATGATTCCCCATGAGGCTATTTCTCAAATGTGCATGGATACTGTTGTGATTATTAAAATGTGAATTAATTGTAAAGCATCACAGAGTTCGTGGTGACTTTTGGTTTTAGGAATTTTCTTTTCTTTTTTTTTTTTTTTTTTTTGACGGAGTTTCACTCTTGTTGCCCAGGCTGGAGTGCAATGGCACGATCTCGGCTCATTGCAATCTCCGCCTCCCAGGTTCAAGCGACTCTCCTGCCTCAGCCTCCCGAGTAACTGGGATTACAGGCATGCGCCACCACCTCCATCTAATTTTGTATTTTGAGTAGAGACCGGGTTTCTCCATGTTGGTCAGGCTGGTCTCAAACTCCCTACCTTAGGTGATCCGCCCGCCTCGGCTTCCCAAAGTGCTGGGATTACAGGCGTGAGCCACCGCGCTTGGCTGGTTTGAGGAATTTTTTCTTAAACAGAGATGATTTGGTAGGGATGCTGGGTGATTTGTTAACTCTACAAGATGATTGGGGACCACTACTGTAGGGCAGGGCAAATTGTGTAGAGAATGCATTTGAGTAGCGAGGAGGTGAAGGAACAAATGCATAGGGGACTGAGGGGCGCCATGGAGAGGCAGTGTGAAGCCACACACAGGAAGAGCCTGTGCTTTGGGATCAGCTTAAGCTGGCTTCAATTCCCCGTTCTGCCCCTTATGTAGGCCTTGGGTAACAAACACACCTTTTGTAATCTTTATCCTTCATAGAATTCGTGAGGATCAAATGAGATATTATTTTAAAGTCATAGTTAGTCCTTGCAAATATGAGTTGAATAATGAAAAGAAGGCATCCCCTCTTTGACAAGATATTTCCCTTCTTGTATTTTCTCTAGTCCACTGTTCCCTACGTAAGGATCTCAGAGAAGCAGGTCTAAACTTAGAAGATTAAGAAGAAAAACAAAAAACAACCTAGTATTTGTATTTTCTCTCAAAGTAGTGGGGAAGCTGAGGAACTTCAGCGACTTAACTGTAGCCTCACCTTCCTTGAAGGAGGGGACCACAGGATTGCCACTGGATTTTTTGGGCTACATCTTGGTTGTTGGGTTGAGGCTTCAATGCTTGGATTAGACATCACTTCCACCATTAGCAGCTCACAAGACTGCCGGTGCTTAAGGAATGTGAGAGCGTCCATTCCCTGAGGTCTGAGACCGCCATTCGTTTCTGGCATAGAGCAGATGCTTTTGTTACAGGAAAGGGGTCCCGATCCTTTTATTAAGTTTATTAAAAAAGTGGAGGAATATAAGAATGGCTACTCCATAGAGAGAGCAGCACCGAGGGCTGCTGGTTGCTCATTTTTGTAGTTACTTCTTGATTACATGCTAAACAAGGGGTGGATTATTCATGCCTCCCCCTTTTAAAGCATATAGGGTAACTTCCTGATGTTGCCATGGCATTCGTAAACTGTCGTGGTGCTGGTGGTGGTGTGGCAGTGAGGATGACCAGAGGTCACTCTCATCTCCATCTTGTTTTTGGTGGGATTTGACCAGCTTCTTTACTGCAAACTGTTTTATCAGCAAGGTCTTTGTGACCTGCATCTTGTGCTGACCTCCTATCTCATCCTGGGACTTAGAATGCCTTAAGTGTCTGGGAATGCAGCCCAGTAGGTCTCAGACTCATTTTACCCAGCCCCTACTTAAGATGGAGTTGCTCTGGTTTACACGCCTCTGACAATCACGATATGTGGCTGAATGAGTGAGTGAGTGAGTGATTGAGTGGAGAATTCACGCCTTGTCTTGCCCTTGCCATCTCATTTCCAGGACAGCTGCTGGGGACTCTGGAGTGCTCTCTGTCTCCTTCTGCTTGGGCACACAGGCTTCTCCTTCTGCATGGGCAACACCCAGGCCCACCTAAAACTCCAGTTTTGGATCCCAGTTTCTTTCTCAGATGCCAAATATTTGGGAGCAGTGCTTTTCATTGTGTGCCTGATCCTGGAGCCTGAATCTCCACCTTGTTCCCTGATAGTGGGCAAAGGGATGCTTTTTTCCTGATGCAAGATGCAGTATTAGAGCCCTGCCAAAATCATGGGCTCAATTTCCCCCCTCCCACTCCCCTTCTGTACTCCTTTTGAACCAGATCGAGTTCAATTAAAAGAAAAAAGAAGCATGTTAACCCAATTCACATCCCTCACATTAAGGTGCTAATAACTTGGAGTTAAACCTCCTGGGGAACATTTGCATTTTAATAGAGTGTGCTTAGGACCATTCATGCTCTGGTGGGGGGACGTGTTTTGAACTGGGAGCCTGGAGATTTGGATTTAGTCCCCAAGCTACAATTAGCCCTTTGCCCTTGGGTAAGTGATCTCTCTCTCTCTTTGTCTGCTTAGACTCTCCAACTGGTCCCTAAATTTAAAATTTTGGACTAGATAATTTATCCCACATACACTTTATAACAATTTTATGAGACAGGTACTATTCATGGCACCATTTTACAGATGAGAAAACTGACGCCCAGGGAAGTCAATAAGTGTCTTACTGAAGGTCAGTCGCTACTGTGGAGCAGAACCAGGATTCAAACCCAGGCAGTACGATGCAAGCATCTTACCCACCTCACACCGTTCAGCCCCTCCCTGTCACATTTTCCCAAAATAAATAATCCTGTGTCATCATGAGGAAGAGCTTTGGGATGGGGTGGGGTGAGGGCCGAGGGAAAAGTTTGCTGGGGACCCATCACGGGGCATCACCTCCTCCTTTTCCTTTTCCTCTCTCCTGTCCCCACCCACTGGCCACACAAGCTAGAGCTGGGCCATTTGCTAGACAGAGGGGGTGGTGTTTACAGTTTCGTGAAAGGCAATCGCTAACCCTCTTGACCAACCATCACACCCTGTTGAATGTAACAGGTAACATCCTGCACACACATTCAGATCTGAGTACTTGACAGCAACTGTTTTTAATTTGCAGATGATAGTTGGTTTCATGAAAACAAAGATCTTCCTGCAAATCTTGTAGGTTAAAACTAAATAATTAACTGCATGAAAGTGAAGTACTCAAAATACAATTGGACATCAGATATGCTGATGAAAAGAAACTGAGAAGTGCACCCAGCAGAGCCAGCTGCCCTGCCCTCTCCACAGGGGCCTGGGGATGGGAATCCTACCCTCAGTGGGATATGGTGCTGGAGCTGTGGGTTGGAGCGATGTTCATGGGAAGAACATGTTGGCAGGGATAGTGGTAAGGGGAGTGAAGGGAAGAGAGAAATTCAGTTTCCTGGAAGATTTGTGACCAGTTCGTTGAGATGGCATTTCCATGGAATTCAGGAGACTGCATGGAACATAGATTTAAATTCAGAAGCTGGGAGTATATCCTGAGGACAGACACAAAGAAACCCCATGGTCCGAAGACCTACCAGAGAACATGCAGTTCAACAGGAATGAAAAGAAAAACAAATGTAAAAGTCGTCTCCTCTGTATAGATCTCTTAAGATGGAAGTGCCAGCAGCTACAGATCCTTCCAAGGTGCCAGGCAGTGCTCTAAGTGGATGTCACTGAAGTCCTGTAGCCAGGAGCTATTCGTATTACTGTCCCTACTTTGCGGAGGACTCACAGCACGCATGTTAAGACACTTTCTTTTGGTCATAGCTGGAGCCCATATTTGAAGCGGATGAGCTGGTTTAGGGGCCGTACTCAGCTGGTTGAGTGTCATAGAGGAAAGGACAGTGGGTACCAGAGGGATTTTCCTCAGTCCAGACACCTGAGTCCAGTCCCTGGGGACTTCAGGCTGGGTTATTTTGTCCTTAGTCTAATCTTGGAGGAGCAGGCACCCCTGCGGATGGGGCAGGGAGGAACATGGGTCACAGGTGCTCTGTGTGTAGACTTCATCTACTCTGCCTGCTTGCTGCCCCTCCTCAGGCACCTGGGCCTCCTGGGTGTCAGGAACCTCTCAGTGATCTCCTGGCAAATTGTTTCTTATCTGTCTGGCATTCCTCTCAGCAGGCCTTGAGTTGTAAGACTTGTCACCTGATAAATTAATTGCCCTTCCTCCAGACGTTCTTTTGTGTGTGTGTGTGTGTGTGTGTGTGTGTGTGTGTGTGTGTGATGATTTTCATTTCTTTTTTTTTTTAATTATACTTGAATTCTGGGATACATGTGCAGAACATGCAGGTTTGTTAAATAGGTATACGTGTGCCATGGTGGTTTGCTGCACCCATCAACCTGTCATCTACATTTGGTATTTCTCCTAATGCTATCCCACCCCTTGCCACCCATTGCCTGACAGGCCGCAGTGTATGATGTTCCCCTCCCTGCGCTCATATGTTCTCATTGTACAACTCCCACTTATGAGTGAGAACATGCGGTGTTTGGTTTTCTGTTCCTGTGTTAGTTTGCTGAGAATGATGGTTTCCAGCTTCGTCCATGTCCCTGCAAAGGACATGAACTCATTCTTGTCCCTGCAAAGGACATGAACTCATTCTTTACGGCTGCATAGTATTCCATGGTGTATATGTGCCACATTTTCTTTATCCAGTCTGTTATTGATGGGCATTTGGGTTGGTTCTAAGTCTTTGCTATTGTGAATACTGCTGCAATAAACATACGTGTGCATGTGTCTTTATAGTAGAATGATTTATAATTCTTTGGGTATATACCCAGTAATGGGATTGTGAGATCAGATGGTATTTCTGGTTCTAGATCCTTGAGGAATCACCACACTGTCTTCCACAATGGTTGAATTAATTTACATTCCCACCAACAGTGTGAAAACGTTCCTATTTCTCCCCATTCTCTCCGGCATCTGTTGTTTCCTGACTTTTTAATGATCACCATTCTAACTGGCGTGATGGTATCTCATTGTGGTTTTGATTTGCATTTCTCTGAAAACCAGTGATGATGATGAGCTTTTTTTCCCATATGTTTGTTGGCTGCATAAATGTCTTCTTTTGAAAAGTGTCAGGTGTAATTAACATATTTAGGTGTAATTAACATGTTTAAAGTGTGTTCCTCCATATGTTTTGACACATGCATACACCTGTGAAACCATCACCACAATCACAACTGTGACCATGTCCATCACCGCCAAAGCTTCGTCATTCAGTTTGGTGACCCTCTGCCCATCCCTCCTACATCCTCCTCCCCAGGTGACCACCCACCTGCTTTCTGTCTCTCTAGATTGGTTGGCAGTTTCTAGGATGTACATATAGGAAATCATACATGCCTGGCATGGTGATTCATGCCTGTAATCCCAGCACTTTGGGAGGCCAAGGTGGAAGGATTCCTTGAGGCTAGGAATTCAAGACCAGCTTGGGCAACATAGAGAGACCTGATCTCTACAAAAATAAATAAAACATTAACTGGGCATGGTGGTGCACACCTATAGTCCTAGCTACTTGGGAGGCTGAGGCAGGAGGATTGCTGGAGCCTAGGAATTTAAGGCTGCAGTGAGCTATGATTGTGCCATTGCAGTCCAGCCTGGATGACAGAGTAAGACCCTATCTCTAAAAACAAACAAAGAAACAAACAAAAACAAAGCAAAACAAAAAAAGAAATAGAATTATAGGGTATGTAGGTTTTTTTTGGTCAGCTTCCCTCACTCAGTATATTACTTTGATAGTTCAAATATTTTAGTTTTAGAAAACAATTTTCTATTTATAATAAAAAGTGAAAGTAAACAATGTATCCATTTAATTGGTAAAAAATTTCATGTCCGTTAAATTTGTGTCTGTATCATCCTTACTGTGATTGCTACTGGCAAAGAACAGCACATCCCTTTGAGATCCATCCAAATTGTGGTGTGCATGCGTAGTTCATTCCTTGTGATTGCTGAGTGTATTAGTCTATTCTTGCATTGGTATAAAGAACTACCTGGGACTGGGTAATTTATAAAGAAAAGAGGTTTAATTGACTCACAGATCCACATGGCTGGGAAGGCCTCAGGAAACTTACAATCGTGGTGGAAGGTGAAGGTGAAGCAGGCACCTTTTACATGGCCAGAGAAGGAGGAAGAGAGAGAGAAGGGGGAGGTGCTACTCACTTTTAAACAACCAGATCTCATGAGAACTCACTATAATGAGAACAGCAAGGGAGAAATCCACCCCCATGACCTAGTCACCTCCTATCAGGCCCCTCCTCCAACATTGGGGATTGCAATTTAACATGAGATTTGGGTGGGGACACAAAACCAAAGCTATCACTGAGGATTGTTCCACTGCATGGATGCTCTACCCAGTCACACCATCCAGGCCCAATCCAGCCATGTCTGGAGACTGACACCAATCTGTATCTGCAGTGCTCCAGTCGGCTCATTCTCACCAGGAACTGTTCATTGCAGGGAGAAAGGCCTAGCCAAATTTCCTTATTCACCATCAGAGAAATCAAATGTCAGAGCTGGAAAGATCCTTGATACCAGTGGGTCCCTGTTTGGGGTTGAATTGTGTCCCTTTCAAATCTATGTGTTTTAATTCCTAGTACCTCAGAATGTGACTGTATTTGGATACTGGACCTTTAAGTAGGTAATTAAGTTAAAATGTGATCAGCAGGGCAGGCCCTAATTCAAGATGCCTGATGCCCTTCTAAGAAGCGGAGATTAGGGTAAGGATACACACCAGAGGGAAGACTATGGGAAGGCAAAGGGAGAAGACGGCCATCTATAAGCCAAGGAGGGAGAGACCTCAGAAGAAACCAATCCTGCTAACACCTCAATCTTGGACTTCCAGCCTCCAGAATTGTGAGAGCGTCCATTCTGTTGTTGAAGGCACCCAGTCAAATGCTTTTTTATGGCATCCCAAGCAGACTAATGCAGCCCTGTATTACCCATTCAGTCCAACAAGCATTTGCTGAATGCTTTCTACATGACAGGCTGGGTCAGGGATATATTAGGAGGGAAGAGATGAGGTTTCCATCATTTAGAAACCTCTGGCCTCCTTGCATTTTGCATATCAACAAACCAAGGCTCAGATGGCTAAGCTGACTTCTTGAGATCATAATATCCTACTTCTTTATTCCTTTGGTCGTCTTGCCAAAGGGGACACCACAGTGTGACCCAGTGTGTGGGCTTTGAGGAAAGCTTGGTGTAGTGGAAAAGTGCCCTGAAGCAGGGGTCAAAAAAGCTAAGTTCTAGTCCAGACTCCATCCTCATTTGTTGTGTTGCCTCTAGCTTTCATCAGGCCTCTGTGAAATGGGCATGGTGATCCTCCTCCAGCCTTCTCCACGGGTGGCCATAAGAACCAAAGAAGAAAGTGCAGGCGAAGCTCCAAGTGGAAAGCATAATGATTAGGATGGGATGGGCCTTCAGGGAAGCCTGCTGGATGCCATCCAGGACACACTTGCTCCAGGTCTGCACTTGCCCTCAGAGCAGGTGTCTGCCATCTGGCTTCGACAATCTGTGCTGTTCTGTGTGTGCTAATGACACAGGCCTGTGCAGCCCTCTTCAGTTACCTTTGGCAGACCTAGACACAGGGGCCCTGGCTCCAGAGACAGTGCTGGCTCCTGTGGCACTTTAAGTATATGGAAAGACCCTTGAGACCAACGGGTCCCTGTTTGGGGCTGAATTGTGTCTCTTCCAAATCTAAATGTTCAAATCCCTAGTATCTCAGAATGTGACTGTATTTGGAGATTGGGCCTTTAAGTAGGTAATTAAGTTAAAATGAGGTCAAGCCTGCCATGGAGGTATACCCGATATGCCCTGTGAACCTTTGGTCACCCGCTGTGATGGCTGATCTTAGGTCTCAACTTAGCTATGCCATGGTCCCTAGATAATTGGTGAAACAACAGACTAGATGCTTCTGTGAGTGTAATTTTTAGATGACATTAACATTTAAAACAGCAGACTTTGAGTAAAACAGATTACTGTCCACAGGGTGGTGGGCCTCATCAGATCAGTTGAAAGCCTTAAGGTAAAACAGACTGAGGTCTCCCAAGAAAGAGAGAATTCCTCCTGGAGACCGCTTTTGGAATTGACCTGCAACCTTAACTCTTCCCTGGGTCTCCAGCCTGCCAGCCTGCTCTGCAAAATTCAGACTTTCCAGCCAACACAATTATGGGAGCCAATTCCTTAAAATAAATCTCTCTCTCTCTAAACATGTAATACACATATCCTGTTGGTTCTGTTTCTGTCGAGAACTCTGACTAATATACCCCACCTTATATCGTCAATGTGGGCTGCTATAACAAAATACCACAGATTAGGTGGCTTAAACAACAGACGTTTATTGCTCACAGTTCTAAAGACTGGGAAGTCCAAGATCAAGATGCCCACAGATTTGGTTCTTCCTGGCTTGCAGATAGCTGCCTTCTTACTGTGTCCTTGCGTGATGGAGAGAAAGTGAGCTTTGGTCTCTCTTCCTCTTCTTACAAGGGGACTAATCCTATTATGGCAGCCCCACCCCAATGGCTTCAACTAAACCTAATTACTTCCCAAAGTCCCACCTCCAAATACCATCACACTGGGGGTTAAGAGCTTCAACATATGAATTCTAGGGGGACACAAGCGTTAAGTCTGTAACACCCCGTTATCCCCATTCTCAAATAACTCTCATTTATTGAGCACTTATTGTGCTTACTAGCCAATGTTCTACACATATCATATGCAACCATACGTGAGTATTATTGTCTCTGTTTTACAGTTGGTGACCCTGAGGCACAGAAAGCTGAGGGAATTTGTTCGAAGTCACACAGCTGGTAAGTGTCCTGGAGTCTACTTTCTTGACCTCTGTGCTGTGCTGCCTCTTGGGTCCAAACCCACATACCTGAACATAAAATGAGCGCTTACACCTATCCAAAGAACAGAGACAGTGCAGCCTCTCAGGTGAGTGCACCAGTCCCCTGGCCACAGGAGGGACATGCAGATTTCTGGGAATGGTACCCTGTGAGTCATGACATTCTTGCTGAAGCTGCATCAACTGAGACCAGTCCTGCTCCTACTTCTTCGCCGGGCCACAATGGCTGGGATAGTGCCTTGCATGGATGCTGGCGCTCAGGGGCTGCTGATGGGCAATGAGGTAGATGGTCAGACATGGACCTACAAAAGCAAGCCTAGGCAGTGCCTCCCATCCGAGCCTTCTGGGATGGAGAAGACAAGTCCTTTACATAATCTAAAAGAAATTAGCAACTTCTGGCTCAAGCCTGAGTTTGCATGTTTGCCTCCCTTGCCTCCTAAATCCCACTGACATGACAGCAAAGATATAAAAAGGAAATCAACTCGTAACTGTGCTGAGAACAGCAGGGGTGGCCCTCTGTGCCCAGAGATTCTGGTGAATTTCTGAAAGACGGAAGAAGAAGGGAACATATGGAGGAAAAAGCTACAGTTTAGAACATGATCAGGAAAGTGCTGCCAGCGATGAGGGAGCAGATTACCCTCAAACACTGTGTGAAAAATATTTACACTATGTGCAGTATTAGTTTTATGATGATGATGATATATATAACAAATAACACATTTTCTCACTTTCAATCTGCTGATAATGGTCTTGGTGACATTAAGATGTTTTTTCTCAAGGTGTGTTAGCTGAGCCCTGGGCAGCTGCTGTCAGGCTCCTGTGGGCAGGCGCTTTCAATCTTGGCTTCTGTGGCCTTGGTAGAGGGCCACAAAAAGCTTCTGAGGTCATCTGCGAACATTATTGCTTCTATGGGCATTTTCCTGGGAGACCTTGGATACATTGCTTTGACCAGATTTGCAAAAAACTTAATGGTCCAAGACTGTCATTCACTGTCGGAGTTTTTGATGACTTTTCCAGTTTCCATGGTTGGGTTGTTGGTTTATCCAAAGTCATGTAGCAAGGCCATGATGGAGCTGTCGTGGGGCCACAGGTCTCAAGGCTCTGAGTTGGTGCTCTTTGCCACTTCCTAAGTATCCTTACAAATGAAAAGGGGCACATCCATTTTCTTAATGAGCAAAGCAGCCAAGAGTGGCACTGAGTTCAGACTCCTCTAAAAATCTGGTCCAGTCTGGGTGTGGTGGCTCACACCTGTAATCCCAGCACTTGGGAAGACTGAGGCAGGAGTATCACCTGATGCCAGGGGTTCAAGACCAGCCTGGGCAACATAGTGAGATCCTGTCTCTATAAAAATTGTTGAAAAAAATTAGTGGTGGCACGTACCTATAGTCCCAGCTACTTGGGAATCTGAAGCAGGAGGATGGCTTGAGTCCAGGAGTCCCAGGCTACAGTGAGCTATGATAGCAGCGCTGCACTCCAGCCTGGGTGACAGAGCAAGACCCTGTTTAAAAAAAAAAATCTGGTCCAGAAACACAGGGTGTGTCCTCAAAATAAATCCTGTCCAGATTCCAAATTGCTCACGTGTGCCTTGTCTCAAATAAGAACTACCATTACAAAGGGAGTGGCAGAGGCAAAGGACATTCCACTGCTTTTTTTTTGTTCCCTGTGACCTCCCCAAGTGTTTCTTCTCTGCAAATGCCCAGTAAGAGATGGCCTTCCCCTCCTCTGTATCCCCTCTTGGAGAGTCAACACGTCCAACTGAGCCCTCTTGTTGGCACTAATTGATGCCATTGGGTAATCCTTAATTACTGCCCACAGTTCCCCAGCATGTAATGAGTGGTGAGCCAGTGCCGCGGGGTTCCAACCAGCAGGCCTTAAAAATCTGAGCTGTTCACACGAGTAGCTGGAGCTGCTCTCTCTCTCTCTGGGTCCCTCCTTGTCTCAGAGTTGCATCATGCTGGGGAAATTTGCCCAATATCTGTACACGGACCCGTGGAGGCTGCTGGTGCACATCTGTTGGCCATCCCTGGCCAGAAACCACAGCAATCAGCTGGAATGGGCTTAATGGCCCATGCCTTGTCTCAATCTGTAGGCACATCTAAAGATTTGGCTTAGGGAGGTTCCCAGCTGATTGGCTGCCAGCTGGCTTCTGGATAGACAACTGTCTTTTGTGGTTATCCCATTCTTGGCCTAGGTGGACATTTTCAAAGTTCTCCTAGCTTTAAATTATTCATAGGCAGTTAGAGGGAGTCAGGGAGGGTTTGCCTAAAGCGCCGTTTTCACTCTAAGTTCTCATTTAAGGCAGGTTGGTGCTGGAGGAAGGTCACACCCTTTGGGTTCAGACATAACTTGGCTTATTCAGAGGACTAAATAAGTTAATACAGTAGGTGGCCCTTTATCTTTGGGGGCATGTTCCAAGACCCCCATTGAATGCCTGAGACCTTGAATAGTATAGAACCCTATATACACTATGTTTTTTTCCTATACATATGTAGCTATAATAAAGTTTAATTTATAAATTAGGCACAGTAAGAGATTAACAACTGATAAGAAAAAATTTATAATAATATAAGGTAATAAAAGTTATGTGAATGTATTCTCTCTCTCAAAATATCTTGGTATTTTCAGACAGTGATTGACTACATTGAAACCATGGAAAACAAAATGTTTTTTTGCAGTAACCGAAATGGAAAAAATGGAACTGAAGGTCGGGTGCAGTGGCTCATGCCTGTAATCCCAGCACTTTTGGAGGCCGAGGTGGGTGGATCACGATGTCAGGAGATCGAGACCATCCTGGCTAACATGGTGAAACCCTGTCTCTACTAAAAATACAAAAAAATTAGCCGGGCGTGGTGGCGGGCGCCTGTAGTCCCAGCTACTCAGGAGGCTGAGGCAGGAGAATGGCGTGAATCCAGGAGCCGAAGCTTGCAGTGAGCCAAGATCGCGCCACTGCTCTCCAGCCTGGGAGACAGTGTGAGACTCTGTCTCAAAAAAAAAAAAAAAAAAAAAAAAAAAGGAACCGAAGATAAGGGGAGACTACTGTATACATTTAAGTGCTAGGCAGTATGGCTGCCCCGTAGGAAGCTCTCTGGGTGTGACAATTGTTGTGGAGATTAGAGATTATGCCTGTAAAGCCTGGTAAACAGTAGCTAATACCATTATAAGCCTAGTTCAGCACAGGAAGCTTCCCAAACAAAAATCATCGCTTTGCCCCAACCCTGAGTTTATTGTCAAATTTGTGCTCTTTAGAAACTGATTGGTGCTCTAAAAATCACCTTGGATATGGGAGCGAAAAGCCTGAACTCTAGTGTTAGCTCTGCCATTCATTGGGCACATAAAGGCCAAGTCACTCAATCTTTTTTTTTTTTTTTTTTTTTTGAGACTGAGTCTCGCCATGTCTCACCCAGGCTGGAGTGCAGTGATGAGATCTCAGCTCACTGCAACCTCTGCCTCCTGGGTTCAAGTGATTCTCCTGCCCCAGCTGGGATTACAGGCATACGCCACCACGCCCAGCTAATTTTGTATTTTCAGTAGAGACAAGGTTTCGCCATGTTGGTCAGGCTGGTCTCGAACTACTGACTTCAAACGATCCACCCACCCCGGCCTCCCAAAGTGCTGGGATTACAGGTGTGAGCCACCATGCCCGGCTAAGTAGCTTAACCTATAGGGCTTACTGTCCTCAGGTGAATTAAACATGGAGGAGTCTGCACTGGGTAAAGGGTTAAAGGGTGTCCTGGCAAAATACATGTCCATCCAGAACCTCAGAATGTGTTCGTATTTGGAAATAGGGTCCTTGCAGATGTAATCGGGTGAAGATGGGTTCATATTGGATTGGAGTGAGTCATAATCCACTGTGACTGGTGTCTTTAAAAGAAAAGGACACACGGAAATTCAGAGACAGAAAGACCCACAGGGAGAATGCCATGTGATGACAGAGGCAGAGACTGGAGTGATGGGTCTATAGCCAACGGACACCAAAGACTCTCATCCACCAGAAGCTGGAAGAGGCAAGAAGGTATGGTCTCCTAGAGCTTTCAGATGGAACAAGTCCCTCCTGATACCTTGATTTTGGACTGCTGGCCTCCAGAACAGTTAGAGAATACATTCTTGTTATTTTAAGTCACCCAGTTTTTAGTATGGCAGGCACAGGAAACTAATATAGACCCTAAGAAGTCTTCCAGCTCTGCTATTCTTAACTTACTGGGACACAGAAAGCCCTGTCTCCTCATTTGACATTATCCACCTACTTTCACTACCTTGATCTCTGAAGGTGCTTTAGACCTGCCTGTCCCCTAAAAAGCAAAGAGGGACAGGAAGGAAAGGAAGTCAGGTGGAAGAGGAGGTGGGGTGTTGGAAACAGAGGTTGAAGTGGCAGAAGCAGCACTTCCTGAGTCTGGAAAGGTGGGAGGGAATGAAGAGCCTCAGGGCTGAGGGAGAAGGGCCTGCTTCCTTTGTGAGGCCACTCAGAGGCAGTGGGTCACCGAGGCTCGGTCATAAGTGACTGAGGTGATAAGTGGGTCAGTTAAGCAACAATCGAGGTCTGGGCGCCTTGTCATTTGGAGAGGGCTTAGGTTTTGCCGAGGAATCAGGTCTGAGGATTTGGGGTTCTTTCGCCCTGTATTTGTCAGTGAACTTATAGGGCAAAATGTTTAATAAGCAATTTGTCTCTGGAAGGAGAGGAAGGAACTAATGTTTTGAATTTCAGATGAGATTCTTTCAAGTTCTTTCCTTCGATGAGAAAATAAACAAAGATGAATAGTTATCTCTGCCCATATGGTCTAGAAGCGGGTATAGAAGGCAGGACCTTCTGTAGGCTGGACACTGTGCTGGAGATTTTTACAAATAAAAAACTTTACTCCTGAGAGTAACTATGGTAGTTACCAAGAACCCCAGCTTGCAGATGAGACTCAGAGCTGTGAATTAGCTCAGTCAGAGGACTTGCCAGAGATTCATCCAGTGATGAAGCTGACTAACTTCAAAGACCAGACTCAGCCAGCAGCGGTGGCTCACGCCTGTAATCCCAGCACTTTGGGAAGCTGAGGTGGGCGGATCACCTGAGGTCAGGAGTTCAAGACCAGCCTGGCCAACATGGTGAAACCCCGTCTCTACCAAAAGCAGCAAAAATTAGCTGGTCATGGTGGAGCATGTCTGCAGTCCCAGCTACTGAGGAGGCTGAGGTGGGAGAATTGTTTGAACCAGGGAGGTGGAGGTTGCAGTGAGCAAGATTGCGTTACTGCACTCCAGCTTGGGCGACAGAGCAAGAGCCTGCCTCAAAAAACAAAAACAAAACAACAGAAAACCAGGCTCTTAGCATTCAATATAGCCAATTCTCCCTTTTTTGTCTCCATCTTTCCTCTTCTCTCAAACTCGTATGTATTCATTTAGAGCGCTCACTTGCCATTCTCACCAGCACAGAAAAATTTGAAGAATCATAAAAGGTCAGAATAAGAAGGAACTTGCCCACCTTTTCATTTTAGGAATGAAGAAACTCATTTCTTGCCTCAGTTTTCTCAAAGAGAGCTGTTCTCTTGGCCAGGCGCATTGGCTCATGCCTGTAATCCCAGCACTTTGGGAAGCTAAGGTGGGCGGATCATCTGAGGTCAGGAGTTCAAGACCAGCCTGGCCAACATGGTGAAACCCTGTCTTTACTAAAAATACAAAATTAGCCGGGCGTGGTGACACATGCCTAATCCCAGCTACTCAGGAGGCTGAGGCAGGAGAATCGCTTGAACCCAGGAGGCGGAGTTTGCAGTGAGTCGAGATCGAGCCATTGCCCTCCAGCCTGGGCAACAAGAGTGAAACTCCATCTCAAAAAGAAAGAAAAGAAAGAAAGCTGTTCTTTTAATCCTTTAAATCTTTTACAGCCAGGTGCAGTGGCTCACACCTGCAATCCCAGCTATTCAGGAGATTGAGGCAGGAGAACTGTTTGAGGCCAGGAATTTGAGACCAGCCTGCTGGGCCACATAGCCAGATCCAGTCTCAAACAAAACAAAACCCCACAAATGATTACATCTCTGAAGTGTCTGATTCTCCAAAGACATAGAGAGAGGAAATGACCAAGTCAAGGACATACAGCCAGTGAGGATGAGCCCAGGCTTGGACAGAGAGATCCAGCTTTGTTAGTCTCCTAGACCACACAAACTTTGGCAGAACTTCATGATCCAAGAAAAGCCAAGGAATAATGGAAAGCTTCTTTCTTCTGCATCCTTACAATTTCTAGGAATCAGATGAAATTCTTTCAAGTCCTTTCCTTTGATGAGAAAATAAACAAAGATGAATAGTTATCTCTGCCTACGTGGTTGAGAAAAGGATACAGAAGACAATGTCTAGAAATGGAGCCCATCAAGGAGTTGAGCACATTCACTCATTTGCTTACAAAGCCTGATGATTTAGAAATCATTAATGAGAGGGAAGCCAGGCACAATTTCCCATCGTTCTTTTTCAGAGAAAAATTTCCAATTTTATTTTTTGGCATTTTTTTGAGATATTGCTTATAGATAATAAATGGTACCCATAATATGCCATGTAATGGTAGTACAACATTAAAGGACCATCTACTGAGTTTTGACTTATGTATACAACTATAAAACTATCACAAGTGAGATGCCAGACAGTTTCATCGTCCACCCCCAAAGACTTCCTAGTGTCCCTTTAGAATCTTTCTCTCCCTATAATCCCATCCCCAGGCAACCACTGATGTGCTTTCTGTCACTTCAGATTACTTTAGTTTGCTTTCTTATTTTTAGTTTTTAGTCGAGACAGGGTCTCACTTTGTCACCCAGGCTGGAGTGCAGTAGCATGATCACGGCTCACAGCAGCCTCGACCTCCTGGGTTCGAGCAACCCTGCCACTTCAGCCTCTAGTAGCTGGAAATACAGGTCCGCACCACCACCCCTGGCTAATTAAAACAAATTTTTTGGCTGGGTGCGGTGGGTCACACCTGTAATCCCAGTACTTTGGGAGGTTAAGGCGGGGGGATCATTTGGGGTCGGGAGCTCGAGACCAGCTTGGCCGACATGGTGAAACCCCGTCTCTACTAAAAAAATACAAAAATTAGCCAGGTGTAGTGGCAGACGCCTGTAATCCCAGCTACCCAGGAGGCTGAGGCACGAGAATTGCTTGAACCCGGGAGGCGGAGGTTGCAGTGAGCCAAAATTGTGCCACTCCACTCCAGCCTGGGCGACAGAGCAAGACACCATCTCAAAAGCAAGACACCTCTTTTGAATGAGGTCTCATTATGTTGCGTAGGCTGGTCTTAAACTCCTGAGCTCAAATGATCCTCCCTTCTGGGCCTCCCAGTGTGCCACTGTACCTGGTCTAGTTTGCAATTCTCAGAGTTTTATATACATGAATCATATGATCTATATTCTTTTTTGTTGCTGTTGTCTGGAGTATTTTACTCAGCATAGTCATTTTGAAATTTATTCCTGGTGGTGGCTATACTGACAGTTTATTCTGTTTTAGTTTAGAAGTGGCATTCCATTGTATGGATATACCACAGTTAGTTTATACAGTTGTCTGTTGATGGACTTTGGGGCTGTCTTCAGGTTTACCATTAGTTTTTTTTTTTTTTTTGAGATGGAGTCTCGCACTGTCACCCAGGCTGGTGTGTAGTGGCTCAATCTCAGCTCACTGCAGCCTCCGCCTCCCGGGTTCAAGCGATTCTCCTGCCTCAGCCTCCTGGGTAGCTGGGATTACAGGCTTGTGCCACCATACTCGGCTAATTTTTTGTATTTTTAGTAGAGATGGGATTTCACCGTGTTAACCAGGATGGTCTCAATCTCCTCAACTTGTGATTCACTGGCCTTGACCTCCCAAAGTGCTGGGATTACAGGCGTGAGCCATCCCGCCCAGCCCTACTGTTGTTTTTAACATGGCACTCGCATGCGTCTTCCCTTTGGTACCCAGGTATGGCTGAGTGCCACTGACCAGAGCACCTTGATTCATTTCCCCCTCTGGGCACCAGGACATGACTTTCCAAGTCCCAGAAAGCCTGCGTTTGCAGAGTCCCCTGGTTCCACCTAGAAACCTGGTAATGAAGTCTCCTTATGAGTAAATAATACAACCCTATATAAGCGATTAGGACAGAACTCCACATGCTGGACGAAAACAAAAGGATCAAGCAATAGGTCTTGGATGACTGGAGGGTTTCCAAAATTTACTTCCAGAGACAGGAACTGAAAAAACAGCCAAACAAAAATCATTATTTCACAAAGCCTGTTTGAGAAAACCACTTGTTCCTCCGGATGATAGTAGATGTTTTTCAAATAAAAACAAAACCCTAGACTTTTTTATTACTTAAATTTTAGAAATACCAAGTTAAACAAATTTAAGTTTCTTTATCACAAGACCTCTCAGAGCCTGTACCATGTTAATGATGTTCACTATAAATTCTGAGAAGGTTATATTTAATTTGAAATTTCCTCAGTGTATTGGACCACCAAACAGTTTTCCCCTCGTAAACTAGTGTTTCATAAGGACACACTTTGGGAAATGCTCTTTTAGGGACTTAATCATCTCTAAAGAAATTTTAATATGAAGGAAAAGGAAAGTAGGTAATAAAATGTGAAAATTAAGGCAAAATTAGATTCAGATTCCCCCCACAACCTTCAATAGGGGATGCTGGTCTCAGATAATTTCTTTCTTTCTTTTTCTTTCTATTCTTTTCTTTTCTTTTTTCTTTTTTTTTTTTTTTTTTGAGATAGGGTCTTCCTCTGTTACCCAGGCTCCGGTGTGCATGTCACAATCACAACTCACTGCAGCCTCCATCTCCTGGCTCAAGCGATCCTCCCACCTCAGCCTCCTGAGTGGCTGGGACTATAGGTGTGCACCATGATGCCTGACTAACTTTTAATTTTTTTGTAGAGACGGTGTCTTGCTATGTTGCCCAGGCATGTCTTAAACTCCTGGACTCAAGCAATTCCCTCATCTTAGCCTCCCAAACTGCTGGGATTATAGGCAGGAACCACCATGCTTGACCTTATCATAGTTTTCTAAGTCCTTTGCCCCCAATATGACCCCAATATTTACGTTAATTTTTCTCATCATAAATGGCTCTTCAGACCCCTTTCCCTATGATCCCAGAACTGTGACAGGCAGTTGTCCTCTCCCCAAGCTTCTCTTGAACTTTGCCCTTTCTCATCACTTCTGGAGGTAGGGGTGGCAGTGGCACTGTGGGGCCACCCCTTGGTTAGGGGTGCCACTGGCTGCCTTGGTTAGGCTGCCTCCAACAGGTGTGCTTCTGTGAAGCTAGCATGTTGCTGCTTATGGATTCTATAAAGCACCATTTTTCTGCTTTATAAGCTCTCTGCTGTAATCCAAACTCCATAAATGAGCAATTCCTTTGCATAATGAATGGATGAGGCTGTTTTATGCACTTTTATGTTGTTCCAAGTCTGTGGTTTTACTAAATTTCCACCTCAAAGATATGTAATTAGAGCCTCTGCAATCTGCTATCCTGGCCCTCCCCACCCTCCTCTGGAATCCACAATCATCTTGCAGGCTGGTTTCTGACAGGAGCAAACAGAGTAGGGGGCGCACATGCATACGTCTGTCTGTGGGTCTTGCGTGGGTAGAGGGACGTGCCTCTGTCTTTTGGAAATTGGGATGGATGGGGCTGGGGTAGCGGATGCCTCCCTTTCCCTGACCTCTGGCTTTCCAGCTCACTATGGGGCTATTCAGTTCTCTGCCTCCCAGTCCCCAGAGTGGTCTGTCTCCTCACTGCCCTCTGCAGAAGGCATTCATCCCTCCCACCCAGTCTTTGCCCATGCTGTTGCCACTGCCAGAACCACCTTTCCTTCTCTGGCCCAAACACATTTTCCTTCAAGATCTGGCTCAAATTCCCTAAGTTTTGTAAAATATTCTTTCTCCTTACTGGGTGACAGGGTGAGACTCCATCTGAAAAAAAAAAAAAATCTTTCTCCTTAAGGATCTTTCTATCTTTCCTTCCTTCTCTTTCTTCTTACTTTTTCTTTCTCTCTCTCTCCTTCCTTCCTTCCTTCCTTCCTTCTTTTCTTCCTTTCCTTTCCTTTCCTTTCTTCTTTCCTTCTTTCTTCTTTTTTGAGACAAGTTCTGGCTCTGTCACCCAGGCTGGAGTGCAGGGGCATGATCATAGCAAACTATAGCCTCTAACTCTGGGGCTTAAGTGATCCTCCTGCCTCAGCCTCCTGAATGGCTGGGATTACAGGTGCACACCGCTACACCCAGCTATTTATAAAATATATTTTTAAAGATGAGATTTTTCTATGTTGGCCCAGCTGGTCTGAACTCCTGGCCTCAAGTGATCCTTCTGCTTTGGCCTCCCTAAGTGCTGGGATTATGGGTGTGAGCCACCGCGCCAGGCTGGGATCTTTCTTTTCTCATTCTTGTTGTATTAAATTGGTACAGCAAAGCTCAGCATTGTTAGTTTTGTGTGTATTTATGTGACTAGAGGTTAAGCTCCTTTACAGTGGGGACCATGTCTTATGCTCCCTTGTAGAAAAGCCTGATGTGAAGCGGTCGTCTGGCTGCTTTTAATTTGGGAGGACAGATGAAAATGATTAGTATCTTACAAGGCTTCAGATAGAAACTCCAAGCTTCTGTAGCCCTTTCTGTATCTCTATTCACTGCAATTATACAATTTCTCAATTTTCTAGTGGAAAAGCATTTGGGAGGAAGTGGAACCAAAGCAGATCCTATCCAAGGTGAATGGCAAGCAGCTATATGAGGATGGCCTTGCTCCCAGCCGGGTTAGTTTTCACAACAGGCCTGTGTGCCTTGCGCGGTCTTCTGTGCAAAGTCCTTCCCTCCCTCGCCCTCAGCTTTGGAAGAAGACCCCGGCAGGAGATGGAAGATGGTGCCAGCATGGTGAAAAAGGCTGGGAGTTTGGGAAGCAGATACATTTTGGTTTAGTTCCTTTTTTTTTTTTTTTTAAACAGAGTCTCACTCTGTTGCTCAGGCTGGAGTGCAGTGGCATGATCTCCGCTCACTGCAACCTCCACCTCCCAGCTTGAAGTGATTCTCCTGCCTCAGCCTCCTGAGTAGCTGGGATTACAGGCATGTGCCACCACACCTGGATAATTTTTGTATTTTAGTAGAGATGGGGTTTCACCATGTTGGCCAGGCTAGTCTTGAACTCCTGAGCTCAAGTGATCCATCTGCCTCAGCCTCCCAAAGTGCTGTGTTTACAGGTGTGAGCCACCGCGCCTCACCTGGTTTAGTTCTTGAACTTCCTCACTGTGGGACATTGGGCAATTTAGCTCATCACTCTGGGCCCTGCTTTCTTCCAATTTAAAATGAGACAGTGAGATACCTAATGGCTGGAGTGTAAGGGGGCTGGGAAGACGGACCCTCCATAATGGCTGGTCATGATGGTCATCAGGAAAGTGGTGGCCATAGATGAAGTGCAGAGAGAACAGATATGATTGTTCCTTGCTCTTTCCAATCAGACTCACATCAAGGTGAAAAGTCATCTTTTTCCATAGCTATTTCTGAGGCTGACTCAGGATCATCTTACAAAACATCATCTCCTGTGAATTCCAGCTGAAGTGTGCTAGCCAGGTCACTTGAGACCCATCAGGCACATGGGACCCAGTGTGGCCCAGGTGTCCCAGGCCAGTCCCCAAAACGCAGCAGTAGTGCCTCTGTTCTGTCTCTGGCTTTCTTGCCTTACAGTGTGATCCAGTGGTCTCATCTCCCTTCTCTGAGTCTGATTTTCTGCCCCACAGGCACTCACCATCCATAGTCAAAAGAGTTAAAATATATATATATATATATATACACATATACATATTTTTGAGATAGGGTCTCATTCTGTAGTCAACCAGGCTGGAATGCAGTGGTGTGGTCATAGCTCACTGCAGCCGCAACCTGCCAGGCTCAAGTGATCCTCCCACCTCAGTCTTCCGAGTAGTTGGGACTACAGGCTTGCACTACCATGCCCAGCTAATTTTTCTATTTTTGTAGAGATGGAGTCTCACTATGTTGCCAGGGCTGGTCTCAAGATTCTGGCCTCAAGTGATCCTCTTGCCTCAGCCTCCCAAAATAGTGGGATTACAGGCGTGAGCCACTACTCCTGGTCAAGTTAAGACATTCTTGTCAACAACTCTGATTATTTACTTTTATTTTGGTGCATCCAAGAAAAACTGGCAGAGTGGGCCTTCCTCTACACCCTTGATATTGCTAAGCACTATGTGAGTTTCTTTCAGATCCTTCTTAGTTTTCTCTTTTGTTGAGGGAAAAGAAAGAATAAAGTCAACTTCACAAAACAAATTCTGTGCCAAATGGCTCAGGAAGCAAAAGTCTAAAAGTCGAGTATATTAAAGCTTTGAACTCATTCACTAATTCAATTGTTCACTTCATTAATCCTGATGCTAATATGCACATATTCAATTACGCACACACACATACACACAACACACAAATATACCTATGCACGTATGATAATCTTTTCTTTGTACCAACCATCCCCAAAGCTCGGTAGCTTAAAACAACAACTATTTTATTTTCTCACAAGTCTGCAGTTCCACACTCTGAGCAGGGCTCAGCTTTGGACAAAGATCCCTGCAGGAAATAGAAGGTGAGCAGATGGTGCCATGGGGGATACTTTCTCCAGAGGTCACTAACATGGGTGTATTCCTGGCGTGGCTCAGCTGGGCCCCTTGGTCTAAGGTGGCCTCATGGATGCATCTGGTGCTTGGTGTTGACTGTTTTCCCTGCCTCTCCCCCTCAAGATCTCCCATCCTCAAGAAGGCCAGCCCAGGCTTCATCACACAGCAGTGGAAGAGTTCTGATTTAAGAGAAGAAGAGTGGAAGCTGCAGGTCCTGTTGAGACCTGGACTAGGAAGACACACAATGCCACTTCTGCCACATTCTAGTTGTCATTTCTGGTTGTGAAAGCAAGTCCCAGGGCCAGTCAAGATTCAAGGAAAGGGTAAATAAACTCCATTACTTGATGGGTGCAGCCAAAAAAAGTCATGTTCAAAGGCATGCCCACAGGGGCAGGAGGGATTGTTCTCGTGCTCCTTGTCTCTCTATTTCTTTGTCTATAACTTATATCTACATATAGTCTATACCTATATATTTATAGATCTGGACATGTATATATAGATATAGATAGGTGGATAGATAGATCTTTTTTTTTTTTTTTTTTTTTTTTTTTTTGTGACAGGGTCTCACTCCATTGCCCAGGCTGAAGCGCAGTGGTGCAATCATAGCTCACTGCAACTTCGACCTTCTGGATTCAAGTGATCCTCCCACCTCAGCCTCCCAAGTAGCTAGGACCACAGGCACAGGCCACCACGCCCTAATTGTTTTATTTAACCCTTAAAACCAAGCATCACCTTGGATGTGAGAAAAAATTGTAGTCGAGGGCGTTCGGGAACTTATTCAAGGTCACACAGCATTCTAGATTCAGATGTAGACCTGGCCTTCAGCTCCCCCTTCCCACCTTCAAGTCCAGCCTTCAAGTCTAGCCTCTTTCCACTTTCCCATCATCCACAGGGAGGAGTTGGCTCAGCCAAGTGAGCTTTTCTAGGATAGCTTCATGAAACAGCTGCCATTTGAGCGGGTTCTATTCTGGGCATGTTTACAGGACGCTAGGGGGCCAATGGGCTTGTTCTTCCCGCCCTCTGTCCAGTGGCAGTGACAGCAATCTGAGTCCTCTCCCAAGGACAGGTGGCAGCAACATGCCTGTGCTGGTGAACACTGGAATGAGAGCAGTGGGGATGTAGGAGGAGGAGATGAAAGAGGAAGAGGAAAAGGAGGATGAGAAGGAAGAGGAAGAGGAGGAGGGGAAGTGGGGAAGGAGGAGGGGGAAGAGGAGGAGGAGGAGAAGAAGGAAGGGAAGGAAGGGGAGGAGAAGGAAGAAAAGGAGAAGGAGGAGGAGGAGGAAATGGTGGAGGGGAAAGAGGAGGAGGGGAAAGAAGAGGAGGAGGAAGAAGAGGAGGAGGAAGAAGAGGAGGAGAGAAAGGAGGAGGAAGAAAAGGAGGAGGAGGGAAAGGAGGAGAAGGGAAAGGAGGAGGAGGGAAAGGAGGAGGAAGAGGAGGAGATGGAAAAGGAGCAGGAGGAGGAGGAAGAGAAGGAGGAGGAGGAGGGGGAAAAAGAGGAGGAGAGAAAGGAGGAGGAGGAGGAGGAGTCGGCGGCAGGAGGAGCCTTCCTAACACCTGGAGGGAATAGTGAGAGGGTTTGGCAGCAGCGAGTAAAGAGGCCATTGTGGACAGGCCAAATTGGATGAAACTGAAGGAGGTTTTTCTCCCCCAGATTTTTACCTTAGAGATTTGCTTGCCTTGGCGTGTTCTATCCTGGGGCCCTCATGCGTTCGTTTGACCTCGCTTTCACATTTTACCTATAGACTTTATAGTGCTTTTACATCTATCTTATTATCATTTTTCATAAGATCCCTAAGACAAAGCTGGTGTGGGGACTGTCATTCCTATTTCACTCATGAGGAAACTAAGGTGCCACATCAGGAAACAGTGAAGAGGGAGGGAGGGGAAAGTATTTAATGACCACCTAATATGTACCTGGCCTCTGTCAGGTGTTTTCTAGCAGTGACTCACTCATTCTTCTCCATAACGCCACTGCAATGATTAGAAAACAGAGGCACAGAGAAGGGCAGGCCTCCTCAAACTAAGCGTACTCCTTTCAAAACCTGGGTAAAATGCAGCACTACAGACACCCAGGGTTTGTCTTTGGCCTCTGGAGGCCCCACCCTGGGCCTCAAGTTTCAGGCGGCCCCTCACTAACCCCACAGGGCTGGGGCAGTAACGAGGGCAGAGTGCTCTGAGCTGTCTGGGTTGGAGTTGCACCTGCTGTTCCACCAACCTCCTCCCGGCTCCTCTATTGAAAGGACTCCAGCCATTGTTCCTGCCTCCTTCTCCCTGCTCTCTTCCAGAGCAGCCAGCCCCAGCTCCCACAATCCCCTTTGGCCACTGGGGGCATGGACACCTCTAGCTGAAAGGTTCAGGCCTGGGGCCTTCCTCCAGACACAGCTGGGAGGCTCTCCTCCTCCCTCCTCAGGGCTGGGACCTCCAGGTACTTCTTGTAAAGGCCACAGGCTCTCTCAAGGATTTGCCCCAGGGTCTGGGGTCTCCGAATCCCAGAGTTCTAGATGATTTAGACCCCCAGACACTTCACCTTTCTGTGGCTTAGTCTTCCTCTTTGCATGAAAGACCGAAGAACCTCACCCCCCACCCTAAAACTTATCAAAGAAACGAGAGAGAATGAAGTTAAACATGGAAAAATACCACTCATTCCACAAGCTTTTACTAAGCACCTAGAAGCTGCCTAACATGTGCCAGCAGTAGAAAAATACAGGAAAGTTCAAGGGGTTCACAACATGCTAAGCAGATCAAATATCTGCACAGATAATAAGAATATAGTAATGAAGAAAGTCTTTCAATGTCTCACTTCTTTCCCTTTTTGACCCACAGTGGCCAGACTTCATTCATCTGTTCATTTATTCATTGATCCATTCATTTGTCCATCCACCATCCATCCATCCATCCATCCATCCATCCATCCATCCATCCATTCATCCATCCACCCACCCTTCCTTTCTTCCTTCCATCCATTTGGTCAACCAGTCATTATTGGAGTACAAGATATTAAACACTGGAGAAGCAAAGAGGATACAACACAGAACCTGCCCTGGGAAGGAGGGAGGTGATGATACAGTCAAGGCAGCAAAATGCAGTACAATATCAAGCTATGGCTTAAGGGAGAACTGAGGCTATAGAATAATGCTCACTATACTCAGTCGTTGTAATGTCTGTGTGCCTCTGCCCCATTTACCTGAGGTCATACAGTCTCCCTATCCCTACAGCTCAGCATAGTGGCTGGCGCCAAATTAGAGCTCAATCAATGTTGAATGAAAGCACTAGTGAAATAAAGCAAAGAGTGTTGTAATTTCCTAAGTCTACTTCCTCATGTGAGAAAATGGGTGCTAATTATAGCCTGGTAGAGATGGAATAAGTTCAGTTCCATATGTGCTTAATGAGATACAGTGCCTGAATCAACAGATATTACATATTCCCTTTTTGCTTCCTTCCTTAGCTTGGGCATGTCTCTTTCCCATTTTGGACCAGTTTTTTTTTGTTTGTTTTTGCTTTTGTTTTGTTTTTACAACTGAACAATGAAGGGCTTAGCTAAAATCCTAACCATTTGGATTCCAAATACGAGATTTTAGTCTAGTGCTAGTTGTTCCTGAGAAGAGACTCATGTGCATTTCATAGATATTATGCAGCACTCACTGCATATTAATTATCAATTAAATATGAATCATCTGTGGGATGCTTCAGGCTCCTCAGGGATCATACTTTAGTTGCTTAGACAAATACAATAGGGAATTTTTCTAACGGTGAATGCAGTACCAACAGCAGAAGTTATTATTATACATATTTTTTCCCAAATATAGGCCACTGTTTTTATTGATTTTGGGATGGCTTTTTAACTATTACCTCAGATGTAACTCCAAGAAGCAAAGATGCTTAAATGAGATTTTGATGTTAACAAATATGCAGAGGGAATGCTGCCTTTGGTGGTGCAAATGGCATTTGGGGGCCCCCTGCTGTTAGGCATAAGAGGTTTGTACAAGAAAACCCTGGTCTTTGGTCTGCATTGCCCCCTGGTGGTGAGACTGATTTTTGACAGCGAGGGAGGGCTACTCCTGGGCCGAGCCACAGAGTCATCCAGCAAAGCTGTTAAGAACGAGGATATGTGGACCGAAAATAAAATTCTAAGCCTCCGCAACCGATGGAATGGACTCTCCTCTCAGCCAAGGGGACCCCAATAAACCTGAAAAACTAGTTCAGGCCATGATGGGACCAGGAGGCTTGGCGGTCAGACATGCTTCATTATATCCTCTCCCTTTTGGAGTTTAGACACAACTGACCAGCATTAATTTTAAAACAGAGATCCTACAACTGATGGAACAGACTCTTTGTAGCAACAAGATCCCAAATTCCAACCTGACTCTAGTATAACATCATATGACAGATAACAAGGCCGAAGAAACAAAGTATTTATTCCAAAGTGAAAGAAACCAAAGTATTTATTCCAAAATATATTTATTTGACATAATTTGAAATGGCCCTGCAAAGCTGTCTCTTGTGGGGAAAATTTACATTATAAAGCAAATTCCCTTACTTTCCAGGTCTTTTTCTGATTCTGAAGAGATTGACTGAGAGTTTAGCACATTTTAAAGTTCTGAAAAGGAAATATTTGCCACCTATTGCCTCTAGGGATGCCACTTATGAGAATTCATCTACATAATAGGAACCTTGGTCTCCACAACCTCTTACCTTAACGCAGACACTTCTTTCAATTGGCTCAAGGTCTTTAGACAATAACTTAACTCTTTCAACCAGTTGCAATCAGAAAATCTTTGAATCCACCTATGGCCTGTAAGTTCCCCAATCCTTTCAGTTGTCTTGTCTTTCCTGACAGAACAAGTGTATTGATTGATGTCTTATGTCTCCTGAGGACATATAAAACCAAGCTGTAGCCTAACTGCCTTGGGGACATGTTCTCAGGACTTCCTGAGGCTGTGTCACTGGTCATGATTCATAGTCATGGCAAAATAAACTTTTAAATTGTTTGAGACCTATTTCAGATACTTTTTTGGTTTACAGATATATCAGTTTGGGTAAATTTACTGAGTATTTGTTATGCAGTCAAAGACACTGTGGAGGTCAGACAAGAAGAGTAAAGGGCTGGGTGCAGTGGCTCACACCTGTAATCTCAGCATTTTGGGAGGCCAAGGTAGGAGAATCACTTGAGGCCAGGAGTTCAAGACTAGCCTGGTTAACAAAGTAAGACAAGCCCCCCTCATCTCTACAAAAAAAATAAAAACAAATAGACAGGCATGGTGGTGCATGCCTGTAGTCCCTAGCTACTTGGGAGGCTGAGGTGGGAGGATTGCTTGAGCCCAGGAGTGTGAGGCTGCAGTGAACTATGATTGTACCACTGCACTCCAGCTTAGGCAACAGAGCAAGACCTTGTCTCTTAAAAAAAGGAACAAATTCTAACCCCAGGGAATTTTTTTCTGGCTTTTGACCTTTCCCAGGGGAATATCACTGTCTTCTGGACTTTTCCTTCATCGTTCACTCAGTCATTCATTTTTTGGCAAACATTTATTGAGCAACTTCTATGTTCCAGGCACATTAATGGGTGTTGAGGTTATAAGAGTAGATTAAAACCAAACAACAAACCTTATCCTTAGGGATTTTTACATGTTCGAATACCTACCTTCAGGCTGGCATTCTCATAGTCCTGTAAAACTTTACTTATCACTGGGGCTGAGGAATCCCGTGCCAAGCCATTGCATGGCTATGGCTTAAGATATTCTCCTTTTATGGGATAATTAGTGCTTATTCAAGAGGGAACTGCAAAAGAGATGATATGGTTTGGTTTTGTGTCCCCACCCAAATCTCATCTTGAATTGTAATTCCCACCTCTTGACCGAGGGACCTGTAATCCCCACATGTGGAGGGAAGGAGGTGATTGGATCATGGGGGCAGTTTCCCCCATGCTGTTCTCATGATAGTGAATGAGTTCTCATGAGATACGATGGTTTTACAAGTGTTTGGAAGTTCCTCCTTCGTTCTTCTCCCTCCTGCCACCTTGTGAAGAAGGTGCCTGTTTCTCCTTCTGCCATGATTGTAAGTTTCCTGAGGCCTCCCAGCCATGCAGAACTGTGAGTCAATTAAACTGCTTTCCTTTAAAAATTACTCCGTCTCAGGGAAGATCCTTATAGCAGGGTGAAAATGGACTAATACAGGAGAGAAATCTCAAAGACTGAAAGGAATGTATTAATAATGATGGAATTTCAGATATTGTGCTGTGTTTTGAGGGTGGGAGGTTTGGGAGCACAGTAGGAAAATTCCTTGCATTCCCCAAAGAATACCACCCAAGCCACTTCCTACTCTGCCTGTGTGCCTGCCTGGCTTTGCCATTTGTGTCTCATCCCCAAGGTTAGCTGGGGTTACGCTGAGAGTTGTGGGAGCTATGAACCTACCCCTGGAGTTCAAAACAGAGCTCCATGGAGTTTCTCCTTCCCATATAAAGAAGAAAAAGAATTCCAATTTTAGTTGCTCTTTGCTTCTGTCTTCAAGGAGTTTATAATCTTCTAAGAGGAGAGAAATTACACATATATGCAATTACAAGAAAGGCACAGAGAAGGATTAGAGAAGTGCTAAGTGTGGAGAGGCTGTTTACAGCTGGAAGAATTGAGGGAGATTTCAGGAGAAGTGCTATTTGATTTGTTACATCATTATTTGGGAAAGTCAGGCCTTGCTTCAGTGAGAAGCTTGGTGATAGAAGAAAATGTTTGAACTGCAATTGGGAAAGTGAAGCTTAATCAATGTTCCAGCACTAAAAGGCTCAAGGGAAGTGTTCTCATTTGGCCCCTGGAGATGATCCTGGAAATTGCTAGTCTAATATACCAGCATTCATTCACAGCCACCCCACTGCCCTATGTCCACATGCTAGTGGGTCTGGTCACTGTGCTGAAGGTCACTTTTCTGGAGGGCCTCTTCTGCCATCTGCCTTAGACCGAGCAGTCCTATTAAAGCCTGGAGTTTCTATAAAATTTGCATATGGTGGCCTGGTCAGCTCAATAGCAAGTTTCTCCCAACTCACTTTTCCTTTTTCCCTAGATATTTACCACATGGCTATATTTCATGACTGACGGACAAAGTGGGAATTAGCTTTTGCTTGGGAAAAGCTAATGCTTCAGTTTTGTCTTCTAAATTTTGAAGCTGTGTTGGGTTGTGGGAGAGTGCAGTCATATTACCGTGCATCTTGTATGTACACTTTTTGAAAACTGGGAAAAGTGAAAGGTAGCCCAGGCTCCCATGATGAAGAAAGAACCCTGATGAGATCTATGGTTCTCTCAGAGACCTCACTGGTTGAGACAGGTCACAGGGAGAAACTGGAGTGCAGTTTTAAACTACTGCAATGTGGAATTTCCACAGTCATGGCACTTAATTGGTCCTTGGCATCTGGGTTTGGTGCTCTTCTTCCTCCTGTCTCAAGAGGGCAGTCTGGCCACAGCTCTTTCCATGGAAGGGGTAGGGTAGGAGTGTGAAGACAGGTCCTGATGATCACACGATGCCCTTCTTTCTCTTAATTTAGGTTTGGGAGCAGAGAGAACAAAAGATCCCACATGGGTCTTCAATTCTAAGCCACATGTTCCTGATTTGGAGTCTACAGGGCTTGCAAAACTGACAGTCATGCCATTGGTGTGTACATGCTCTCTTGAAGACCTCATGGAGAGCACAAATGATTTGCTGGGTAAGATTAGGCATTCCTGGGTCCTCAGTCACCAGATGTCAACATCTATTTGTTTCCAATGAACTGTTGATTTAATCTCTCTCTCTGCAGCTCAGCCTCCTTAGCAGAGGCCTTTTATAATCTGTTCCCAACTGACCAGGCCATTTTCATCTTCTCTGCCATTGCTGCTGGCCATACAGAACCTCTGAGCATCCTGGACCTTTCCCTAGACTCTTTCAGGATGTCCTGCCCCTTTACATGCTATTTCTTCTTCCTGGAATTTCATCATTGTTATTTGATTGGGAAAAACCCCTCATTCAAGATACAACTCCAATATGTTGACCTTGGGAAAACTTCTCTAATGGACCCAACTCTACAGGGCTTGATCTTCCCCTGGAGGTCAGGGACCCTGTCATAGTCATCTATGTCCCTAGGTCTTAGCATCATGCCAGAGGCACAGTAGATGCCCAATTAATATCTGTTGACTGACTGGTGTGTCTGTCTGTGCAGGTGTACATGTGGCGTTCTTGGGGTGAAGGACAATACAGTGAAGGAGCCTGAAGTAAGAAGGAACATGCTAGGTCCCTTTTTTTGTCAATGGACTGCATCCTTGATACTTCTTGTTATACTTCAGAATAAAAATTAGCGGGGCAGAAGCTGTCATCTGTGTGTGCACCTCAGGAAAGACCCACTGCTCCTTGATCGAGCCAAGCGGCCCTGGTGCAGCCCGTCTGTGAATCATTTCTGATGAGTTCTAAATGGCTGCCTTTTAGAACCATCCCAGCCTCCTTGCAGATTTAGCTTGCATTGCTGTCTCCTGGCTGTGGGGCCGGCATCCTCATTTCCAGGGCTGGAGCAGCCTGAAGCTTCCGGCTGTAAGACAGCGAGTGTCCACCAGAGGCTGCTGCTGCCATTCTCTGTCACTCCATCAATTCCCTTTCATTCTGGAGCCCTGACTCCATCATCCATTGCCCCTTTCTGTTGCCTCCAGCTTCCAAATGACAGATGGTCGTTTACTGACCTGCTGGTGACTTGGAGGTGGGGATGGGGTCCCTGAAACTCGCAGATTTGTGTGAGAGACTTATATCATATATACACACACACACACACATATATATATTTTCCCTCATAGTTGAGGTGCTACTAGAACCTAGGCTTTTCCCATATATATATATATATATATTTATATATATATTTATTATATATATTATATATACTCTTTATATATATACTTTACATATATTATATATATATATATAGAGAGAGAGAGAGAGAGAGAGAGAGACAGACAGACAGACAGACAGACAGAGGGAGAGAACCTGGGAAAAGGCCAGGTTCTAGCAGCATCTCGAATATGGGCAGGAAAAAGGACCTCTGCTTCCATCCTCTACGGAGCACCTCTCTCACTCCCTGCAAGGGCTGCCAGGTTGGGGTTAGGTCATGGCTGGTCCTTAAGTCCCTGATTGCCAGGGAGGATACGATGCTCCCCTAGATGTGACCCCCTCACTGCAGCTGCAAATGCCTTGGGAAGGACCAGGAATTCTGCTTTGATTTGGAATCTGTTTGAAAGAGACAGAAATTACACAGATTGCTCCAGGGCACCCACCTGTAACTGATGAATCTTAGGTGTCCTCTCCAAGCCTTAGTAAGGGCTGCTTGGTTGGCTCAGAGCTACTTGCTTCTTCCCACATCCCGCCTCCCAACCCGTTCTCCAGCCCTGTCCCCTCTGGCCAGCTGTGAGAGCCTCTGGCACAATGATATTTCTTCCTAGTCAGAGCCCAGGCTTGTGGCATTGTAGGTTTGCTTCAGGGAGGGTAGTTCGATGAACCTAGTGTCTGGATTACTGTAATTCTATCTGATCTGTTGTCTCTCTGTGTTGCGGCTCCCACCTCCAGCCCCAGACCATTCCAAATTCAGGACGTAAATCACCCACGGTGTGCTGCTTCCCTAGACAAGGGCCTGTGATGGATGTCTATTGCTTTGTGAATCCAAACTGCTGCCTGGCTTTCGAGGCACTTCATATTCTTCTCCGGTTTTCATAATCATCCAAGTGCATCTCTATGCTCTGCTTTGCCAGTGCCGTTGTCTCAACCCTTCTCCTGAAGCTCCCATCCCTGAAAAAAAAAAACCACCTAGAGCCAAAAAGATGAAAGCAAACAAGAAAGCAAGCAAATAAACAAAAAACCACACACAAAGCCATACCAGGCTCATTTTTATGTTCTGGTTTAGAATGCCCCTTCCTGTCTGCTTCTGTAACCCAGTGCTACTTAACTTCTGAGTCAGAATTCAAATCCTGCCTCCAGGCAATTTGAATCCACACTGACATCTTTCTTCATGACCCAGAGCACTTTTGTCTGCACCAGACACATTGGAATGTAATTATGTTTGAGATGCTGATGTTGAATTGTTTTATACTCATTTATCCAATTGTTCAGTAATCATTCATTGAGTGCTTATTATTATGTTTCAGGGTTGGGCTTATTCACCAATCTAGGAGTCATCCCTGATGACTTTCTGTCTCTCCAGGATCAATCTGTCAATCGGGCTGAGAGATGCTTCCAAGATATGTGCTGTGCCTGGCCTTTTCTCCACTTCTTCTGCCTTGCCCAGCATCTCCAGTCCAGATTTTGAAATCACCTCACTTCCACTATTGCCCCAATGTAATGCATTCTCCATAGACAGGGATTCTTGAAGGGAGGAAATCAGATCATGTTGGTTAATCACCTTGGTTAAAATTCTCCAGTGGTGTTTGTCCTATTGCAATTGGAATCAAATAGAAATAGAACTAGAAAATAAAATAGAACCATCCTTACCCATGGCTTATGAGGGTGCATGTCACTTAGCCTCTGCCCACCTTTCTGGCCCCGTCTCCTGTTTCTCTCCCTGTCAGTCACTAAGTTCCACCTCCCTGGCCTTCTCTCCTTTGCTTCAGCCTGAACCAAAGTTGGTTGCAACCTTTGAGCCTCTGCACTTGGTGTCTCTGCCAGGGATTCTCTTTCCAGTTGTTTATGCCATAAACTGTATGTTATCATTTTGGGATTTAGCTCAAAAGTCACCAACTTAGAGAAGTCTCCTATGACCATGCTATCAAATATTGGCCTCCTTGTCAATCTCTTTCTCATTACCTTGTTTTATTTTCTTTATGGCACTTGTCTTATTCATTTATTTTGTTTCTCCCCATCCTCCTCCCTTCACTAGAATGTAAGTTCTAGGAAAGTGAGAGGGTGGTCACTTTTGCTTTCTGCCACACTGCCAGAGCCCAGAACAGTGTCTGGTGGACTCAATATTTGTTTAAATAAAAGAATGCATGAATGGTAAAAAGACCACGTGACTGAATGTATCCAAGATGAATAAACATAGCCCCTACCTTCAAATAGTTCACAGAATGCTTGTAAAGGAGAGAGACTAATAAACATTTCCAAACCAAGGTGACAAAAGCTATGATAGAGAAAGGTATAAAAGCACTATTCGAACACAGATGAGGAAATAATTAAATTTGCTTCATTTGAATGAGGCTTATCTCTTTGCTTGTATGGTAAGCTCCTTAAGGACAAACTGTATTTTATGCTTTTATTACATTCCTCACCGCGGTGGTTTCCAAATGCCAGGCCCCAGACAAGCTGCAACAGAATCACCTGGGGAGTTAAAAAAAAAAAATCACAGATTTCTGATTCTGGATATGCAGAAGTGGAACCCTAGGGTCTGTCTTTGTATAACAGTTCCTTGGGTAGTTCTGAAGCACATTGGCTTGGGGGCCAGTTTGCTACATTGTCTGAGACAGGGCTGGGCACATTGTGGGCACCCAGCGTGCTTGACTGAACTGAAATAAATCCATCTCTGTCAGCTCCATTCTTTCTCTGACCAGCTGCAGCTGAGCCCAGAGTGAATGACCACGCATGTCTGAGGTTCCTGCCAGTGGGGAGAGCACGAGAAGATAACAGCAATCCTTCCTTCTTCCTAGCGTGACGGCTTTAGTGTCGCTCATACCTCTTCACAGGGATGGTTATTACCAGCCTTATGGGTCGTTTTATTCTTTTAACTGAACAGCACACAGGCATTCTCCTCTTAGCTACCTACCCCTTGTGAATAGTCGCGTGGCAGCCGAGAGCCGCAGCCTGGAGACAGCCACCTCCGGGCCGCACGGTCTCCTGGTTCTCACAGGCACTGGGCCCTGAGCTGAAGGGCAGGCGGGAGTCTGCGTGCCCATGCTGGTGTGGACTGATGTCTGCGACTTGGGCCACAAAGCAGGATTGGATTGGCCTCCATAGGTTCTGATGTGATTTCCCTGGAGAACTGGCCTCAGAGGGCTGGCAGCCTGGGGGCAAGATGGGAAATGGTCTCCCTTCATCATTGGGAAGCCTCTGGACATCTTTGATCCTTTAATCTGTCATGGTATCATTTTTTTTTTTTTGGGACAGGGTCTTGCCCTGTCACCCAGGCTGGAGTGAAGGCTCACTGCAGCCTTCACTTCCTGGGCTCAAGCCATCCTCCTGCCTCAGTCTCCTCCAAGTAGCTGGGACTACAGGCCTGAGTCACCATGTCTGGCTAATTTTAGTAAAGACAAGGTTTACTATGTTGCCCAGGCTGGTGTCAAAGTCCTGAGCTCTAGCAATTCTCCAGCCTCGGCCTCCGAAAGTGCTGGGATTACAAGCGTGCGCCACTGTGCCCAGTCTGTCATGGTATCTTGACTTGTCATTGGGGAGGACCCTATCCAAGAATGGCTGGAAAGCCAGTGACTGACTGGGAAATGTCAATGCTTGTGATTCCAGAATTTTTATATAAGAGAGGCTTAGGGGTGGCAGTATTTTGAAAGGCTAACTAAAGGCCTTCTAGAAAGTCATGTTTTATAGCAAGCCCACTGTTTGTGCTTGCATTACGTCTTGGCTAGGGGTAGCCTAGGAGTCTGATGAAGATATAGGGGAAACACCAGAGTTCAATGCACCCCTCCATGCTGCCTGCTCATGCCTTCATTAAAGTCACCACTGCTCTTTGGGCTTAATCTTGGAAACTAAAGTGCCTCCCAATCTCATCTTCTCGCTCCACTTCTTTCTTTCTTCACTCTTACACTGGCCAAGATCTTCACAGCAGGAATACACTCTCAGTTGGTCTTGTTTGTGCGTACGCTAGCTGCAGATGTGCAGATGTATGTGTATCAATTGCTTGGGACGCCTGTGGGAATGAGAAAGGAAGGGAAGTGGCTTTTGAGGAGGCAGTATCTCCGGGTGACCGTGGGCTGAGGCACTCATGCTTCATCTGAGGGACACTTGTTTCCTCTTCTGTAGCATGCTTCACAGAGATCTTATGTTTGGCCTTCCAGACCATAATGCTTAGAAACAGCAGAAAGCAGCAGATTAGAAGAGAGCAGAGCCCCTGGTGCGGTGGCTCATGCCTGTAATCCCAGCACTTTGGGAGGCTGAGGCAGGTGGATCACTTGAGCCCAGGACTCCGAGACCAGCCTGGGCAACATGATGAAACCCTTACTCTATAAAAGTTTTAAAAATTAGCCAGGTGTGATGGTGCATGCCTGTGGTCCCAGCTCCCTGGGAGGCTGAGGTGGAAGGACACCTGAGCTAGGGAGGTCAAGGTTGCAGTGAGTCGTGATCAGGCCACTGCACTCCAGCCTGGGTGATAGAGTGAGCCCCTGTTTCAAAAGCAAAAGCAACCAACTAAGCAACCAACCAACCAACCAACCAACCAACCAACTAACCAAGCAACCAACCAAACAAACAAACAAAAGAAGGGAGCAGAGGTTTCTAGGAACAGGTATAATGACCATGGGGCGAGGATGGGAGAGACAGACTGGCTTTTGGTGAAGAACATAGTGAGCTCAGTGCTCAGGGGAGGCAGCACTTGCCAGGGGCTCGCATTGCTGGTGGAGGGTGTGGGGGCCCAGGAATCAGACCATCCAGGTTTACATTCTTATTCTGTCCCTCACTCCCTTGGAGGCCTTGGTCAGGTCCATTAAACCTCTCTGGGACTCAGTTTTTTCATCTGTAAAATGGGAATAATCACAATCCCCCAATACTTCTGGGCTCCTATCAAATGAGAAGCAAGTGCCAGGGTGCTATTTTCTCATTTTTCCCTGCTTCTTCTTTTATTTGTTTGATACAAAAGCAACAAACTTACTTGTGGCAAAAACAACTACTTGTGTACTAAAAAAAGAATAATGGATTCTTTTAGATGTTAATAGCGCTTTGTAAAACTTATACACAGATGTAAGAAACAGAAAACAAAGGAGCAGGAGTTCCTTAGGTCTCAACGGTTTCAAGGGCCCCTCTGTACAAAAACTCAGGAAGGCAACTTACTTCCTCAATGTGCAAACAAACAAACAAACAAAAAACCTGAGGAAAAAGGTTAACGGGTGTGCAGCACATTCTGTTTAATAATGTGGGGAAGCATATAATGCTTTTAATAAAGACTTCCATAAAAATTGTGAAAATACATAGAAGTTCTACCATTGGGAAAACAGCCTGCATCCTTTGGGCTATTTACTTATGTGGAAAAGCTCATTCTTCTTGTATGTGACTGATCCTTGTGCTTCCCAATTATAATTACGTTTATAACCTGGGTGCCAGCTGGGAAGGGGGTTCCTCCCGTTATGCAGAGTAGGTACAAAAGGCAACCAGCAAAACAGCGCTCACCAATTTCTTTCATCAGTTGGTATAAATTTGTCTCGCTCTTTGATTTGTATCCATGTACTCTCCTTTGGTACCCTCTCCCTAAGACTTTTATCAATTTGAGCATTAGCTAAGTTAGTTAAACAGATTGGTCTTCTTGTCTGGGTATGGTGGCTCAAGTCTGTAATCCTAGCACTTTGGGAGGTCGAGGGAAGAAGATCACCAGGAAGTCAAGACCAGCCTGGGTAATAAACAAAGACCCCATCTTTATTTAAAAAAAATTTAGCTGGGCATTGTGGTGTATACCTGTAGTTCTAGTTACTTGGGAGGCTGAGGCAGGAGGATCGCTTGATCCCAGGCCAGGAGGTTGAGGCTGCAGTGAGCTATGATGGCACCACTGCACTCCAGCCTGGGAGACAGAGCGAGACCCCATCTCTACAAAAAACAAAAATAGAAAAGCAAGTTGGCTTTTCTCCCCATCTTTGGCTATCTCTTCTCCTGGTTAGGCTTTGTTTCCTCAGCTCACTGGGTCTTGCTTTGGCCATTCTTGGAGCTAAGAATATCATTTTATCTCCAGCTGGCTGGTAAAAGGAGGTAACCGCCACTGTTTTTTTTTTTTTTTTTTTGAGACGGAGTTTCGCTCTTGTTGCCCAGGCAACAAGATCACAATGGCGCCATCTCGGCTCACTGCAACCTGTGCCTCCCGGGTTCAAGCGATTCTCCTGCCTTAGCCTCCCAAGTAGCTGGGATTACAGGCATGCACCACCACGCCCGGCTAATTTTTTTTTTTTTTTTGGTATTTTTAGTAGAGACGGGGTTTCTCCGTGTAGGTCAGGCTGTGGACGAACTTCTGACTTCAGGTGATCCACCGGCCTCGACCTCCCAAAGTGCTGGGATTACAGGCGTGAGCCACCGTGCCTGGCCTCCACTGTTTTAAAAAGACGGAATTGCATGGTAGAAATGCTCCTGGATCTGGAATCAAGAGTCCCAGATTTGGGATTGGTTGTTTGGTCTTCCATTTCAACCCTCTGGGTCTCAGTCTCATATTTCTCCCCCGTAGAATGAGGCAGATGGATTAGCTAAACTCTCAGGTTCTTTCCAGCTCAGATGTTTTTGGATTCTGAGAGTCTGTGCTTAGTCGTGGTTTGCCTGTTAATGTTTGCCTACAATGAGACTCAAAGTTTCATCTTCATTCTTGCGGCTGGATTTTACGGCCTTTGTGAGACATAGATCTAGCCCATAAGTGTGGGCCCCCAGGGAGATGGACCGTTTCCTCCTCAGGGTGTGTATTCTTGAAACTCTGCATGTGGTGGCTTGATGGAAAAATACATGAGTCGGTACTCCGAGGGACCTCAGGGTGTGACGTTTTGACCATTTTTTAAAATCAAGAAAATAGGCTTAATTTTGCCTTAATCTGGGGTTCAAGAAATCATCAAATTATAGAACTTGAGTTAAAAGCATTTCTAGAGACCTTTAAAAAATTTAACCTTTCTTTTTAAATTATAAAACCAGTACATGACCTGGTAAAAATAAATTCCAATGGTATTTAGTGGTATAAAATGAAAAGCAAAAATGTCCTTTAACCTCACCTTCAGTGCCCCTTCCTAAGGAATCCCCTGTAATGAGTTTCTTATGTATCTCCTGAGAAATTTTCTGTGCAAAATCTTGCATTCATACGATCTCTGTATCAACTCCTTCCACCTGCACTTAAGCACACACACATACACAGATGTAGACATTTTGTAAAATTTGCATCTTGCTTTCTGCGTTTAATGATACAAGTTGGAGATTTTCCACACTAGTGCTTATGGATCTGTTGCAGGGCAGGTGAGCCCCAAAACTGGGACTTAGCCCAGGAGAGTTTTTGGCTTCACCCAGGGAAAGCCCGTGGTGTTAGACAGCAACTTTTCTTGAAGTGGCAGTGAACAGCAGAAGCAGACATACTGTTCTTTGTGGAGCAGGGTTACCCCATTGGCAGTGTGCCCACAGTAGTAGCTCAGGGTCAGTTCTGCAGTCATACTAATACTCATTTTTAATCACATGCAAATTAAGGGGTGGATTATTCAAAATTTTTTAGAAAAAGGGTGTTACTTCCAGGTTGTTGCCATGGAAAGGGGCAAGAACTTCTAGGTCTCACCATGGCAAAGGTTAACTGACATGGCGCTGGTGGGCGTGTCTTATGGAGAGGTGCTTTTCCCGTTTCCTTATTTTAGCTAGTCTTAAATCCGGCCCCAAGTTTGAGTCCTGCCTCCAGAGTTGAGTCTCCGCCTCCTACCTTAGGTCTGCCCTGTTCTTTATAAGGCCATCCAGTATTCCTGGAGGGGAGAGGATTTTGGTTTCAACAAGCAGTGGACACCCAGATTATTTCTAGCTTGTTGCTGCTGCAAACAGCGCTTCTTCAGAAAGCCTTTAATTCGGTGGTTTCTAAAGTTTGATCCTTGGAACATGAGCCTTTAGAGACACTTGGTGACAACAAAACAGATTCAGAGGTCAAGCAAACATGGAAACCACTGCATTTTAGATTCCGCCTTACAATGGCCTATTAAAGTTTCCTGGAATTCACCGAGTAAGGAAACCTGAAAAACATGGCTTCACCTGATGCTTTCCCAACTTGTTTTTGACCATTTCACTGCTGAATACATACCCTCGTCGCCTATTTATATCTCAAAATATGTGTATACTAGTGTTCTCTTATGAATATATAGTAGCGTGTTGAGGAAGTGGTCTCAAAAATGTTGCTTTACCCTACAGATGAGTTCAAAGAGAGGGAATTACTGGTACAAGATGATAGAACCAACAATTAGTGGCAGAAATAGGAATAGAACCCAAGGCCCATCCTTTTTTTTACTATAGGAAGAACAACCTCCTGTATATGGAAGCCTCTTCCCAGGCCATGAAATGTTGCACCCACGTTCAAAGGGTTTGGCAAGAAAGCTGTGGATCTTAAAACAAACCCCCTGTGACCTAGGTTTGTAATTTGGCTTGAAGTATGCAATTACTTTAACAAGAACAGTTTGGTAAATTAATTGGCTTGTCACTAGATTCATATTCATGGTGCTTTCAGTGTCATTTTTATAATGCCACAGTGTCTCGTCAGTAACTGCCTGAGGAGCATCACGATGCTATTGCCCTGATGGAGCGAAAATGGGCATGGCGCTGGGGGCTGGGCAGGTTATGTCGGGGAGGAACTATTTGCCTTTCTCATTCAAGTCCACCCAAATGGTTGAGATAGGGAAGGAATATGGGGCCAGGGACTAAGGATGTGGAAACTGACAAATCCTCAGCTAGTTCTGGTGGGCTATTTGGAAAGCTTAGAAATCTTCTCAGAACGAATTCTTAACCCCACTCAAGAGGACTGTGCAGACTAGATCTAGGGTACCCTGGCAGAGTTGAGAAAAGAAAGAAAGAAGGAAGAAGCCACTTGGTGCCAGGAACTTTCCTCAGATAATTTGTGGACACTGTTTTATTTTTTTTTAATTTTTAATTTAATTTTATTTTTTCATGGAAATGGGGTCTCACTGTGTTGCCCAGGCTGGTCTCAAACTCCTGAGCTCAAGCAGTCCTCCTGCCTTGGCCTCCCAAAGTGCTGGGATTATAGGCACGAGCTACCGTGCCCAGCACACACTGTTTCGTTTAAACATTGCCACTCTTCAAAAGAGTTCTTATCCCCATTTTACAGAAAAGAAAATTGAGGACCTGAGAACTGAAATGACTTCTCTAGGGTTACACTGAGTTGCAACCTTCCTCATGGCACTGGGTGACCACCAGGTCTGAGCAATAGTTGAGTCTCATCCCAGTCCTTCTGAGCTGTGTGACATTGGACAGCTTAGGCAATGATTCTATGTTGAAGTTTCCTCAGCTGTAAAATAGAAAGAAAATATACCTCCCAAGTTGTATGAATTTATTAAAACAGGACAGGTGAGCATGTGTAGCCCAGTCCTGGCATGTGGTTTTGAACTATTCCCTGCACCATGCTGGTTACCCTGGTGGTTCCTTGTGTTCTGACCTCCTCTGCAGGTTCACTTCAAGGCTGAATTGTTCATATGGTGCAACAAATGTGGCTGAAAGTCCAGGTTGGTTTTTGCTGTCTACATGTTGAGTGGCCCAGATCAGATGGTAAGAATTTGCCTCACGAAGCTCCTCACACCTAGTGGGCGCTCCATAAACATTTGCTCACTGATTAGATAATTAATCAATCTCTCTCTCTCCTCCATCACTTGGCTTTTTTCCACCTCAAACTGCCTGTATATTGCCTGGCCCTAGGAGCCAGGAGCACAGCTGGTGTCCAAGAACGGTGAGATGACCCCCAAATCACCCACCTGCTAGTATTACCCTGTGGCCAAGACAATAGCTCTTACCCGGACCAGTGATGAGGTTTTACTCTTGGGGTCTCTGGCTCTTTCTTGGTGCTGCTTTTCATGGGTTGGCACCTAGTGAGGTCACCTGACTCACCCTTCAAGCGACTGTGGCACTCACTACCTTTATAATTTCTCTCGTTCTTTTTTTTCTGTATTGATAGCTGTGTGATGCTGGGTTGCCATGACAACTGATTGATTAGCATCCAATTCCTGGACCGGGAAACATGCAGCCATAAAGAATTACAAATGATGCCTGATTGTCTGCTGCCAATAGCCTGATTGCTGCCATTTTCTGGCAGGTAGCTCAGCCCTAACAGGAAACCCTGTGCTGTGCAATTATTGCGACGTGATTGATGCCTCACTATAGTTACAATCGGCCGTGTTTCCAACTCAGGAGGTTTAAAAAAAAATTCCCCCTTTCAGATGAAAATGCTCATAAACATGGAAGGATGAAGTATGGAGTGGGAGAGGGAAGTGGGGCTGGCAGGGGAGGTCAGCGTGGACTGAGCAGGAGCCCAGCTAGAGACTCAGAGGCAGGGCAGGGAGAGAAGGCAGGATGGTGGCATATGGATAAGGAAAAAGGGATGGCTGGCTGCTGGTGCTTCTCCACCCCTCCAACTCCTGGGCCCCAGAGCACACGAAGGGGTGGCTCAGAAATCACTTCCAAATGAGAGGCCTGAAAAGTAGAGGGTGGGTGCAAGATGGACAGCAAAATCTACACAGGCCACAGGTGGTGTACTGCTCAGGCCAATTACTGAAGCAGCTCTTTGGGGCTCAACTCATTTTTGATGGCCAAAGAACAAGCACCTGGGCCTGGAAATAGAGTCTGGGAAAAAGGCCATGACACCAGGGAGAACAGGGTTTGAGAGGGGGCCAGCATGGGGGATAGAGCCACAGGGAGACTGGTGCTCAGAGCCTTGGGGACACAAGAGACCTTTTCTTTTGACCCAGGGAAAAAATGCCTTTCTTGTTCCTCCATTGGATATTGAATATTTTTATCAGGCTTGTAGAGAGAGATAGAGAGAATGAAAATATTTGTGACTGTTAGGGCTAGACTTTATTGCAAAGGAAGGTAGTCTTTTACCTTTTTTTTTTTTTTTTTGAGACAGAGTCTGGCTCTGTCGCCCAGGCTGTAGTGCAGTGGTGCAATCTCGGCTCAGTGCAAGCTCCGCCTCCTGGGTTCACGCCATTCTCCTGCCTCAGCCTCCCGAGTAGCTGGGACTACAGGCGCCCGCCACCGCGCCCGGCTAATTTTTTGTATTTTTAGTAGAGACGGGGTTTCGCCGTGGTCTCGATCTCCTGACCTCCTGATCCGCCCGCCTCGGCCTCCCAAAGTGCTGAGATTACAAGCGTGAGCCACCGCGCCCGGCCGTCTTTTACCTTTTAAATGCTGTCTGTTCCTGTGAGCAAATAATTGGGTATCTTCCAAATCATGTCCACAATTCAATGATACCCAAGTCATTGTGCTATGAATAATTCTTCCCCTTAGTTTAAAGATGGTCTTCTTTGTTTTAGTCTTCCTATAAACAGCAAACACTCCTAGAACTAGTATTATTTACTTACGTAAACCTAAATGTGATTTTTTTTTTTTAAATTTTTGAGACGGAGTCTGGCTCTGTCACCCAGGCTGGAGTGCAGTGGCACAATCTTGGCTCACTGCAACCTCTGCCTCCTGGGTTCAAGCAATTCTCCTGCCTCAGCCTCCTGAGTTGCTGGGATTACAGGCGTGTGCCACCACACCCGGCTTATTTTTGTATTTTTAGTAGAGATGGGGTTTCACCATATTGGCCAGGCTGGTCTCAAACTGTTGACCCCGTGATCTGCCCACCGCGGCCTCCCAAAGTGCTGGGATTACAGGCATGAGCCACTGTGCCCGGCCCATCAATGTGTTTTTGTCGTCACCTTATAATTGCTTGAATCCTTGCTGTCATAATATTTAGGGATTTTTACTTTTGCATTCATTATTGCTGCTACTTGAGAATGGGGACTATTATCATTAATCCGGCATGTAATGGAGCCATAATAAGTGTTGTTGCACGCATGAATAAATGCAAAGATGGAGCAGCCTCAAAGTACATGTGGTAGAAATTCGGTGCAGTAAGGCGTGATGGGAGTGGTGGTGATCAAGCTAAAACGGGAACTGTTGAAGACCTGTTCTAGTCATATAAAGGGAGGCCTGGATCTAGCCTACTTCTTAAGGAAGGCTTAAGGATGTCAGAAGACAGGATCAGAAATCCAAGCAGGCTACTATCTTTGGTACCTGACATTTTTAGCCATGACTCATGGATACCATAGCAAAGAATAGGTTTCTGTAGATGCGTGCCTTTCCTTTTGGCTACTGATAGGTATTACTTGCCTACAGCGTGGATCTATCAATCAGAAAAACCACCTATAAGTTGACCCCAATAGTCCAATATTCTTTTCAAATGAGGAAAAGTGGATGAAACTTTTAAATGTACTATTTGTCTTCTCACTATATTGTAACTAAACCAAAGCCAGGAATACAGAGAAAGCATTTTATATATTATTGTTGAATTTAACAAAGAAATTAGGTTGAAACTCAATGACTTTCTGGGATGTGGCATAAGAATGGAAGAGGAATAGTAAAAATAAATGTGGGGAATTATTTAGGCAATGGGAGATATTGATGGCTTCTAGGAACCAAGATACACGCAGTCCTAAGTTCAAGTGGCAGCTCCACAGCTTATCAGCTGTAAAACCTTGGGCAGGTTATTGAGCCTTAGTTTCTCCATCTGTAAAATGGAAGATAATCACAGCACGTATTTGTAGGGTATCCAGAAGAATGAATTAAGAGAATGGATGCAAAGCACACAGCACATGGTAAGAACTCAGTAAGTGTTAAGTATGATTATTATGTTTAATTCCTGACCTAGAAGTTGAATGTTTTTTATTTCAAATATGTGAAACAATATAGCAGTCACTTGAAGAGATCACACACCTTACACTGGTACGACAATGTGTGATCTCACAGTTGGACAGGGGTGGGAGGAAGTGGGGGGGATCTTTTGACTTACTTGAAATACCTCCAGAGAATGTCTTGCTTATTGTGGAACGACAGCTACAAAATACTTGTGTTATGGCCCAAATGTAAATATGTCTGTTTCTATTTAGGAGATCACTTATTTCTACATTTGTAGTACCATTTAAGACCATTCAAAGCCATTAGGATTGGTGTCCCTGACTTCTGGTCTCCTAGACAGATAAAAGCTGGTTCCCATGGGAACTAGTTTTGCTTTCTCTTCCGTCTAATTAAAACCTATTTACCCAGGACTAAATGTTTTGTAAGTACCTTCCAGTGAGTTCTTCTGTTGGTTTACCAAGCTCAGTGCAAGCACTGGTAACGTAACCATTTGCAACACCAGTCAACTTCAGTTGAGTGAGTACACACGAACTTGCTGGGACTGATTTTTTGTTTCTTTGGTTTCCTTGCAGTTCAGACCGGAAAGGATCGGGCTCCATAGGGAACTCTATGCAACTGGCTGTATCTAAACATTCTGCAGTCTTTTTGTTGAGTGAACTTTCTGGGAGAAGAAGTAATACAAGATAGTGATATAAGCCATGGATCTTCTCATGCCTCTGAGGGCAAAGCGTCCATTTTAGGAACTTGAGAAATTAGATTTCACTGTATTTGAATGACACTGTACAAGATATGCCTTGTTATCTACTTAACCATTGTTGACTTTCCTTTTCCCACTGTGTTTTCCCCATGTTCCTGCAGAGATCTTGCTTTGTTTGGTCCCTCCTCAGAGAACAAGGTGGAGGGGCTCTCTGAACTCAATTTCTGCCGCTTTCTAGCGTGGGATAATTGTTATCTTCATTGTTTCCTGTTCTTAGGAAAAGAGCCTTCTTCTTCACTTCTCTTTTCTAGGTCCTCAGAGAGCTGGGCAGATGCCCATGTGACTGAGGCTGGGCTGTGCAGAGGAGGGAAGAAGAGAACCATCATAGCTCAGTCTCACAGCTCAGACCCAAACACCTTCAGACAAGAGCATCACTCCGGGTCTCTTTTCTTCTTCCAGCTTCTGAGTTGGAAATCAGTACTTGTGCTCTTCTCCTTCGTTATTTTCACCTGGAGAACCTTAGTGGCTTCCAGAAGCCATAAAGCTGCCCTAATTCTCTGTCTCTTCCTGCTCATTGCACTGGTGGATGGCAAGAGGCACCTGGGTCTCTCTGGCAAGCTTTGGGGTCTGCACATGGTGTGGGTTCTCTCTGTTGCCAGGTTCCTGCCACCTGCTCTGCTTGGAGGAGACAGATAAGGGCAGGGAGGGCAGGGAAGCTCTTGCCAGCTGGCAGGGCTGGCCTGGAGATCTTATGGTGGCTGAGTGAGCTGCAGTCTTTCAGGCTGGATTTGCCCTGGAACAAGTTCGTGCAGGGAAGAGTAAGATCTTGGCTAAGGGCAAGGGAGCCCAGGTGAAGAAGGCGGCTTGAGAGGTTAATAGACTTGGGGATTGGCTCCTTTTGAAGGGCACCAAGGGATCCCATCAAGCACTTCCTAAGCTCTTTGGGAGAGGCCCAGGGAAGGGAACTGTAAGCTTCCTATATGCAGCAGCACTTACCCAATGCACAGAGATTATTTATTTACATAACTGTCTTGCAATTGAAGGCTTCTTAAAGACAAGAATTGTGTCTTTATCCCTCAGTGCTTTCAGAGTGTAGCTAGAGCCTGGCAGTGAATTAGGAGTCCCTTAATTTTTACTGATTTGAATGGAAATTAAAGAAATTGGTAAGGTATGTTCAGGGCTGAGAGGGTGCCCCAGACAAGCTAGCAACTTGGCACCATTTTAAACAATATTGTTGAATATTTTCTCAACAATTATTTGGAGAAGAGGTGCAAGTGCTGCTAAAGTGGATCCTTACATTTTCAGGCCCTTTCCGATAAACAACAGATCTATTGTGAAACAGGTCGCCCTCCTTAGAAGCCTTTGAGCAACCCTTAATTAAGCCTGTTGTTGGGAGAGGAGAAGGTCTCAACCTGGAGCTTTCCATTGTAGCAGCTCTGGTCAACGTTTTTCTCATCAGATTTCCGGTGATGCTTTCGTTCCAGGCAACTGCCTGGATATCCGCAGTCTAATCCAGTGCTGCAAATGCATTTGCCTTTAGAGATGGGTCAAGTCAACTACTGCTGATTTTGCTTTGTTGTATTTAAAAATATATTATTATAACAACTTCAAAGGTTCCTTTGAAAGAAGAATAACAAATTACTCCCTATCACAAGACTGTAACAAAATAGGTTTTATTTTTGTGTATTCTGGAGGCTTTGGCCATAATCATACATATTTTACATCATTGTAATCACAGTTAACATAACATTTTGCATTCTCCTTTATTCACTTCACATTATATCAAGTGTTTCTTTATATTGTTCCATTCTTTTTCTAGTTATCTTTTAAAATAGCTGCATAATATTCCATGTGGCAGGTGAACAAACTATGAGATTATTTACATCTTTTTGCTGTCAGAAGCAACCATACAGTAACGCTTTTGTGTATACAGCTCTTTTCTTATTTAAATAATTTATTTCTCCTTAACTTTATTAAGGTATGATTGACAAATAGTAGTTGTGTCTAAGGTGTACAATGTGATGACTTGGTATACATATACTTTGTGAGCTGATTACCACAATCAAGCAAATTAACATATCTATCACCTCCCATGGTACACTTCCCCCACTTTTTTTGTGGTGAGAATATTTAAGATCTACTCCTTTAGCAAACTTTAAGTATACAATATAGTATTATTAACTGTAGTCAACATGTTATATATTATAGCTCCATAACTCATTCCTCTTATAACTGGAATTTTGTGCCCTTTCAGTAACATCTTATTTCCCCTACCCACTGCCCCTGGTAACTGCCATACTACTCTCTGCTTTTATGAGTTTGACCTTTTTAGATATTGCATGTAAATGATATTTTTCAATATTTATCTTCCTGTGTCTGGCTTATTTCACTTAACTTAATGTCTTCCAGGTTCATCCATGTTGTTGCAAATGGCAGAATTTTCTTTTTTTAAGACTGAATAATATTCTATTATATAGTTATATGTATTACATTTCTTTCATTCATTCATCTGTCAATGGACGCAATTTGTTTTCATATTTTAGCTATTATGAGTAATACTGCAGAGAACATGGGAGTGCAGCTAACTCTTCAAGATCATGATTTCATTTCCTTTCGATATGTCAGAAGTGGGATGCTGGATCAAAGAGTACTTTTATTTTTAATTTTTTGAGCAACCTCTAAACTGTTTTGCATAATGAATGTACTATTTATATTTCCACTAACAGTGAACAAAGGCTCCCTTTTCCCTGTATCCTCCCCAACACTTGTTATCTTTTGACTTTTTGATATAACCATCCTAACAGGTATAAGGTGATATCTCATTGTGGTTTTCCCCGATGATTAGTGATTATGAGCATTTTAAAAAATATATCTCTTGGCCATTTGTATGTCTTCTTTGCTCATTTAAAAATTTGGGTTATTATTATTATTATTTGCTGTTGAGTTGTTTGAATTCCTTATACATTTTGGATGTTAACCCCTTATTAGACATGTGGTTTGCAAGTATTTTCTTCCATTCCATACATTACCTTTTCATTTGGTTGTTTTCTTTGCTGTGCAGAAACTTTTAAATTCGTTGTAGTCTCACCTGTTTAATTTTGTTTACGTTGCCTTTACTTTTGGTATCATATTCACAAAAATTATTGTTAAGACCAATGTCAAGGAGCTTTCTCTTTATGTTCTCTTCTTGGAGTTTCAGGCCTTTGAAATATTTTATCCATTTTTGAGTTGATTTTTGTCTATGGCAAAATGGTCCAATTTCATTCTTTTGCATGTGAATATCCAGTTTCCCAGCACAATTTATTGAAAAGACTACCCTTTTTCCATTGTGTAGATTTGGCACCTTTGTCCAAGATTAGTTGACCATGTATGTGGGTTTATTTCTGGACCTCTATTCTGTTCTGTTGGTAAATGTGTCTGTTTTCATGCTAGTACTATACTGTTTTGATTACTATAACCTTGTAATATAATTTGAAACCAGGAAATGTGACACCTACAGCTTTATTATTCTTTCTCAAGATTGCTTTAATGATTTGGGGTCTTTTGTGGTTCCACATAAATTTTAGAATTTTTTTTTCTATTTCTGTGAAAGAAGCCATTAGAATCTTGATAGAAATTGAGTTGAGTCTGTAGATTGCTTTGGATAGTATGGACATTTTAACAATGTTAATTTATTTAATCCTTGAACACAGAATATCTTTCCATTTGTTTGTGTCTTTTTCAATTACTTTCATCAATGTTTTATAGCTTTTAGTGTACAGATCATTCATCTCCTAAATTTATTCCTATTTTATTCTTTCTGATGCTATTCTAAATGGGATTGTTTTCTTAATTTCTTTTTCAGATATTTCATTGTTAGTGTATACAAACTCCTCTGATTTTTGCATGTTGAGTTTGTATCCTATAACTTTACTGAATTCATTTAGTAATTATAACAGTTTTTGGCAGGATCTTTAGGGTTTTCTATGTCATGTGCAAACAGAGACAATTTAACTTCTTCCTTTCTGATTTGGATGTCTTGCAATTATTTTTCTTGCTTAATTGTTCTGTGTAGGCAGGGTGCAGTGGCTTATGCCTATAATCCCAGGACTTTGGGAGACTGAGGTAGAAGGATATCTTAAGGCCAGGAGTCCGAGATCAGCCTGGGCAACATATCGGATCTTGTCTCTACAAAAAATAAAAAACTAGCTGGGCATGGTGGAACACGCCTGTAGTCCCAGCTACTTGGGAGGATCATTTGAGCACAGGAGTTCGAGGCTGCAGTGAGCTATGATTATGCCACTATACTTCAGCCTAGGCAACAGGGTGAGATCCTGTCTCTGAAAAAAAAAAAAAAAACTATTCTGTCTAGGATTTCTAGTGCTATGTTAAATAGAAGCGATGAGAGTGGGCACCTTTGCCTTGTTCCTGATCTTAGAGGAAACGTTTTCAGCTTTTTACCCTTGAGTATGATGTTAGCTGTGGGCTTGTCCCATATGGCCTTTATAATGTTGAGGTACACTCCTTGTATACCCAATTTGTTGAGAGTTTTTATCATGAATGGATGTTCCATTATATTAAAACCCAAAGTTAACAGGAAAGAAATAACAAAGATCAGAACAGAAATCAATGATATAGAGATGAGAAAAATGATAGGAAAGATAAATAAAAGTGCTTTTTTTTTTGAAAAAAATGTAATTGACAAGCCTCTAGCTAGACTAAGGAAAAAAGAAAAGATTCAAATAAACAAAATCAGAAATAAAAGAGGAGTCATTATAACTGATATCACAGAAATACTAAGAATCATAAGAGACTTTTATGAACAATTATACACAAACAAATTGGATAACCTAGAGGAAATGAATAAATTCATGTAACCTACCAAGACTGAATCATGAAGAAACAGAGCATTTGAACAGACTATTAATGACTAAGAAGATTGAATCAGTAATCAAAAACCTTCCAAAAAAGAAAGACCCAGGAACAGATGGCTTCACTGGTGAATTCTACCAAGCATTTAAAGAAGAATTAATACCAGTCCTTCTCAAACTCTTCCAAAAATTGAAAAGGAGGGAACACTTCCAAATTCATCTTATGAGCCCAGCATTACCCTGATACCAGAGCCAGACAAGGGTACTACCAGGAAAGAAAATTACAGGCCAATATCATTGATGAACATAGATGCAAAACTTCTCAACAAAATACTAGCATACTGAACTCTACAGCACATTAAAAGAATCGTACAATATGATTAAGTAAGTGCCATTTATTCCTGGGATGCAAAAAAGTTTCAACATATGCAAGTCAGTAAGTGTCATACACCACATTAACAGAGTGAAGAATAAAGATCTTACGACCATCTCAATAGATGCAGAAAAATCATTTTATTTCTTCGGGATTAATGTCTAGGAGGAGGATCAAAGGCAGTGTATGTTGGCGCTAGGTCATACCAGCTTGTGAGATCTCATTTTGCAAATCTGTTGCCAATTCTGTATTCAGAAAGTTCCCTTAAAATAAGTTGTGAGAGGTAGAAATATTTATGTCACACAAATTAACAAATGCTACAAATCTAATTTTTGTTTAGTTTATGGAGAGCTGGCTTACCAGCACACTATTGATCAAAGCATGTAAACTTTTATTTTATTACTCTTGATAAATTTATTGCCATATTATTTTTCAAAGAAGTTGAACCGGTATATGTATAACTGATTTGATTGAGATGTCTTAACTTGTTGAAGTGTAGCCATAAATTACTTATATATTTTCAGTAGCTGCTAAATTGTGTTTTCTCGAAACCTTCTTTTCCACAGGGAAGTGGGCTTCCTTAATATATCTAAATCCACTTTCATAATTTTTGTTCATTTAAAAATAAAAATGACATGGGTTGCTAAGTTTTAGTTCTATCCATTTAAAGGCTTGAAGTTTTGGTTCAAACCTCACCTCATCTTCTTGTAGGAGAGGCGTGACTCCAGTGGTTTGGGGTGGAGGGCTGTTGTTATCTGCTACCCTGACTAGCTGTTGTGGTTCTCTCCATCTTCCCTTTACTTATTCTTTGGAACTGAGCTGGGGCAAAGAGAGAAGAATTTATGTGATTACTCATGGTGTGTTGGCTGCTCTTCTCTCTTGGTCATCTCTGTGGTTCCTCTTTTGGTGTTCACATAATGTCTGTCCCTTCTGTTGTCCATCATTGCTTCTGTCTGCCACTGACTGATTATAATGTTTTCTGTGTAGTCAATGTCCCATTGTTAATTCCTTTCCTCCTGAAACAACTACAAACTGGACAACATGTATGGAACAAGTTTTCAACACATTGGACAACAGGCAACAAGTGACAGTGATTCCGCGAGATGGGCAACAACAGGGTAAGCCGTAGGGTTGCCTCAGCTTGAGAAAGTTTCCAGGCTGTAGCACAAGGAAGGAGAAACAGGGTAGAGGTTGGAAGTCTGGGGAGGCCAAGGAGACTAGAATAGCAGGGCAGAGGGCCTGAGAGAAGAGGGTCAGATTAGGACTCTGGAGGGCTACAGAATCCCACTCAAGGCTTCCGCAGAGCACTGATGGGTGCAGATATGTGAGCACATTACTCAAGGGCAGAGAAAAATACCACCCCTCATTTTTTAAAATTATTATACTTTAAATTCTGGGTTACATGTACAGAACGTGCAGTTCTGTTACGTAGGTATACACGTGCCATGGTGGTTTGCTGCACCCATCAACCTGTCACCTACATTAGGTATTTCTCCTAATGTTGTCCCTCCCCTAGCCCCCCACTCCCCGCAGGCCCCAGTGTGTGATGTTCCCCTCCCTGTGTCCATGTGTTCTCATTATTCACCTCCCACTTATTGGTGAAAACATGTGGTGTTTGGTTTTTTGATCTTGTGATAGTTTGCTGAGAATGATGGTTTCCAGCTTCATCCATATCCCTGCAAAGGACATGAACTCATCCTTTTTTATGGCTGCATAGTATTCCATGATGTATATGTGCCACATTTTTTTAATCCAGTCTGTCATTGATGGACATTTGGGTTGGTTCCAAGTCTTTGCTATTGTGAATAGTGCCACAATAAACATATGGGTGCATGCGTCTTTATTGTAGAATGATTTATAATCCTTTGGGTATATGCCCAGTAATGGGATTGCTAGGTCAAATCGTATTTCTAGTTCTAGAACCTTGAGGAATTGCCACACTGTCTTACACAATGGTTGAACTAATTTACACTCCCACCAACAGTGTAAAAGTGTTCCTATTATTCCACAACCTCTCCAGCATCTGTTGTTTCCCGTATCTTGAGTTGATTTTTGTGTAAGGTGTGAGGAAGGGGTCCAGTTTCAGTTTTCTGCATTTGGCTAGCCAGTTTTCTCAACACCATTTATTAAATAGGGTTTCTTTTCCCCATTGCTTGTCTGTGTCAGGTTTGTCAAAGATCAGATACCACTCCCCAAAATTAGTGGAATATACTCTAGGGGGCAAAGAGGGTTGGGAATTGTTCTTGTTCATAGCAGCCAGAGTGAAAACAGTCATAATTTGTCAGAGTTTGGGTAGAGTACTCAGAAAGGTTTGATATAGTAATAGGAGAAAATTAGACCTAGATCTAATGTCACTCTGGTCTCACTTAACAAAGCTTAAAAGCAAGACATAAAAGGATCAAACTGTTTCCAATGAACTTAACTGCATCCCAGTACAAAGATCAATAATTTTAATAATCACATAAAAATATCCAGCACAAACATGGTAAATATTTCAGTGTCTTGCATTTGATAAAAAATTATGAAGCAGGAAAATATAACCGATAATAAGAAGAAAGCCTGGTTTAACATTTGAAAATCAATCAATGCAATTTTTTATGTTGACTAGTTAAAAGGAAAAAAGGCACCTGATTATCTTGATGAGTACAGAGAAAACACTACCAAAATCTAGCATCTATTTCTGATAAAAACCTCTCAGCAACCTAGGAATGGCAAGGTATTTCCTCAACCTAATAAAAGGTGTCCAGGAAAAACCTACAGCAGACATTGCATTTAATGATGAAAGACTGAAAGACTGAATGTCTTCCTCCTAAGATCAGTGAAAAGTTAAGGATGTTTACTTTCACTACTTTTATTCAACCCTGTACTGAAGAATTTGCCAAGGCAATAAGGCAAGAAAAATAAAACGTACCCAAATCATAAAGGAAGAAGTAAACCTGGCGAGGTGTGGTGGCTTATGCCTGTAATCCCAACACTTTGGGAGGCTGAGGCGGGTGGATTGCTTGAGGTCAGGAGTTCAAGACCAGCCTGGGCAACATGATGAAGCCTGTCTCTACTAAAAATACAATAACTAGCTGGGCATGGTAGCGTGTGCCTGTAATCCCAGCTACATGGAAGGCTGAGGCAGGAGAATTGCTTGAACCCAGGAGGCAGAGGTTGCACTGAGCCGAGATCGTGCCACTGCACGCCAGCCTGGGCAACAGACCAAGACTCTGTTTCAAAAAAAAAAAAAAAGTAAACCTGTCTTATTTCGTAGACAACCATAATCATCTAAGAAGAAAATCCTATGGAATCTATGAAAAAGTTCAGGAAATAATCATGGGACACAGGATATACGATCAGTACATAAAATTTAATTTTTTTTTTTTGAAATAGATTCTTGCCAATGCATTCTTACCAAGTGCAATTTGTTGCATTCTGAGTTGCATTCTGTTCATTTGCCCAACAGTGCTCATCCCGATGTGTGTTTACATACTCACTTGTTTACATATGATCACTTATGTCTTCTCTGTGACTTCCCACCTGATAGCAAACTCCATGAAGGCAGACACAGTGCCTGTTTTATTGCTTGGTGTTTGAACAGCACCTGTTACTATGCTAGCACATACCATCCAATAGATGGTACCTGTTGTTATCATAGCAGGGAGTCAGTAAAGGAATAAAATTAAATTAACAGATGAACTAGTAATTTTGCAGATGAAGAAACTGAGGTTCAGATAAACTCACTCACTAACCTGAGGCCACATGACTAATTGAGGTTCCACTGCAGGTCCCTGATCCCATGTAAACATGCTGCTCGCTGTGTCTCTCTCCTGCAAGCAGTGGAGTGGCATTTCAAGGAGTGTTTCCCTGCCTGGCTCAGGAGAAGCTTATGTTTCTGTACCAAATGTTACTCCCTATCTTACAAAATTTGGGAGAGGAATAAAGAGGCAGCCTGAATGGCTCTAACCCAGGGCTGACGCATAGTTAAGCTGTCCTGGAGCCCAGCAGGCAGTTTGTAAATTATTAGAATGTATCTGCCACATCTGGTGCCTGCACACTGTGTGGAATGTGTAGCCATGGAGTTCAAACCAAGACCTCACATTTATAGGGTTGTAAAGATGTAGAGAGACCGGTGGATCTTGTTTCTATTCCACCCAAAGGCTAAGGTTGCCTCGCATAGATCTTTGAGAGGCGGACAGGGCTAAGAACTACTGCTTTGCCATGGAGCTTCATGAAAGCAGATAAATCCATGTGTCTTTGCCAGAGTTACTGCGATGTATCCAGTCAGATACTTAAGATCACTTATCCTCATCACCTTATTTAGTAGGAATATGATATTTATATATCATCCTGCAAGGTGGTCCATATGACCTCCTTCAACAGAAAATGTCAAGTGTATCACTGAGTTTTCATGTTAACAAGCATTGAGAAGACACAATTTATTTTTCTCACTAAATTTTTGTCTTGGAGCTCACCGTGCACCCAGCAGTCAATGTGGCCTGAAGACTCAGTCCAAGTGGCTCTGAGAGGCTATGATGCTCTTCACTAAATGTGGCCCCTGCTGCAGACAGTGAGAAGCTGAGGATCCTGTGTCTGCAGTTGCCCAAAGCAGAATCTTTATCACCCACAACCTGTATCCAGAAAATAATTCCCTGTTCCTTGACTGAGGCAAATCTCAAACTCCTGCTGAGTTCCTGGTACTCAGATCTGACTCTGACTTTACATAGACTTCTGTGGCAGAGCTGGGTTTTTATTTAAGTGTTCTAGGACAACTTTTCCTACAACCTTCAGAGAAGGAAATGGGAGTGCGTGGTAGTAACACCCCAGGATGTAGGTGAAAGAGTAGAGACACTGGACTCAGAGAATGCTGGGGTCAAATCCGGGAATTGTTTCCTTCTTCCCTGATGGCTTTGAACCAGTTAGTTAACCTCTGTACTTCACTTTTTTTTTGCCTATAAATTGTGGAGAATAATGACCACCTCTAAGGGAAATGACAAGGGTTAATATGTATTATGATTATATGTTAAATTACTATAATATATACTATACCCTCTGGGAAGAGTCTGTTACCATGGTTGGCACATAGTAGGAACTCAGGAAGTGGTCACTATGATCACTTATCATATCCATTAAATGCAACAACATGTTCATCACAGCATTTTAAACGCAAACCTTGAAGTGATGTTAATGTATACCAATAAAAATGGCATCCACTCCTATGATGAAATATTGTACAACCATTGCAAATCATGATTCTTAAAGAAATGGGAAAATGCTCACAAAAGAAATGTCAAGTTGGAGAAAGATTCAAATCATAAATATATATCCTAATTTATGCAAGATAAACAAAAGGATGCTATGCACATATATAAATAGGACTTCATCCACTCCCTCAAAAAGATTTGCAAAAATATATCCCTGAAAGTTATCGTTTATCTAAATGGCAAGAGTAGGGGTGGTTTTCGTTTTCTTTATTCTTTTTTGTGCTTTCCAGATTTCCCACAATGAATATTGCCTGCAATTATAATACAAGAAAAAGCAAACATTATTACTTTAAAAAAATGATATGAGAAGCTACACCTCATTTTTCACAAAACAACAGCTGCTGAGAAACATTCACTTTCTGCTACATGCATTCAAATGCCCCAGCCATGGCCTGGCATGGTAGGGGGACAGCAGTGGCCCCCAGTCTGCCAGGCCAGCATCACAGATGGGCTCTCCACAGCACAGGGAGTGTCCAAGCCTTGCCAGGCTGTGGTTCCCTCCTCCTCTCTGCTGGCGTTTCCTCTGGTATTTATTCACTCACATAGCCTATAGAGTTAAAAGAGGTTTGTTTCTTTTCAGGCTGTTGAGTGCAGCCAGGGTAATTTAGTAGAAAAATGTCATGCTAATGCAATTCAAAGTTCAAATGATCTTTCATTTTGAGGGAAAGAAGAATGTGTGTGCAGTTGGAATGTTAAAACTCACTACTTGCCCTGCAATTCAAATAGAAATATGAGCTGCAGGGGCTACATAAGTCACATGAAGTACTGTGAGTGAAATGCGCAAAATGAATAAAAATGATCCGGAAGCCGTTTATTAGCATTGCTGGGGGCCAGCACCAAACAAGAACTGTAGCCGTCAGAAGCTGCGTGGAGAAGGAGTGTTTGCATAAAATTACAATAATCCTGAAATAATGAGGAAGTAAGTGATCAGTGAGGTCCTTCTTACCAATGTCTCGAAAGCCGCCCTCAGACCCCCGGAAAGCTGTACCCTTTCCCAGCTCACATGCCCTTCCCTCCTCTATCTGCCTGGCTTGGCTGCACTTGCAGGTGGGTGGGTGGCGGTGAAGCTTGGGGAGAGGCTGCATGTGCCCCCGCACTGCCTGCTGTCTTGGAGTTTGAGGGGAGATAGAAAGATGGATGGAGAAGTTGTGGTCACTGGGCTTAGTTCAGGCCACCCACAAGAAGACAAGAGAGTGTGGTTGGCACCTGGGCAGGGGAGGCAGCTCCCCAACCCTCACTGGAAGTCAGGTCTGTCCTTGGAGAGTTCATCCTCCTTCCACTCCTCTTCTGGTTTCTTGTCTACCCCTGCCACAAAGAAGTGCTCAAAGGAACAGATGTCAATTGTTTATCTTTTTTTTTTGTTTGTTTGTTTTTTTTAAGACAGGGTCTTGCTTTGTTGCCCAGGCTGGAGTGCCTGGCATGATCATAGCTCACTGACACCTCGAACTCCTGGGCTCAAGCAATCCTCTTGCTTCAGCCTCTCCAGTAGCTGGGACTACAGGTGCATGCCACCACACCTGGCTAATTTTATTTTCTGTAGAGACAGGGTCTGGCTGTGTTACCCAGGCTGGTCTCGAGCTCCTGGCTTCAAATGATCTCCCCACTTCAGCCTCCCAAAGCCCTTGGATTACAGGTGTGAACCACCACACCAGGCCAGCTGTTTATATCTCAATATGCATTTTCCACCTTGTTTCTGCTCATAATGGATTAACATTTTCAGATGTAGCTATTATGATCCATTGAAATCCTTTATTGCAGCCCCCAACTTGTGAAAAGGATGTGAGGCAGCGATGTGTGGATAATTTGCCCAAGTTTCTTTCTTTAGTCTTAAAAATCAAATTCTGTTTACCTCTAAGAGATCATCTCGGGTCACCATCTACACAACCTGCTTTGATGGTATTATTACATTCTCTATCGTTGTTATGAAAAAACTAGGTTCCCCCTGAAAAAAAATTCCCATGTCAAAGCCCCAATCCCTGATGTGACTGTATTTGAAGACAGGGTGTAGGAAGAAGTAATTGAGGTTAAATGATCATAAGGGTGGGACCCTGATTTGTAGGCATGTGAAGGAGAGGTCCTGTGAGCACACAGTGGGTGAGATGCTGGCCCCCTACAAGCCAAGAAAAGAGGCCTCAGAATAAAATCTACCTTGCTGGCACCTTGATCGTGGACTGACTTCCTAGCCTCCAGAACTGTAAGAAATAAATTTCTGTTGTTTAAGCTACCCAGTCTGTGATATTTTGTTATGGCAGCCTGAGCAGACTAATATAATCTTCTATAAACAAGCAAATCCCAAAGGAACAGTGGGGATGGTACCAATGTGTGTGTGTGTGTTTGTGTGTGTGTATAGGCAGGAGTACAGGTGTTCTTTTTTAGAGAGTGAATTTTCCATTGTGTTTCATGTTTCATCTAAGTGGGTTGAAATTTTTTCCTATATATGTTTTATTGTGTGATAGAAGAATGGAATGTGTAGATTTGGTGGCGGTGGTGGGAGGGGGTGTTTAGGAGATAAGAAGGGAGAATGAAGAGGAACTATTTTTCTTTTCATTTTGTATCTGGTCCAAGAGCTGAAAGAAAAGAATTGTAATTATTTGTATGTGCATATACCAATGTATCTGTTCTGCATTGTTTCCCAAGTTGACTTCCATAGTATACTAGTTCTGCAAAACGATTAATGAAAGGTGTTAAAAATATCCTTGGTCAAGTGAGTTTATGAAGAGCTTTGCATGATTTTTCAAAGCCCATGCATCATGCCTCTCCAAGGGGCAGACATGACCTACAGTAGGTCCCAATACATTTGACCAGGACGTCATTTTCACCATTTGTTTTGGGAATCACACTCAGGACTATGATGCCGCAATGGAAAGCCATGGACTAGAAGTCACAAAATTCCAGTCTAGACATGTTTTTCTACCCATTTGCTGCACAATCATAAGCATGTCACGTCTTGGTAGCTCAACTGCTTTGCTATAAAATGAATGGCTGACTTGTTTAATCATGGCTTTCCTCTCTCCTCTAGCATCCTGTGATTATGGGTCCATGACTTCCTGGCTCTACTCACCCATTTGTACTCTAGGGCAAGGCATCCATTTCCCCATCTACTCATAGGTATAGAAATGCTCAACCTACCTTCCACAGAGGTCTCTTGTCAAGATCAAATGAGTTAATAATGCAGGTGAAAGCACTTAGAAAAAATAAAGTGCTAAATAACTTCTAATGCCTGCAGGGAAAGGGTTATGACTTCCCTGTCATTCTATGTGTTTCACAAACTTGGTGAAACCCGGTGTGAGGGATGAGGTACCACTCAGAGCTCAAGCTCTGGAGTCAGATTGCTTGGACTCAAATCCCAACTCTGCCCTTCATTGTGAAATGATCTTGGGCATGTTACTAACATTTTGTGGCTCCGTTTCCTCAGCAGTAAGGTGGAAATGCTTTCTCCTATAATTGCAATGAGGAATAAATGAGGTAATATGGGTAAAGTGCTGAAAATAGTGCATGGTATTTAGTAAATTCCCAGGAAATGTCAGGTCTTTTCTTTCTTCTCCTCCTCCTCTTCCTCCTTCTCCTCTATCTTCTTTTTCTTCATCAAATAAAGGAATAGCAATGGCAATGATAACAACAACCAACAAAATAAAATATAAAAAGATGGGATTGTGGGGATGGTCAGACCATGGTTAGCTTAAAGGCTCTTAACTCTTCAAATGAGCTGGATTTCAAATGAGCCCCAACTATCTGCTGGCTTCTGCAAGCTAGTAAGTTAAACACATGGATTGGCCCTGCTATGAACAAGTGTTCATTGAGCTCTCCATTTGCAGGCCACAGTGCTAATTGTCACACATAGATAAAAAGTCAGAGATCTTCCCTTTAAGGAGATTACAATTTAGAGATAAATAAAAATAGTAAGCTCCTCAAACAATTACAGGAAAATGAACAGTGGTCTGCCTTGTTTTGGTGAGGCTGTGAAACCTCATGGAAAGAGTCATAGTTGAAGGTTTTATAGAAGGGTGAGTTTTGACCTTGAGAGAGCTGGATTTGGAAAACAGAAAGGAGAACATCATGAGTAAAGAAACAGAAGCAGGCATGTTGTATTTGGGGCAGAAGAGGACACCAAAAAGTGTAGACTCAGTTAACAAGTGGTGGGACACTTGCCTTGGAAGGTAGGTCCTTGAATATTAGTCAGAGGAATTCAGACTTCATACAAGAAAATCCAGCAGAAGACAAATTGCTTTTCGTTTTAAACTGTCTGCTTTCTCCTTGCGAAATTAGAAAGGTCATACAATGAAAGTGAGTCATCACTCTTTTCCACTCACTTAGCATTCGATATAAATCTGTGTTTGCCTTGGGTGAATGGGCAGGTAGTTATTCGCAAGGCTGAATCAAGTCATGCAGCTGGATCTAGTTGCTGTTGTTAGTCCTCCTCTCCCTAAAACCAGCGGGTGTTCCATTCGGTGGAAATGTACCAGAACTGGAGGGTTGGTGGCGATGGTGTTCTTGAAGAAGGGTGAGAATAGAGCCCTTTGTTATTGTAGAGACTCTCATGGAAGAGCTGGTTTCTGAAACCTTGAAAGTGGGGAAACCACTCCTGGGGTAGTATAGGGTTGTCTGGAATTTTAACTTATACTGCTCAACTTATATCTTAACTTATACCACTGGATAGATGATTGTATCAGAGAGCAGCTAGAAGTGCTTTTATGAGAGTTAATAAAACTAGGATAAATCGTCTTCACGTTATACCTCCTAGAAATTTGGACTTTCAATTTGGGGCATTTAAATGACGGTCACTGTGTCCCCGTCGATTGCATCAGCTCCGTGCTCTCCACTGTCAGCAGCACCAGCCTCCTTCCTTGCCAAACCTGGTCACCAACGTGACCAGTCAGCTATTTAAGCAGAAATGATCTTTTGTGAAAATCTATATATTATTTAATGCCTTTGCCCTTTGCCTTAGCTCTTTCTTTCTGCGAGCTCCTCAGCCAGGATTTCAATCTGCTTTGGATGCTTTGCAAAAAGAAATGCACAGCAAACTCCAGTGGGAATTGTGACTCTCTGTTCCTGATTTCTGGATTCTTGTAATCTATAGTGCTTCCGTGCTGGGGCTCTGCAGCTCTTTAATGGGGCCTTGTGGTAAAGTTTGGGTAGGAAGAAATCATTTCACTTAGAAATGGTTCTGCTTTGATGATCTCTGTTTTACTGGGAGTTTTTCTTCTCCTTTGTCTTTAAAGCCAGAGCCATTTCCTAGAATAAATGTTGCCTGAACACGGGAGAAGAAAGTGGAGAATCAAGTCTTGGGGAAGATACAGACTCCAGCAGTGAATCAAAATGGCTTTGGCAGTTCATTAATCAATCAACAAATATTTGATAATTGCTGACCACATGTAAGGCATAATGTTAGGGACTGTGGATAGTATAAAAAACGTGAATGGAATCTTGTCTGTTCACTCTCAAAAAACTCAATAGCTTTTGACCAGGTGTGGTGGCTTGCAGCTGTAATCCCAGCACTGTGAGAGGTCAAGACATGAGAATCACTTGAGGCCAGGAGTTCAAGACCAGCCTGGACAATAGAGTAAGATACTGTCTCTACAAAACAAAACAAAAAAGAATTCAAAAGAAAATCAGCCAGGTGTGGTGCATGTGCCTGTGGTCCCATCTACTTGGGAGGCTGAGGTAGGAGTATCCCTTGAGCCCAGGAGTTCGACGTTGCAGTGACCTATGACTGTGCCATTGCACTCCAGCCTGGGTGACACAGCAAGATCCTATCTCTAAACATAAATAAATAAATAAATAAATACATACATACATACATAAACACATAAATAATACAAAATTTAAAAACTCAATAGCTTCTTACAGTTCAGCAAATTCAAGCCAAACTCATTGCCCTGGTGTCTAAGGCATCACATAGCTGACTCCAACCAATGGGCTTTTCTGCACGTGCCCGTGTGCCTTCACCTGTATTACCTCACGTTGTTTTTATCTGAGGATAAATGGCCCGTGAGATCCATGAACACCTACCCCCAACACTTCTGTTGACTAAATTCTGTTCATTTTTACAGATCACCTTCACATACCACCTCCTCCAGGAAGCATGACCTGATTGACCCTCAGTTGTGTGTGAACTTTCTTCCTTTCAACCCCCATGGTACCTTGTATTTCTTTTGTTTTCTCAAGAGAACGCTGCTTGACAGAGTAGGAAGATCAAAAAGCATTTGCTGATTGACTGATTTAATAGGGTTGAAGGTCTCTTAGGATCTTATAGGATCATCAATATCAACATGGTGGGGAGAAGACTTAGTTCTGGTGAGAATACCAATTCAGAGGACTAGAACAAGGGAAATCAAACTGAACTGTCAAATAGATAAAACAGTAAGGGTTTAGAGGTGTGTAGGTTCATAGCCACACGTAAGAGTGATATTTCTGCAAACAGCCCAGAATGTATTATACTGACATGAGTATTGCTCCTCAAGGTGGTCCCAGTCAGAGACTGATTTCCCTGAGGTTGCCAGAAAGCAAGATACTAGCAGCAAGAAGATCCCAACCCTGGGTGCCCTCCCTCCAACCCACATCTCGCCAGTTGCTGCTATTGGAGCGTAAGTCAGTCTACACGGTTTCCAGTCAACTGAGCGTCAGGGACACCAATAGTGTCCACAGGACTGTGGAGCATTGAGGAGAAAGTAAAAGGCAAACCGTGTTCATTATGAGTTTACAGTTATGCTGGGGAGAGGCAGATGAAAACATCAAATTAAAATGCACACCAGTCCATGTTGAGGTGCTGAAATGACTCACCCAGACAAGAAGGGCTATTTGAATTTATGGAGGAAGGGTGTGGGTGGGAATTGAGCAGGGTAAAAGGTGAGATGTGGAAACTGAGAGGGTCCCTGAAAGACTTCAGGGAATGGAGATGGGGGCTTGGCCTTCTGACCTGGGGACCTGAAATGTCTAAAATTGTAACTCACAATTGCACTGCCCACATCTGAGCCTCTTTAGACCTATGTCTTCTCTAATTAACCCTGGCTCTGGGCTCTTTCTTTTGGTACCTGTTGTCAGTGTATTTACAGTCTCCCAGGCAAAAGAACTCAGTCAATTCTCCCTTTTTCTCTCACTAGACACCTCTATCTAATCAGTCACCTATGATTAAGTTTCATATGGATTGCTTTTGTCTCTAAGTTCAGCCTGTGTATAGAACTTCAGGTTCTCAATGGCTTTTGTCTTTTCAATATCATTCCAGTTATCTATGGCTGTGTAACAAACTACTCCCAAACTTAGTGGCTTAAAACAACAACTGGTCTATTATACCTTATAATTTTGCAGGTCAGGAATCCTGGCTGAATAGTTTCTCTGTCTCACATGGCATTCATGGAAGCATTCACTGGTGTTCACTGGACCATGCAGATCTGGACAGCATGTGGTGGCTGCATTTTTGTGTCTGTTTCCTTGTTGAGCATGGCTGGAAAGTGAGATCAGCTAGAACCATTGACCAAAGTGCTTATGCATGGGTTTTTCAGCATGGTGACCTCAAGGTGGTCAGAGCTTTTAAATGGGAGCTCGGAGCTCCCAGAGTGAAAATTCCAAGAGACGGTAAGCATAACCTGATACTCTCTCAAGGCTGGGTCAGGAAACAACCACAACACCATTTCTGCCCTATATTACTGGTGACGCAATCCCAGAACCACCCTCTAGTCAAGGGGAAGGGACAAAGACCCCACCTGTGGATGGGAAGAGTGTCAAAGCAATTGTGGTCACATGTAATCTATCATGAGCGTTATATTATTTGTTTTGACAGCAGGAGGCAATGGGAAGATCCTGATGCTAACTTCGGCTCTCCTGTTAGCCCACTGTGTGTACATGAGGGAACCTCTTTAAATCTCCACACCTCAGAACTTCTGCAGTGATGGATGTGTTCCACGGTTGTCAAAGTGTGGTCCCCAAACCAGCAGCATCAACTTCACCTGAAAATGTGTTAGAATAGTCAATTATCAGGCCCCACCTCACAACCATTGAATCAAACATCTTGGGTGGGACCCAGCAATTTGTATTTAACCAAGCCCATAAGGTGATTCTGATGTGTGTAAGGGTTAAAGAAGCCCTGGGGTTGGTTCCTTTCAGCCGACTTTCTGTGATTCTAACTACAGAAGCACCCTTTCATGCCACATGACCAGAACTAATAGCCAATTAATTGAAAAAATTAATTAAAATTAAGAAATGCTACTTACATTTGTGAAACTTTTAATTTTAACGAAAGGAAGTCAATCTTTCGATGTAGGGTCAAGGCCTTTCTTTGAGTGTGAGTCTGCTGGTTGGATTTCTATGACAGCTTTTTTGCATAACCCATATCTTTAATGCATGATCTAAGATTTTTAGGTTTTTACAAGCAGAGTAAGAACTAAAGACTTTACAAAGGAATCTGAACAGTTCATCTGAGTGACTCATCTTTCTTGACTATTTCTGAATATCTGACTTGGTTTACATAACAATGCATTTGTAATATTTAATTACATTAAATCATTGCAATGACAATAATTACTGGAATAAACAAGTTTGGGAACAAAGTCAACTGATGGAAACAGAAGGCTTGGGACACTGGGTGGTTTTCTACTCATCACAAGCATCACTTGGCCATGGATGTCAACTGTTTTAAGGACAGCAGGGAGAATACTGGTATATGTGGAGAGTTGGTTGAGTGGACATTGAGTAAGAGAGCTTCTCCTGCACTGCTGGTTCTTCCTAACCAGAATTCTTGTCTTCTTCCCTCTTTTTTATTGCATCCTTGACACATGTTTAATTCAAGCCCTTTTCACCTAACCCTGAACTATTACAAAAGCACACTATGTGGTCTCATCGTCTCCACACTTACCTCCTGGTGTCTGCATAAATTCATGCTTACAAAAGCCATGCCATTCCCATTCTCAGCAGGGTAGAATGAAAAGAACACTGGATTTAGAAGCTAAGGACCTGATTGGGTCTTAATCTACTATTTCTAGTTGTGTGCCATTGGATAACTCAGTCAACTTCTCCAAGCTCTTTCCCTCAAGCAAAGATAGAGCAACTAGTGCTACACACACTTCAGAGGGGATCTTGAAGATCAAGAGGACTTAAATAGGTGAAAATGTTTTGAAACCTGAATAGAACTCTACAATTCTAAGTTGTTTCTTTCCTTACTGTGTGATAACGCTCAGTCTTTTCAGCCTAGCACCCAACAATCTAGTTCTAGCTTATCTTCTCAGCTTCTTTCTCAAAGATCCTAGAAGTGTACTTCTCACCCTAGCAAGACTGTTCTACTCAAGCTCCCATGCACAGACCTAAGTTTTCTTTTCCTTTTTTATTATAATTTAAGTTTTAGGGTACATGTGCACAACGTGCAGGTTAGTTACATATGTATACATGTGCCATGTTGGTGTGCTGCACCCATTAACTCGTCATTTAACATTAGGTATATCTCCTATTGCTATCCCTCCCCTCTCCCCCCACCCCACAACAGGCACCAGTGTGTGATGTTCCCCTTCCTGTGTCCATGTGTTCTCATTGTTCAATTCCCACCTATGAATGAGAACATGCGGTGTTTGGTTTTTTGTCCTTGCGATAGTTTGCTGAGAATAATGGTTTCCAGCTTCATCCATGTCCCTAAAAAGGACATGAACTCATCATTTTTTATGGCTGCATAGTATTCCAGGATTGTAAATCATGCTGCTATAAAGACACATGCACACGTATATTTATTGTGGCACTATTCACAATAGCAAAGACTTGGAACCAAGCCAAATGTCCAACAATGATAGACTGGATTAAGAAAATGTGGCACATATGCACAGACCTAAGTTTTCTATGTCTATGCCTTTGGCCACTGTCCCCTAAAATGTCTTTTTCCTTTTCTATAACTGGGTTGGTCTACCTCCATTTGCGTGGACGTTTCCATGAGACACAGACTCACAAAGATTGGGCAGAATACAAGTAAGTCAAAGCAAGCTACCTCCTGGCCTCTGAAGACCAAGTGGAGAAGAAAACAGGTTTCTAACCAAAGAAGAAAGTTCTGAGTTATAATTTCTCAGCACTCTAGGCAAGGTGCAGCACACCTTGACAGTTAGAGAAGAGTATTTCATCTTGAAAACCTGCAGCTCACCAGTGAAGTAACATCCTTTCTTGTTTCATTGGACGAGACGGCACACTTGTCAGTGGAACTTAGAAGATGCAGCAGTAACAACATAAACTAGGTATATGCCGAACCCTATCAGGTCATCTATTCTGTAGTCATCTGGTGGTTGGGATTATTCTTAGTGAGACAAGCTAGGCATCAAAAGGCTGAACAGCTCAAATACCAAGTAAGACTCAAATCCTTTTCCTATGTATATATTAAAAGCTGGTCACACTCTTAGACTTTAAACATGGCACTGAAATCTAGGATTCCATTCGGGTGCAAGCAACAGAAAACCTAAGAGAGGCCTTCGTAAATAAGGGGTCAATTTATGCAGTGCGACATGAGCTTTGGAAATAGGTGGTCCTCACGTGCAGCTGCTCAAATAGGCCACTGAAGGCTCAGACCCCTTCTCTCTCTTCCTGCTTCATCATCTTTCATATCTTTAGCTTTTATTTTCCATTGCAGGGTGGCTGCTGTGCCTTCAGGCATCGGATCACGTTCCAGGTGGTAAGAAGGGAGAGGGCAAATTGGCAGAGCAGATGACACTGAGCCTGTTCCTTTCCTTGAAGCGGGCTATGTTTACCCATAGTTCATATCTGGCATCTTTTATAATTGGTGGTTATTTATTTATTTTTAATATTACCCTTGCTTAAAAGCCCCACCTGCTAACTTCTGCTTTATCTCATCATCTAGTTCTGGGTTACATAGACACCCTTGCCTGGGATAGAGTTGGAAATTGAGTGTTTTTACTTGGGTGCACTGCCACCCTCAAACAGGTTTGAGATTCTGTCAAAGAGAAGACAACAACAGATACTGAGCAGGCAATTAATCGTCTGCCATAATGCTTAATTCAAACTTGTGTATTATTCTAAATTGCACCACTTGGCTTTATATTTAAAGGCAACAAGCTTCACCTGTGTCAGGGGCAACTGGTGATGGAAGAAAAAGTCTCATATGAAGGTGATATTTCCTTGGGGAACCTGAAGCCATACATCCTTCCAGACCCAGTTCAAATACTCCAACCTTCAAGAAACCTCATTCACCCCGGTTCTCCTCCTCCAACACTTATTGTTCGCCCTGTCCACTTGACATTTATCTTGGGTAGATGTCATTCCCCACCCCAAACATATTATAAATTCCATGGGGGATAGGGTTATATTTTCTTTTTCTTTTTTATTTCCCACGGGCCCCCAAATGGTACTGAACACAACATAGAGGAATATTACATACTTACTGTTTGGTTCATAGGAAATGGTATCATGGTGGTAGTTGAGCTAGATATGAATGTGGAACAGTATGAAGGCTGTGTTTCTGGGTCTAAGAGTCTGGGTGACAGAGTAGCGAAAGATAAAGTTAGTTCATTCATTTAATTCTTTAATGTATGTATTAAATACCTATTCTACGCTAGACAAAAATACAACTGTCCTAGATTCTGTATTCTATTGACCTAGCAGTATAGACAGGGTCAAATACCAACAAGATAATTTTGCAAAAAATTATAGTTCTAGACTTCCTCTAGATTGAACACTTTCCATCTGCCTGGCACATGGACAGAAGCACACACTGATTGAGCCTGGTGTGATTCTGGCTGTCAAACTTCATCTTCGCCATCAAACATGTGATCACATTCATTTAATTCTCAGAGAAGCCCTTTGGTTTCTCATTACATTTGAGGAAACTGAGGCCAAGAGCAGTGGTGGGTTGCTCCAGGACACATGGGCAGTTGGTGGGAGAACTGGATTTCTACCCAGTGCATAGAAGGTCAGCCTCACTCCTGCTCTCCAGTCCCTGCCCTTCCAGAGTGAGCTCTAATTGTCCAGGAGAGTGATGGTGGTGTCTCCCGAGAAGTATACGGAAAGCAGAGAGCACATCTTGGAGCCTCATGGACTCTTATCCATATCATGGTTATTTTTTTTTGGTTAAGTGAAGCAAGGAGGAGGCGTGGGGAGAAGAGATTGCTTTCAAACCTTCTGATTCTCAGCCAGGCGCGGTGGCTCATGCCTGTAATCCCAACACTTTGGGAGGCCGAGATGGGTGGATCACAAGGTCAGGAGATCGTGACCATCCTGGCTAACACGGTGAAACCTCGTCTCTACCAAAAATACAAAAAAATTAGCCAAGCGTGGTGGTGAGTGCCTGTAGTCCCAGCTACTTGGGAGGCTGAGACAGGAGAATGGTGTGAACCCAGGAGGCGGAGCTTGCAGTGAGCCGAGGTCACGCCACTGCACTCCAGCCTGGGTGACAGAGCAAGACTCTGTCTCAAAAAAAAAAAAAAACGAAAACCAAAAAAACAAAAAAAAAAACCTTCTGATTCTCATGGGTGCTGCTTTGCCTTCACCATGGCTGGCTCAGCCCAGGCACACAGACAGGTGTTTTGCACAGGGGGAGCAGCAGCTGTGTCTGGCAGGGGTCGGAGGCTCCCTTTCCATACACTACCTCTGGCTAATGGTCCGATCCCAGCACTGACAGCTCGGTTCATACATTCTCCTGTTGAAGGCAGACCTTCCACAAGCTGAGCTGTTCTCAGCTATCCAGTGTCTTGACATGGGAGGAACACTCGGTGATTTGAGCGTTCTTTGGGTGCCTGCCTCATGCTCAGAACTAGCTACTAGGGAAATAGAAGTGAATACATTGCACAAAACTCCCTGGCCTCAGGGAGGCTGCAATATAATAAGTAGATTAATTCAATCAGCTAGTCAGGCTTTGAAGAAAGGAGGTGGGACAGGCCAAGAAGTTAGAGATTTGGGTGCCCTGGGACAGATGGTGATCAGAAAAATGTCAGCCTTCTTGCATGGTAAGGAGGCTGAGAAGGAGTTCATTGGAGTCTAGGGTCAGTGTAAGGATCAACCCTGGAGCACCCAGAAAGCAAAGGTTGGATTACGTGATGTACATGACACATTGCTCCCAAGGTCACACTTTTATTTGGGACCATGGAAACTGGCCTGAAACAAACCAGTGACTTCTTTACACTCTAAGGAAGATAAAGAAAACCTTTGCTGGGCATCATGGCTTATACCTGTTATCCCAGCACTTTGGGAAGTCAAGGAGGGAAGATCGCTTGAGGCCAGGAGTTTGAGACCAGCCTGGGCAACATAATGAGACCCTGTCTCTACAAAAAATAATAAAAAATGTTAGCTGAGCATGGTGGTGTACAGAATGTTTAGTCCCAGCTACTCAGGAGGCCGAGGCAGGAGGATCATTTGAGCTCAGGAATTTGAGACTGCAGTGAGCTATGATCGCACCAATGCACTGCAGTCTGGGTGACAGAGCAAGAACCTGCCTCTTAAAAAAACCTTATTGAATTTCTCTAGAATATAAGTATGTTGATGCTGGCTTGGATCAGGGCGTCCTTGGTGCCTGGCACTTACTACATGTGCAGCAAATATTTACTGAATGAATTGCTGAATGAACTTGAGAAGGCTCAGGCACTGCACTTTTGCATATACTTCCATTTTCTCCTTCACGTCTAATTGTGTTTATATGAGGAAACAATAGTGCTGTGGTCTGAATGTTTATGTCTCCACCGAAATTCAAATATTGAAGTCCTGTCCCTCAAGATGATGGTATTAAGAGGTGCAGACTCTGGGAGATGATTAGATCATGGAGGCAGAGACCTCATGAATGGGATTAGTGTCCTTATGAAAGGCTTCAGAGAGACCCCTGGCCCCTTCCGGCATGTGGGGACATAGTAAGAAGATGTCATCTATGAGGACATGAGCCCTCACCAGACGCCCAGTCTGCTGATGCCTGGATCTTGGACTTCCCATCCTCCAGAACTGTGAGAATACAATTTTTGTTGTTTACAAGTCACCCAGTTGAGAGTACTTTGTAATAGCAGCCTGAACAGACTAAGACACATGCTGATTCCTATTTTTTCATAAGAAACCCGGAACACGGAGCTATTAAGGGTGTAAATGGCAGAATTAGGATTTCAAGTCATGGTTGGGTCTGTACAAGGTTAGGGCTCTTTCTTCCTCTTGCCTCAGCTTTTCCGTCTTCTCAACCCTGGCTTCTCACCCAAGGCTGCAAGACTTTGCTACCGTAAGACCAGCGGTTCCCAACCTTTTTGGCACCAGGGACTGGTTTTGTGGAAGACAGTTTTTCCATGGATGGGGGGTGGGGGATGGTTTTGGGATGAAACTGTTCCAACTCAGATCAGTCATTAGGTTCTCATAAGAAGCTCACAGCCTACATCCTTTGCATGTGCAGTTCACAATAGGGTTCAGCTCCTATGAGAATTTAATGCCACCACTGATCTGACAGGAGGTGAAGCTCAGGCAGTAATGCTCGCTGGCCTGCCACTCACCTCCTGCTGTGCAGCCTGGTTCCTAACAGGCCACTGACTGGTACTGGTCTGTTGCCTGGGGGTGAGGACCCCTGTATGAGACAATGTTTTGACTCTGGGAACCCTGTGAATTCCAAGCCACCATTGTTTCCCCTGATTCTCTAGGGAAACATAGTTTTACGTTCTTGTACTTGGTTTTGGGGATGTCCACACACTGTGTGCATAGAAGGGGGTGTCTGAGTGTGTGTTGGGATAGGGATGACTTCAGTGGGAAAGTACATCAGCTGCTTCACAGAAAAGAACTCAACCAATGTAAAAAAATAAAAGTTCTTCTGATGTGAGAGGGAGAGGAAATACTGATGCTGTGAACAGAACTGTGTTCCTCCAAAATGCTTATGTTGAAGCCCTAACCCCTAATAGGACGGTATTTGAAGGTGGGGCTTTGGAGAGGTAATTAGGTTTCAATGCGGCCCTGAGGGTGAGTTTATGATGGAGTCAAAGACACAAGCGCTCTCTCACTCTCTCTCTTTTTATCTCTCTCCTTTTCACACAAATAAGAGGTCACATGGACACACAGGGATGGTGGCAACCCACAAGCCAAGAGAAGAGTCCTCGGAATGAAACCCACCTCGCTGGCACCTTGATCTTGGACTTCCCAGCCTCCAGAACTATGAGAAATTAATTACTATTGTTTAAACCACACAGTCTCTAGTATTCTATTATAGCACCCTGTAGAAACTAAGACAACTGCTCATCTGAAGAGAGAAAGTATCCTGTTTCAAAGGCTAGCATGCCTTTGAGTCTGTCAAACCGCATAGGCCAGGAGCAGGATATAAGAGCATATTGTATACCTGGGCAGGGATGAGTGCACCTGCAGCTGACCGTTTTCCTGGTGGTCTGTGCTGAGGCCCATCCCTGAGGGGTGGTCTACAGCTTATTCCCCCACCCCAGGATGGGCTCATTTATCTCAGGCCTCCCTTCACTGTTTGTATATCTCCAATTCTATTTCTATTACCTATCTCTATCTGTCTCTATTGATCATTCTAATATTTGTCTCCAGCCTGTAATTCTCTCCTAGAACCACCTGCCACTGTGACCAGACTTACAAGCCATTTCCCCAGGGATAACAACCCTGGGACTTCAACACTGATCCTGCCATGTGTCTGTCTTTCTTCTTTGTCTGGGCTCCGGGAATGGCGTTGCCATGTAACTCAGGTCCATGGGAGAAACATGGGCTCCTCCCCCCGTCTCACACCTCATATCTGATATATCACATAGGTGATTCATTCTGTCTCCTAAACACCGACTGAGCCCAGATCTGAGTCTCCACCTTCTCTGGATCCACATGAGTCCTTGCCGTCACTGTCTCTTGCCACGACTTCTGCAGAGGCCTCCTCACTGGCCTCCCCACTCTTCATGCCCTGCTTCAGCTCATTTGCCTAAGTGGTCTTCAAATAATGTAAATCTGATCATTTCACATTCTTGATAAATGTTCTTCAGCATTTACCCATTTGATGGAGGAAGAAGTCCACACTCCACAGCAAGGTTATGGATCTGGCCTCAGTTCAATTTTATGCCTCATTTCTAGACCTAAACTTTTCTTCCCTGGCCAACCCTGTTCTCAGCTAGCCAGAGTAGAAGAGAATAGAACAAAGCCACAAGTGTGCCCAGTCTCTGGCCTCCAGCCCTGGGATCATGGTGTTCCCAGTGCCGGAACCCCTTCTCCTTTCCTTCCCGTCATGTCCACATTGTCATCCACTCAGTCCTTTTCAAGGTTCACTCCTACTTATTACTTTTTTATGCAGCATTTTTTATTGTGGTAAAATACACATAACCAAAAAATTTACCACCTAAACTTAATTTTTTTTTTAAAGTCAGGGTCTTATTCTATCATCCAGGCTAAAGGGCAGTGGTGTGATCATAGCTCACTGTAGCCTCCATCTCCAGAGCTCCAGTGAGCCACCCACCTCAGCCTCCTAAGTAGCTGGAACTACAGGAGCATGCCACCATGACTGGCTAATTAATTTTTTCTTTTTTTCATAGAAACAAGGTCTCCATATGCTGCCCAGGCTCGTGTTGAGCCCGTGACCTCAAGTCATGCTCATGCCTTGGCCTCCCAAACTGACAGGATTACAGGTGTGAACCACTGCACCTGGCTGCCACCTTAACCATTTTTTTTTTTTTTTGAGACAGGGATTTGCTCTTGTTGCTCAGGCTGGAGTGCAATGGTGCGATCTTGGCTCACTGCAACGTCCACCTCCCGGGTTCAAGTGATTCTCCTGTCTCAGCCTCCCAAGTAGCTGGGATTACAGGTGCACACCACCACGCCTGACTAATTTTTATATTTTTAGTAGAAATGGGGTTTCATCATATTGGTCAGGCTGGTCTTGAACTCCTGACCTCAGGTGAGCCACCTGCCTTGGCCTCCCAAAGTGCTGGGATTATAGGCGTGAGCCACCGCCCTGGGCCTACCTTCACCATTTTTACATGTACAGTGGCATTAAGCACATTCACATTGTTATGCAACCATCCACACCCTTCATTTCTAGAATCTTTTTCATTATCCCAAACTAAAAATCTACCTATGAAACAGTAACATTCCTCCCTCCACCTCCTCCAGCCCCTAGGGGTCACCACTCTACTTCCAGTTTCTATGAATCTGACTCCTCCAGGTACTTCCTATAAATGGGATCATGCAGTATAAATCCTTTCGTGTTTGGCTTCTTTCACCTGGCATGATGTCCTCAAAGTTCATCCACATTGCAGTATGTCTAATTATTCCCTGCAGTTGACACAGGCTGTCCAGGAAGGCCTCACAGAGGAGAGATTTGTGCCAGGACCTGGGGAAGATGGGGGCAAACCACCCTGATGTCTGGGGGAGCGTATTCCAGGCAGAGAGAACAGCAGGCACAAAGGCTCCCAGTCACAGATTACCTGGCGTGTGTGAGGAATAGGAAGGAGTCCAGTGTGCTGGGGACAAAAATAATGGCTGATGTGGTCAAGAGACATTGGAGAAATGAATTGAGGGGAGTGAGAAGTGATTCCTGCACTGGCCTCAAGTGCAGCCCTCCCGTCCGGAGGCCACATGACCCCATTTCCTCCAGCCCCAGTTTCGACTGTGTCTTCCTAATGAGCATCCCTTGGGGGTAGGCAGCAGCATCACCCACTCCAGGTCCCCTTTCTGCCCTCGTCTCAACGGGCTTCACTGTTTGCTGCGGTTTTCCTCTTGGCTGTCTGTGCTTCCATTCGGACTGTGAGTTTTATGAGAATGGGGGCTGCGGTGTCTGCATTAGTTCCTGCAGTGGCCCTGGAACCTTTCACAGAGTGGCACAGTGTAGGAGATGCTGAGTGAAAGAATCAATGAATGAATGGACAAACAAGTGAGCGGATCTCAGTGAATCCTATAGTTACCCTGTGATGTGCTCGGGTGCCCACTCCTCCATTCCTCTCTTTACCTTGGAGCCCCTCAGCTCTCTCTGCTCCTGGAAGAGGTCTTTCCTTACACTGCATTATGCTCTTCCACCTGGTGAGACCCTCCGCCTCCCAGGAAGGGGGTGGGGTGGGGTGGGTGGGGTTGCAGTGCTTCCATTACACTGGCAAAAGAGGCTTGTCTACTCTGCTGGTGAAGTCAACAGACCAGCAATTCCATGAAAGCCTAGACAAAAGCTCGTGGTTCCCATCATCTCCAGTGAGAAACACTGGCCTGAAGAGCAGACCTTCCATCCAGAGGCCACACATCTCCTTTTACCTCCCTAGAGCCAGTCTCAAACATACAGCTCGTATATGCTAGGAAATCAGGTCACCAGACATTCCATCTTCTGGAGGCTCCTAGGAAGCAGCACACAACAGTGGGCCTTTTGTGGCCTGTCCACTGCGGAGCACCACTGTCTGGTTCCGGTGTCGTTATGAAGTCTCCTTGTTGTTACCAGCACAACAGCTGCTTTGTCCAGCAAGTCCCTGTTCTATGCAAACTGGCTAGGTGCCATTGCCATGAGATTCATAAGAATATGCATTCAGAAGATTAAGAGGTCCTGGGTAGCTACTGCTCTTCTACCAGGCTTTAGACACCCACCAGAGCTTCTCTGACATTAGGGCAACCAGGAGAACAAAGCATGAATCATCAGACCCCCGAAACGTGTTTTCCCGGCCTTGTCCCTCCATCTGCACTTTGAGTGATATGGTACAGCTGTTGTTGGAAAACACAGAATTCATCAACAACATGTGTGAAAGAAAAGAAGCCCTGTTACCTGAAAGCTTTCTACATTTTAGTATTTTTTAATCAGTGAAGTAGGAGAAACTCTTTCCTTCCACTTAGCTGATTTTAGTGGAGAATTCCTGTTCATTGGAGACAGCTGAAGGAAGGGCTGGGGCGGTGCTGCAGGTCTGCAGAGCCAGCTCCATGCTCCTGTCTCCGTGTTGTTCCCGTACCTCTCCCCACAGACCATCCGTGGAAACTGTCAGGGACACAAGGGAGACCTTCCAACTGGCCCTCTCCTTTTGCATACATGGAAACAAACTAGTAGAGAGGGCAGAGATGGAACCAGAGCCTAAGGCTCAAAACTAAAGGACAAAATATGCATCTCTTTTGGTTCATTTCTTCCTGTTGGCTGAAGACCCAGGACCTATTCTAGGTCCATAACATCTTCCTCAGCTTTTTCACAGGTACTTTGGCAGGAGGTTTATTTAAAGAAAGCAAACAGATCAAGAAAAGTGAGTCAGGATTTGGCCTGTCTTGTCAGGATGCCTGGGTTCTTAAATTCTGGACATCCTGTTTGTTAGCTCTGTGAGCCACACGACATTTCAAAACATCTCCAAGCCTCAGTTAATTTATCTGTGAAATGGGCATAATAACAGCACCTCCATGATAGGGATTTTATCCTGGAAATAGTGCTTGTGAAGCACTTAGCACTTCCTACAACATAGTAAGTGCTCAGTGATGTTAGCTGTGTTGAAGAATCCAGCCCTTCTGAGAAAAGACGCTACTGGGCTAATGCCGCTACCCAGCACTAAAATTCACATACGTGCTTTCACTTTGGTAATAGTAGCATTCCTGGCAGAGCAGCACTGCCTCCATTTATGCAGCAGATTTTTCTTATATTCTTCCTAACACTTTCAGCCTAATATCTTTTCAGTTTCAATTTGCATCAGCCCAGAGCCTATCCTCACCCACCTTTATTCCATCGCCCAGGTTTTAAATGCATCGGAAGGATACTAAAACTATTAACAAACCGGGAAGTTTACATAATGAGACAACACAACGGCTGGAATACAAACAGGAAGGGCCTCCTTCCCTTCACAGGTGAACGAAAAAGCCAGAGTGGCATTTGTTAGCAAGAACTTCATTGCTCCCAGTATGGGTCTTAAGCTGTTTGAAATGGATTTGAGGGTGGATAGAAAGCCAAAATCGAGCCCATGTGAAGACAGAGATAGACAGAGAGAAAGAGAGAGAGAGAGAAAGAGAGAGACAGAGAGAGAGAGAATGGGCTCTGGGAAGACTTACTTTCTTGCTTTCAAAATCGCCTCTCCCAAGCCTCATGCTAAAAACAAGTTAGTGAAAGGGTCAGATCGGCTCAAGAGAGCCAAGCCTGAAAGCAATTTTATCTCCTGAGGAAAATCCAGGGAAGCCAATTCCCCAACCTAGATTTCAGCTTTTTATATGAAAACAAGAGCAGGGAGGAAGAAATAATCTCCGTAGAGAGAAGTTAGGAAGCACAGGGAACTGGGAAGCAGGGGACTTGGGCTCCAGTACATCCGAGGAGGATGCTAATTGTCCGTGGGGGCGGTGGGCACAGGTGTCCTTGCCAGGTCCTGTCTCTGTGGCTTTGTAAAACAGAGAAGAGAGCCCCAGCTGTGGACTCAGGAGGCCCGATTCCTCTGCTAAACGGCATGACCTGCTGCTTCACAACACGTTCTTGCCTAAGGTCTCTTCTCTGTGTAAGGCGCAGGTTGGATGAGATGCTCTTTCGATTTCTTTCCAGCACTGACATTTTAGGATGTGCATTCCCTGCCTGGCTGCCTGAGGACTGGAGGACTCTGCTCCCGGGGTTACGAAAGGGTTTCTCAGTGCTTGTCTTTCCTTCATGGGTGCTTCTTGTCCCATTGTTGCCCACACCTGATTCTGAGCCAGACCATTGCTTTGGTCAGGGCTGTCCGAGCCAGCGTCCTCCCTTGGTGAGACACATCACTGCGTGCGCTTCAGAATTGCATCTCCCCTTAGGACAACTGGCACTGGGAAGAAAGGAAGTTGCTGGCAGCTCTCAGGGTGGCTGGGGAGCCAAAGGTCTGGGACAGTAGAGATAGCAAGTTGCCCCTTTCCAGGTTCCTCGTGGGGGTAAGTAAGGCAGAGGATGGGGCTGGAGTATGCCCTGCAGTGCTGTGGAAAGTCTGGGGGAGCCGGTTGTCTTCTGGGTCCAAAAGCCACGGGCTAGAGCTAGAGGGAAGAAGACCCCTGAGGGTTCATAGAGAAGCCTGTGGGGAGCCCGTGTTAACACTCTGTGCTGGGTGGGCTCCGGCAAAGCACAGGGACACTGCCAGACTGCAGGGCTCTAGGGCCTGCCCTGTCCTTCCCCAGGGTCACAGAGCCCCTGCTATGGCTTGGTTTTCAGTGAAGTTGGCCAGGCTGCATTCGTATTAGCTGCAATAATTAGGATAAAATCTGTAAGCGTAGAGAAGAGGCTAATTTATATGGTGGATGCCATTGATGCCGGGTGAGCTTCTGAAACTCCAATTACAAGAAAAATCTCCTTATGAACCAACTGCCAGAAAGTGCGCTTGTTGATATTCTGACAACAGAAGCTAACTCATTACTCTTCCTTTTTAGAATAAGAAAGGAGGAATGAAATAAAAGGCAATTGTCTCCCCGTGTTAATAACCTGACTTGATTCTTCTTCGAAGACTGAAAATGGCTAGTGGGTCAGGTTCTAAGCCTGGCACAGATGAATGACATTAAACCTGACTTCAGTAGTTATTCTTGGCTCTACACAGAAGGGCTAGAAAGAAAATGACCTGCTATTGCAGCAAGGAATATTGAGATTAAACCAAGGGAAGGACTTTCCCTGCCTAGCAGAAACCTGAGACCTTGAGAAAAATCATTCTCTGTGGAGGATTCAGTTTCTGGGTGCCAAAGTCAAATAATCTGGGTCCAATGGCAATTTAGCCTTTTCCTAAACTGTATGAAGTTAGGCAAGTTAATTAGCCTTTCTAAACCTCAAGTAATTATCTGTAAAATGGGGATAAAAATACTCTCAAGGTCACAGAAATGTTATGAAAATTAAGTGAGATAGTACATTTAAAGTGCCTAGCACACAGAAAGGACTTAGGGGCAGTTTGATGGGACACTGAGCACATTCTATCAGGTAGAAAGGAAGTAAGAGTATGACTTTTATTAAATTACTGCTGGCGTGCAATTCAAATTCTAATCCTTCATCCACAGAAGTCTTGAAACTCCTAGAATTCGAGACTTCTAGTCTTCCAATAAGCTGGTCTCTGGAAATAATCTAGTCTTTGCAATCAGTGACCTGGATTTTAATTCTAGTTTATCTGGTAGGTAATTAAGAATTATTAAGATGACCAGAATAATTCTAGTTTATCTGGTAGATAAACTAGAATTATTATAAACTAGAATTATTATCTGGTATGGTTTGAATGTGTCCTCCAAAGTTCATGTGTCAGAAACTTAATTCCCAACATAACACTGTTGAGAGGTAAGACCTGTAAGAGATGATTAGGTCACAAGGGCTTGCCCTCATGAATGGAGTAATGCTGTGATGATGGGAGTGGGTTCCTGATAAAAAGAATGAGGAACGATTTGGTCCTTTTCCTTTTCTGTCTCTCGCCCCATGAGATACCTTCCTCCATGGAAGATGCAGCAAGAAGGTCCTCTCAAGATGCCCCCCTCTCAGTCTTGGATTTCCCAACCTCCAGAACTGTAAGAAAAAAAAAAATCTGTTCTTTATAAACTACCCAGTCCAAAACATTATGTTATAGCAGCATAAAACTGACTAAGACATTCTCACAGAGAAGTGTCATAATCTCTCAGAGCTCCAGCCCCTCTTCAGCAGCTTGGAGCTACAGCTCCCGTCTACTTTCTCATTGTGAACAAAACCCAAGATAACTTCATGAAGCATTTGGCACAGAGCCTGACACTCTAGTCACCCTACAAATCTTCATTCCCCTTGCTCTCTTGAAATAGTTAGAAATTTCAGTTAGGTAATTTCCTACGAGTCTTAATTTTCAGGGCTGGAGTACCAATTTACATATATTGTTTATTATATGTACATATACACATATGTAAATATATATACATGCATTTATATACTATATATTGTATATAATAATGTAATACAAAATATATTTATATTATATTTATATGTATTGTATATATGTATTGATTTGATTTGATTGATTGGTACTCCAGCCCTTGATTTCCAGAGATGTAGTACTAATTTATATATCTATTTATGTATGTTAATAATAGTAAGCCTGTGTACAATTAAAAAGTTTTGTTATTATTTATCGAGAGTGGGGCCAAGTGGCCCATAGGTAGCATTAGATGGTGCAATACTGTCATGAAAATGGAAGGAAATTTTGTTTTGTTTGTTTTTGAGATAGGGTCTCCTTCTGTTGTCCAGGTTGGAATATAGTGACATGATCATGACTCACTTCAGCCTCTAACTCCTGGGCTCAAGCAGTCTTCCTGTCTCAGACTCCTTAGTAACTGGGACTATAGGCATGTTTCAACATGCCTGGCTGATTTTTAAAAAAATGACAGTGTCTTGTCATATTGCCCAAGCTCCTCTCAAACTCCTGGGCTCAAGTGATCCTCCTGCCTTGGCCTTTGAAAGTGTTGGGATTATAGGTATGAGCCACTGTGCCAGGCAGGAAGTAGGATGTGAGAGTAAATTTAGTACTAGATATTTTTAAGAAGGGGGAATTGTTAAACATTTACAAAGCCTACCATTTACCAGATCCCGTCTTAGGTATTCTATGCTGTTACATGTATATCATGATGTTGGGATAGATCCACCTAGACTGTACCTCCTAGAATGTTTATTAGGAATTGCCTGAAACTGCAACTTGCAAATCAGATGGTTTCTTTCTAGTCGACTATAAGCCCCTTAAAGACAAGCCCATGTTTTATACAAGTTCACTATCTCCACAGCTCCTGGAATAGGGCATCAGAAGACCATGAGAGATGCCTGTTGAATAGGTGGGTATGTGATTATATTTATTTATTCCTTAGTTCAACAAATTTTTTAGTAACTACTGTGTTCCATGCACAGATCCAAGCACTATAGATAGAGTGGTTAATAAAAATTTACAAAGTCTATTGTTTGTTTGTTTGGTTTTATTTATTTACTTATTTATTTTTTGAGATGGAGTCTCACTCTGTCACTCAGGCTGAAGTGCAGTGGTGTGATCTCGGCTCACTGCAACCTCTGCCTCTCAGGTTCAAACATTTCTCCTGCCGCAGTCAAAAGAGTAGCTGGGATTACAGGCGTGTGCCACCAAGCCTTGCTAATTTTTGTATTTTTAGTAGAGATGGGTTTTCACCATGTTGGTCAGACTGATCTTGAACTCCTGACCTCAAGTGATCCTTGTGCCTTGGCCTGCCAAAGTGCTGTGATTACAGGAGTGAGCCACTGTGGCCGGCCAAAATATACAACCTCTATTTTGCTCTCACAGAGCTAACATGCTAGCAGGGGAAATATAACACTTAAGGTGTGAACAGATGCAAGCGGAGGGAGGAAATGGAGAGAGTGGTCAGTGGGTCAGGAGATGACCTGTCAAAAGCCACCTGTGAACCATCTGGATCTCCCTCATCTATTGTCAATGTAAGCTCGCATCCTGCACTGATTGAGGTCAGTGCTTCCAAAGGTAAACCTGTAGGTAATTTCAAGAATTTCAAGAAATCTGTGGTCTTGAGCCCAGGAGCTACTAGACAGCTCTCTCTCTTTCTCTCAATAGAGAATGTATCTTTTAGAGCAGTTTTAGGTTTACAAAAAACCATAACCCAAAATACAGAGAGTTCTGATATACCCCTCCGGACCCCCGACCAAGCTCCCCTTGTTATTAACGTCTTGCTTTAGTGTGATCCATTTGGTACAATTGATGAGCCAATATCGACTTGTTATTATTAAATGTATCCACCATGACTGTATCATAAGAATAGTTTCACTGCCCTAAAAACTCCTGTCCTCCATTTACTGCCTATTCGTCTCTATTCCCTCCACCCTCCTAGCCCCTGACAGCCACTCATCTTTTTACTGTCTCCATAATTTTGCCCTTTTCAAGATGTTATATAGTTGCCATCACATAGGACTCTTCTCCTTTCACAATTCCTTTCAATTTTGGTTTAATTTGGTGGCTGCGTCCATCCCGGAGTGATGGAACTAAGAAACCTCTCTCCTCCCACAGTTATATAGGCTCACTCATGTAATTGAGAGGCAGCGATGTACAAGATAAACGTGTTCTCACTTAGCAAGGAGGATAGATCCACCGTTAGCCTAGAGGGGACAGATTGGATCTTTGCAGTTTCCTTGATTCAGTAAAGCACATTTAATCACTTAAATACTTTTTGATGATGAGCTGGGATGATCGTTACCATTTAAACCAACTCCCCCCAGTCTCTCATGTGTCCTGAATAAGAGAACTGATATGGCAGGGACATGGGAGTTTTGTTTTGTTTTGCCGTATTTATTTGTTTGAATCATCCACTTTTGCACTTAGAATGATCCAAATTCACCTGGAAACTGCAGAGCTCCTACTTGGATGCAGGCACTGTGGTGCCGGCAGGATGGAGCCGCTGGCTAGGAGTCTGAGGGGTTAGCGTGAGGACGGAGGTAGGCTCTGGCCCAGCTCTTTCCCAAAGGCTTAGAGCACAAGGGAGCCCAGTGGAAGATGTCAGGGAAGGGCAAGTGTGTGGGAGATCTTGCCTGTGTTATTTATCAGATTTACGACCGCTAGTAGCACTTATCAAAAGTGACGTTTATTGGGTGTGAAATGTTCTCATTTGTTAGATAACACAAGCTGTTTAGTATTAAAGCAACTTTCACACAGAACAATCTCCTCTGTCATTAGGGACCTCCTAGGATTAATTACTGAGATCTATGCCCCAATGTGCAGATGCCTCCTAGAACCATAAACTTATAAATCACGCATGAGCTGATTGCTAAGAAATTTTCCTTAAAGCCTCGATCTTTCTGCGAGGGGGACTAGGCAAGTCATGTGAAGAGTCAGTTGCTCACAGATGAGCACTCTCTGGAGGCCTGCGCTCCTGGTCTAAAAGGCAAGGCTGTCCCTGCACCTCTCAGGCTTAAGATGGCTATGATGACATATCTCTACACGCATATTTAGCCTTTCAAAGTATTTTATCCTTAATGATGCTTTCTTTCTTTCATCATTGCACCAACAGCACTTGGAAAGTGTATGCACGTAGTAGGCCCTTAATCATGGTGATGGATGAACGAGAGCCCCAGGAAGCACAGGGATCTGCTTGGATCTAAAAGGTAGGTGTGCTGCTTATCTCAGATCACAAAGGCTCCCACAGGCTGAGCTGGTTCCAGGAGCCCAGTCTCTTCTCTGAATCCAATTCACCCTTCCTTTTGACTTGTTCTTCAAGGCAACATCGTCCCAGGTCTCTGACCCCTGAGGTCACCCAGAGCAACACTATGACACTGTTAGGGATCATGAGAAAAATAATCAGACATCAGCTACAAGGGAATGTGTAGGGGCATCCAAAATTACTTAGAATGAAGGTGGAGTCCATACGTAGAGGAAATACACCCACTAGTTACCAAAGCACTTCAGATCACTAATCATTCTAGGGCACAAATAAATGAATATAAAATGCTACAAGATGGATTAGGGTGGACATTAGGACATTTTTATGGGCACTTACACACATTAATGGGCAACAGGCAAATAAAGGTTGTTGAATCTTCTGTATTGCACATCCACTGTGCGAGTTGGTAAAAATACGACATCCAAGGTAGTCCCAAGGCATGTGGATTCACTCTCCAAAAAGATATCCCATCTCCAACACTATCACCCTAGGTCAAGACATCACCATCTTTTACCTGTTGCAAAAATCTTCTAACTGGTTTTCCCATTTCTATGTCTGCTCTAAAATATTCCATAGCAACTGCTTAAAACATCCCAATGGCTTCCCTTTGTACTTAGGATAAAATCCAAAATCTTGATCATGACTCAGAAAGCCCTGCAGGATCAGGCCCCTGACTACCCTCCCAACCTTGATTCTTACCATTCTTTCTCTCACTCACCATCTACAGCCACACTGGCCTTCTTCTGGTTCCACAGATGTGCTGGCTTTTTACTGCCTCAGGACATTCGCATGGGCTGTTCCCTCTGCCCACAATGTTGTTCCTCTCACTGTCTACACGACTGGCTCCTTATCATCCTCCTGATTCCCTTCCAAATTCATCCTACATGTAATTTCTTCAGAGAAGCCTTCCCTGACCACACAATCTCAACTAGACTCTTCTTCTGTTATTCTCTCTTAAAGCCCCTTGTCCATTCCCTTCGAAGCACCTGTTGTTTATTTGTGTTTTCGTTTTTAGTACCTATTGCTCACCTTACATGGTATGATACATAAGGGCAGGGACCATGTGTATTTGTTCTGCCAATAGCACCTTAGAGTTAAGCATAGTGTCTGATGGCAGAATAGACATTTAAGCAAAATCCGTTCTATGAATGGAGAAGGAATGAATTAATGAATACTAAGAAATATAATGCACTTGTAATGTTCCCGAGAAGCTTACAATCCATTGTGTGTGTGTGTGTGTATGTGTGTGCATTTGTGTAAAACATGTACTTCCTAAAAGCTCAGAAATATTTGTCTGTTTTGTTCACTGATGTACCTCCGATATCCAGGCAAAACTTGGCACTTAGTAGCTCAAATAAATGCAAATCAATATTTGTTGAGTGAACAATGAGCAGAAATATAAGGAACTATTACAATATTTAGCAGGGAGACTTAACCTAGTCTGCAAGCCGTAGCAGACATTTGAGAGTAAGAGGCATTGAAATGGAGAGCCAGCATTATCCACATGAAGGGAAGGGGGAAGACGTAGGGGAGAGTAGTTCAGACGTTGTGAATCACCTAAAGGAAAGGCCGAAGGGAAGAGGAAAAACTGAGCTTGGCATGGTACAAGTCCAAAAGCAATTAAGTGTGCAGTAAGGCTGGATGAGTATCACTGCAGATAAAGTCGGAGAATCCGTAAACCCTTATACTGGGAAGGAGTCCGCTGGGTGAAAATTGGATTTCCCATCATATAAGCAGGCACTGACCTTACTGTATTAGGCCATTCTTGCATTGCTATAAAGAAATACCCGGGACTGGATAATTTACAAAGGAAAGAGGTTTAATTGGCTCACAGTTCTGCAGGCTGTACAGGCATGGTGCTGGCATCTGCTCAGCTTCTGGGGAGGCCTCAGGGAGCTTTAAAGGCCCAGGAGTGGAATAAAATTCGGTGTGCCAGGGCAGGAAGCAGGGCCGGAGATCAGGAAGCATTTGGGAACATAAGCCTGGCTAGATGAGGCCTTTTAGACCAGCTTAAGGATTCTAAATTTTATCCTTAGATCTGGGAGAAGCTCCTGAAGAGTTTTAAGCAAAAAACATAATTGGATTTGCTTTTTTTGTTTTTTTTTTTGAGACGGAGTCCTGCTCTGTCACCCAGGCTGGAGTTCACTGGCCCAATCTCAGCTCACTGCAACCTCTGCCTCCCAGGTTCAAGCGATTCTCCTGCCTCAGCCTCCCGAGTAGCTGGGATTACAGGTGCCTGCCACCACTCATGGCTAATTTTTTGTATTTTTAGTACAGACAGGGATTCAGGGTTTCACCATGTTGGTCAGGATGGCCTTGAACTCCTGACCTCAGGTGATCCACCCGCCTCGGCCTCTCAAAGTCCTGGGAGATCCTTCCAGGGGCTGTGCGGAGGATGGACCTGGAAGATGTGAACGAGGAATGTATTGCAGCAGACTAGGTGGAAACAACAGGGGTCTGTGCCTGGGAGCTGGAGAGGGAGGAAAGGAGAAGGAGAAGAGGTAGATTTTTGAGGGAGAAATGGAAGGACAGGTCCTGGCTTGGATTTGGGGAGGAAGAAAAGGATATGGCAAGAATGGCTCAAAAATCTCAGATTTAAATTTAAAAAAGCTCTTTCCCTTGCCTTGACTGTTCTAGCTTGTTCTTGCAATCACTTTGGGAGGAACTAACCAGTGGGTGTTGTCCCTGGTTAACAGAAAATAAGAAACGGAGAGACTAAGGACGTCATCGGAGTCTCACGGCTGGCTGGTAAAAGCCGGGGGAAGATCTGTCCTCTTCAGCCCCTGGTATCACCTCGGAGCTCTGTGGGACAGTGGAGGGAGGGGTGGGAAGCACCGTGTCTTGTGCCTAGGCTTTCTCCCATCAGGGGAGGGATGGCCCAGGAGGTGCCTGCTGGCCCATTGCCTCTAGGCTGGCCCCCTTCAATGTGGCTCTGTCCCACCTCCACCCTGCATCTCACCGCCAGCTCGAGGCTCACTTTTACTTAATGACTCTCATCTCCCAGAAAGTTCCGCCCCAGAATCCACAATGGGCGACATTACGAACTCCTCATGTCTGGTGATAACTTTTTATGAGGTTTTTATTCTTTTACAATATATTAAAGCCATATTTTTGCCAGGTTTTTACTTCAGTTTATTTCTTGTCCTTGAATCACTCTTCTCCTTCTCTCCCCCCGCCCCTCTGATTCCTTCCCCCACTCTCTTTACCTGAGCAGGCTTTGCACTGGAGATGTTTAATTCTCCTTTAATCCCAATTCCCGGAGGTACATGAAAGCAGCTTTACGATCCCATAAATCCAAGAAGATAAAGTGCATTTTTATTAGTTGTGTTGGCGTCAAAGGGAAAAAAATGGAATCTAATGTGAAATAGTCAGTAATGAATTTACTTAATAGCTATCCTCATCACTTAACGTGGCACATGGAGGGTAGTGGCCCAGGGGGTAGGGCTGGGGACTGGTTGCTTTCTCAAGAGATGAAGCAAAGGGTAAAATCCTTGCAGGTTGGGTGTTTTTTTCTTCTTCTTCCTCCAGCAGGAAGAGATTTCTTCCAAATGAAGCTAGAAGGCTTGAAGGCAGGGTGGGAGGGGCAGAGACAGGCTGGCTAGGAGTGGAAGCCCACTTTTGCCCTGGGGCTGCCGAAGGTCTGTCCTCTTTGCTCTCAGCCCTGGTGAATGGTCTGGCCCCTGAGATCAGCTTTGGTGAAAGATGGAAGGCAGAGTCAGGGATGAATGACATCACTTAGAAGGGGGTGTGTTCCCCTCCAGGGAGCAGGTCAGCTCTGCAGGTAGCCAGCTGTGCAAAGGGGCCCTGCGTGCCCCATCCTCCCTACGAAGGTGAGGGGCAGCTCTGAGGGCATCCATGCTGGCTTCAGGTCAGAGCCTTGCTGTTCTCCCTCTTGGTCCAGGCAGGCCTCAGGTTTCTTATCTCAGATCCTGCAGGTCATTCAGCAACAATGGGCTACACCCTCCCCTATGACCCCCGCGCTGCGCCTCACATCCTATGTCTTTGTTGCTGTAGGCCCAGGGTTTGCAATGACTCCCTCATCTCTCCTCACCTCACTGCTTCCTCCTTCTCCCGTCCTCTCCTCCTCTTTCCCCTTAACTCTCTACTTCTGTCTCCCTTTCCTTGCAACCCTCCAATCTGCTTAGAGAAAGCCCTGATGCCTGCGCTGGCACTGGAGTGGGAAGGGCCCTTTCCACTCCAGATCCTAAGACTGCAGGGCGGCAGGCAGTCAAGTGATCCCTGGAGAACACTGAAGCTTCCTGGTAGTCTTTGCTTGTAGTTTTTAGGACCTTTTGGGGTTGAAAAAGAGAGCTTTTTTTCTCCCACACTTTTTAAAAAGGGGAAAGGGGCATTTGCAAGGCCTGGAGTGGGGACGGGTTTATGCCTTATGGCCACTAGATGGCAATAGCCAAACGTGCGCAAAGCAAGCAGCCCGCAACCCCGCCGGCAGCCTCTCCCAGCATCTCTTGCCACGGAAGGCCTGGTGATGGGGGGAGGGTGGCGAAAGAAGAGGCAGGAAACAAACGCATAGGTAGGCAGGGGAGGGAGGCGTTTGAGAAATGGGGTTGGTCTGAAGCCGCACGTGAGGAAAGAGGTGTGGTGAGTGCAGGATGCTGTGCTGCCCCCACGCAGGGCTCAGCCTGCTCTCCAGTAGGGACCGGCCACTGGGGCCCCAGCTACTCTGTGAAGTCCTGGCCAGGTGAGGGTGGAGCACTGGTCTGGGCGTTACCACACCTGGTTCCTGCTGTGCTCAGGTGTGACCTTTGGGATGCTAGGTATTCATACAGGGAGAACAAATGGTTTCCTGTTTCTCAAGGTGGCACTGAGGAGGGGCTGTGGTTTCATTTGATTTCAGGGGTGTCCTGGGGTCAATGAGGCAGGGCATAGTGCGGAGGTTTGCATGAGGTTGCAGTTTAAATTTCCTATCATGAAAGCTGTCCCTCTGCCCAGAATAGCCTGGAGGCTGGATCAGCCTGTCAGTCAACCCATCCACAAATACAGGCAGGGGAAGATGGTGGGAGTTCAGTCAATATTTGTTGAATTGTGTTTAATTGAATCATCTCTGCACTTCAGAACCTTATGAGAGAGAGAGAGATTTGGAGAATAATTTAGTGCAAGACCATGGCTTACTATCAGTGGAATTGGACTTCAGAAAAAAAAAAAAAAAAAAAAAAAGAGAGAGATAGCATTAGGCTAATAGAATTTGAGGTAAGTCTTGAGGGTTTAGATAATAATAAGCTACAGGGTGACAGACAAGACAGGAAGGTCCTGGCACAATTAGGATATTTTACCTGTAGCGATTGAGGGTTCATGTTACAGTCAGCAAGAGAAAGTGGGCCTAGGTTGAGTGTGGGTGCTTAAAAGTCAGGCTGAGGAGTTGATTCTTGATACCAACGTAGTAGGGAGCTATTGCAAGTTCTTGAGCAGGATAGTGACTGGCTGGAAGTGTTAGTTGAGATAACTCTCAACTATGGCTCATGACTGGGAGGTGATTGAGGGCAAGGATGGTGGGTGCTTCTTTCCTAGGGCTCTCGCAGGGATCAGCATCATGCTTGGCCTTGGTAAAGGTTCACTAGACGTTGAATTGAATGGATGGGTGTTAGGATCCCCAAGGACATGGAGGCCAGCAATGGATGTCCTCAGGGGAGGTCAGCTTTCCTGGTGAGTGAATGGAGCAGAGCCAGGGTTGCCGGCGGGTTGGCAAGCGCCGCCCACGCCAAGCACCAGTTTTCCAAGGGCTGTTTTGTTCACTGGCTCAGCAGAGCGTGTGAGATGTGATCACAATCTTGAAATAACACAGACAGTCTCTGCTCTCTGCCACTTCCTATTCTGCTGATCCTCTTATTTGACAATACCTAAGAAACACCTACATCTTCCTCTCCTCCCAGACCAGCCCACTTGTGGGAATCTCTGCAGTCTGAGGATGTCAGTGTAGACGGCACCCTGCCAGCAATCCCCCTGCCTGGACGGAGGTGTCCTCTGGGGTGGAGAGAGCATGTAGAGTCAGTCTTAGCCAAACAGTGGTGTGGGTGACACATCCGGGTGCTTTCTGGCTTTCTGCCGTGGTGGCAGGCGGGGCTGTCTGAACCACACACTGTTTTTATGAAACAGCTTTCTCTTTTCAAGGGCTCTTACGTTTGCTTCCATTGCTGGTCTTGGAACAACTCTCAGGTTGGTATCATTTCATCCATTTACAGTTGAGCAAACTGAGGAGTGGCATTGGTAGGTGAGTTGCAAGAGATGACACTATTCCTATACTGGGGACCTGAAGATGAGCTCCTGCCATCTCACACCAAGCCCTGTGCCTGTCCTGTGAGGCCCTGCAAACTGGGCCCAGGCTATGTGAGCAGGGTGGGGGACACTAGGCCAGTCCAAGCCACCATACCAGTGCTCAAATGTGGAGGTGGTGAAGCCAGGTAGGACAAGGAGAAACATCCCCAGGGTGCAGGAGCACAGTAAAACATGCATGTCGGAACCCTCATGCTTCCTAAAAGCCAGGCTTTTAGGGCCAGGGCCAGGCTCAAGAGTAGCCTGATCTTTGGTGTCTCTGGAAATCAGGTTGTCAGAGAGATAGGATCCTTTGTGGAATAAGAGCCAGGGGTCAGGAACACTCAGGTATCTGGCAAAAGAATGAGTCAGTTATCAGTCAGTGAACAGTCACTGAACACCTACTTAGCACAGGTGATGAGGAAGACATGATTCCTGACCCCAGTGGGGACAGAGACAATGAAACCAGCAGTTACAGTATCATGTGCTGTTTATGGTAATAGGGGTGCATAAAAATGCTGTGGGAGTCTGAAAGAAAGAGTAGTTCTGTCTTCTCTGGACTGATGGGACTTCAGGAGTTTGTGACAGAGGTCATGTCATGGACGTAGATCACAGATAGGGCAAGGAGCTGGGCATGAACAGCACAGAGTCCTTGAATGTGCCACCATAGCTGCTTTTCCTTGAAGCCTATGGGTGCTGGAGCTGTGCAGAAATGAAGCTTCATCTTTCAACATTGTGATAGCAGCAGCACAGTTTGTGGATTTGTTCACCATGATGTCCCTCTCTTCTACCTCATCCCTTAGAACATCATAAAATCTAGTGCAACAGCCACTAATCTTATCACTCTCTCTCAAGCTCCCTTTCTCGCCATCCCAGGTCTCTTTGCACAAGTCATCAGGACCACTGGAGTCCTCTATCATGAAGTTGCTCTAAATCATCTTTAAAGACTTCAGGGACCATTCCGAGAGTGAGTGTTGTAAGACTGGCTGTATGGGATACTCAGGAGTGGTTAAGTGTTAATGGACTTGCCTTTCACACATGAGACATTGCATTTTTGTCCCTTGGTAATAGATAGGTGTGTTTTTCAGAGGTAGTAGAGACGCTTTGACAGTGGTAACATCAGTGTGCCCTGAAAAAAATAATAACTCAATAATAGTGATAATAAGAGTCCTATTGGCTACCATACTGAATGTCCAAAATGACATAGCAAGTGATTGGAAATGCAAGTGAGGATTTATCTGTGATTGGGGTGGGCATTGCCTTGGGGCTGGTGATGCTGGTGCTGGTGGGTCTCCCTGACTTTGAATCTGATGAACAGAGGGCAGGATGGGAAGAGGGAGGAATAAGGGGAGGAGCAGAGAGTGGACCCAAGGCACGCTGCTGCCTCTAGCATAAGAAACAAGCCGTGAAAGCAGCTTACAGGCCCAGGCTTTGTTCTCATTGCCAGGAGGCAACTTCTGGATCTATCCAGGTGACTGCAGCTTTCTACACACAGTACTCAGGTCATTTAACACCTCACAGACCTTACCTGTGCACTTAATTAATGTCGCTTGTTTAGGGGGTGCAGAGCATTTTATAAAATGACAACATTGAACTTGATTCAGATTCAAAACTAACTAGCATTGATTGAGTACCTACTATGTTCCAGGCATTGGGTAATTTTGTACACATGATCACATTTAATCTGTATAACAACCTGGCATAAGGCGTCGTCTCATTTTTTTAGTTGGATGGCCCAGGGGTGTTGCCCACAATTCCATGTTGGATTAATAAAAGTGGCACATTCTTTCCTTTGTTCTGGCTATTTCTGAGGTCCTTTCAGTTCTGATATTCTATTTCTGGGACCATTGAGAGAAACATCAGAATCGATTACAGCTGGGAGTAGGGTGCTAGGAAGCTTCCAACAGGACAACTTCTTTTTTATCACTAACAATTTATCCTCTCAGGTTCTCTTTCCTTTTTCTCCTTTTTTTTTTTTTTTTTTTTTTTTGATAATAGTCAACAGAATAAAACTCAAGGAGAATGTGAAATTAGAAGCAATAGAAAATTTGCATAATTAAAGCTAGAATACAGAGGAGAGCAGGAGAGAAAGGTGAGAATAACTTAAGTAGAAGATATTCATATCTAGGAACAGAGGTCTTGGATGCAATCTCAGCTTGTTACTTGTAGACTGGGTGGATGGGGCTCAAGAGAGTCAGATGACTTGCTTGGTGTGGCCGACACTGCCTGGATATTCACCAGTCACATTTCCTCTTTCTTTTGGGTTAACAGCTAGACTGAATTTTCTAGCCCTTCTGAAGTTAAGGGTGGTCAAATGACTGAGTATTGGCCATTGAAATGTGGGTGAAAGTGGTGCACGCTGCTTCTAGGCTCGGCTGGTAAGAACCTCTCACCTGTCGGCAGGAGAATGGCATGAACCCTGGAGGCAGAGCTGCAGTGAGCCGAGATGGCGCCACTGCACTCCAGCCCGGGAGACAGCGAGACTCCGTCTCAAAAAAAAAAAAAAAAAGAACCTCTCATCTGTGACCTTCTCCATGTTTCTTCCTCTTCCACAGTGACTCTAGTAGCCACGTGCTCTGAAGATGATGGAGCCACAGACGGTAGAAACTTGGGTCCCCGAATTACTCCTGTGAGAAATGTATTTTTATCATGTGAAGTCACTAGGATTTGAAGGTTTATCCATTGTAACAACTAGCATGATCTCAGCTGGGATACTCAGCTTCTTCATGTGGAAAAGCAGAGACTGGTAGCCAGAATGATTTCTGGGGTCTTTGCAGAATTTAACAGCTTCTGGTTCTGTGACACCATGAAGGAGAACAGCAAACCCTAGCAGCTTAGCATTGAGCTTGAGTCATGGTACATTTTGAGCTTTTTTCTGGTCCCTGTCTTTGGGCAGCTTGCGTTCGAGGCCATCTATGGTAGATGTTTTCCTTCCTGGCATAGATGATTCAGGCAGGACATTTTCCCTGTGTGTGATTTTCATATGATGACCATGGCCTTTTCTTGCCTTCTGGAGTAGTAATGAAGGTGCAATAAAATAATGGTTGGCAAAGATTGCTTTTGAACACACCTAAATGCTACATGAAAGATTATTATTAATTATAATAATTAGGGTAGAGGAAATTAACAAAAAATTCTGGAAACTCTCAAGTGATCATTTTGAGTGTGACATTTACTTTGAGTGACCCCAGGCAAGTTATACAATATTAGCCCAGATGGTGGTATAATCCATTTTATGTAAATCTCATAGATGGAGATTGAAACTGTCATAAACAGATGTAATTAGAGAATGGTTGTTTTCAAGTAGGGGATCTTTAGCTATCAGTTTTCCTGATCTTATCTTGTTTCATACAGTGGGAGAGAAAGGGAAGAAAGTTTAAAATAAGTTATCAATGAGAGATCATTCAAAATAATGATAAAGTAATGCTGGGTTTAAGGAAGGATGGAGTCAGACTTAATAAAATCCAACTTAGGTATGGCTTAAAAAATAGTACACAAAGTGTAGGTTTCTTTTTTTGAGATGGAGCCTCGCTCTTTTGCCCAGGCTGGAGTGCAATGGTGCGATCTTAGTTCAAGTGATCTGCCCACCTCAGCCTCCCAAAGTGCTGGGATTGCAGGTGTGAGCATAGGTTCTTACGATAGGTTTCAGAGGCAGCTTTCTTACCACAGCCTCAGCCCCTCCCACGTGCTGGGGGCACAGCAGTGGGCCACAAACACAAAGTTCCTGCTCTGGTGGGGAAGATGGACAATGTGCATTTAGAGAACACAATGTCAGCTAAACATAGCCAATCACCATTGCATCCCACCGTGTTTCTTTCTAAGTGGTTTACAGGTATTAAGTCATATAAGCCATGTTAGGCTAAGTGCTATTATTCTGATTTCCATTTTACAGATGGGGACACTGATGCACAGAGAAGTTAACTGCCAAATCCAGGGAGACTGCTCTTAACCACTAATCCATACTGTTTCCTATTAGTGCTATGGACTAGAACTAACATAGGGCATGGAATAAAATATAGTAGAGAGGAGGTGGCTAATTAGGTAGAGTGGGTAAGAAGAGATGACATTTGAGCAAAATCTGATTGAAGTCAGGAGGCCAGTCTGAGGCTCTCAAGGGAAAGAAAGATAGTGATCTAGGCATAGGGAACCATAGAAGGAAAAAGCCCTGAGATGGGCAAAGGGTCGTGGGTTTGAGGAATGTCAAGAATGCTGGTTTGAACAAAGTGGATATGCAAGGGGGAAGGTGACAGAAGATGAGTTGGAAAGATGCCAGAGGCCAGATCTTGTAGAACCTTGGTGTCCATAAATGCTTTGGCTGTTGTCTGAAGAATTATGGGCAATCCTTACAGGTATGTTTGAGTGACGGTAGTAATGAGATTGAGTTAGATTACTTAAAATTTTGAACCATCCTGGATACTCAGCTTATGGCAGGAGTGAGGGGTGGCAGGAGTAGCAGTAGGAACCAGAATGGAGACTATTGCAATATTCCAGGCAAGAGAGATTCTGGGATTAGATCAGAGCGATAATGGTGCAAGTGCCAGAGTTAGGAAAAATCAAACATGGGATATGAGAGAAAGAGAGGAATAAAAATGACATCAAGCCCTTTGACCTGAGCAAGTGGATGTGCAATGGTGACGGTGCTGTTTGCTGAAATGAAAAAGAGTGAGGATGAGCAGGTTCATGTGTAGTGCAGGAGGTAAGTAACAGTACTGGTTTGGATATGCAAGTGAAGATCTTGAGTAAGAAATTAGACACCCAAGCCTGGAGTTCAGGGGAGGAGAAGGGGTTAGACATGTTAATTTTGGAATCCCAGCCACAGATGGATGAGATTACTTAGAGGAAAAAATGGTAGAGAAGAGGTATGCGTTGGAACTTCCACATGTAGATCTGAAAAACAGGAGGGGCCAGCAAAGGAAACTGACGGAGGGTCCAGGAAAGTGGGAGGAAAATCAGAAATAGTGGGTTTCCAGATATCAAGAAATGGAAGTGTTTCAGGTAGGATGGCATCATCAGCAGTATTGAGTGCTGACTATAGGCTCAATAAAGTAGGGGGACCAAGAGTTGACCCCTGGATTTGGTAACATGGAAGTGGTTTTGATATATGAAGTTTTTTCATAGAGTGATAGGGACAAAGGCCTGTTTGGAAAACCAGCATTACTTGGCAAGGCTACAGTAACAACCTACTCTCAACTCTCAAAGGCTTGCAGAACAGCAATATCTTATTGTTATCATGTCACCTGTTGGAGGCTGTGGATCAGCTACAGTTTTGTTCCTCATAACTTCTTTCAAAATCCAGGCTGAAGGAGTAGCTCCAATCTGGGATTGCAGTTATTATGGCCAAATGGAAAAGCAAGATTGCCGGTAGAAACTTGAAATACTTCGTAAAGCTTGTATTCAAACGTGGTCCATACCATGTCTGCTCAGCTTCTGCTGAATAGCACCAGCCATATGGCCAAGCCTGCTGATGGGTAGGAGGTCTACTGTCCCTGCAGGGAGGCACAGCAGGTCACATGGCAAACAACAGGGACATATGATCCTTCCACAAAGAAAGGAGAAGCCAATAATTGAAAACAATAACCCTATCTTCCACAAAGGAAGTTCAAGAGAAAATGGAAGGTGACTTAATAAAGATAAGAATTACAGAAAACTTCAGGAATTTTAAGATCAAGGGAGCAGGGGAATAGGGCAGTAGCTAGAGAGGGAACTGGGATGAAGTGAGAACTTTGTTTGTTAGTGTTGAGATGAATGTTATTTCAGCATGTTTGTGTGTGATACACCAATCTAGAGAAAGGAGTTGAAGCAGGAGAGTGATATGATAGCAATGAGGATAAAGTTCTGTGGGTGAAAGGCAGAGGGATTCTCTGGACAAGTGGAAGGGTTAATCTTCACTAAGAATGTCACAGTTTGTCCTCTGCCGCAGAAGAAAGACAGAGCCTGTTGGCGCAGAGGCTGGGAATTGTGTGGTTAGGGGAAGATAAACAATTATCTGATTGCTTCTATGTTCTCACTGAAATAGACCAGCATTCGAGAGTGAAGAAGTGCAGAGGGCTGTTGGAGATTTGAGTAGTGACAAGTTGTGAGATGCTCACCGCACAGAGTAGGAGAGTGAAATGAGCAGGAAGATATAGCAGGAATGCCCACCTCCTTGAGGCTTGTGGTCATGGACTCCAGATGATACCACTCGAGGTGTTTGCATGTTTTTCATTATTTCTGTTCACCTGGATGCAAGCATTTAGCCAAAGCTTGGAGGCTTCCTCAGGATGGCTTCCAAAATGGAAAGAGAAGGAGACAAAGGATAGATTGATTTTAGTAAGGGACTGTGGAATGAAAACAGAAAATGTGTGATGGCCAGTGCACACAGGGCCTATGATCTGGAAGCTGCGGGAGGTCAAAAATTATTGGAGTAGAAGCGCTAGAGAGAGTAAACTGGAATTTTGGAGGTGATGGCCAGAGTTGGATATTTATTATCAAGATACTAGAGGTGGAACAGGATATTAGAGGTGGTAATGACAAGATCCAGGTTGTGAATATGGGAGTGATTGGTTGAGGTAGGGCTGAGATGATTACCGAGCTGATTATTGAAGATGATATCATGACACTGGGAAGTGACCATGTTTCATGGATCAAGTACCTGGATGTAGAAGTCATAGGAGGACATGGGAAGGCTGGAGGGAGAAAAGGCTATAAATAAATGCAACAAAGAGCGATGGCAAAAGCTTCTGAATCTCATGATGCAATCTTAAAAGATCTTGCCTTTTCCTGTTGAGCAGTGTTGGGGAAGGGTGTGTCCTTGATGGCTAATTGGAGGTGTTCTGATGCAGGCTGCCTGGTAGGCTGGCATATGGAGAATGCAGGAGAGGCTCCAGGGTCTTGCAGGGGAATGTGTCCTCACTCTTGCTTCCATCCTGCCTGCCACTGCTGAAGCACAGAAACTCTGATAGATGCCTGGCCGGCTGTGAGAACAGGTGGTATCTTTCTGCAGCAAGTCATAGGGGCCAACAGAGGCCTCAGACTTGGGGAAATTCAGTCACAGGAATGGTTAAACTGCACCACAACTGGGGCAGGGAGTGGTCAGTGTGCGTGTGTGCTGGGGAAAGAGAACACAAGCAAAGGAGGCACATTGTCTTGTCACCCCAGTAAATGATCCGTAACAGGGTCCCATCCATCATATGGGGTTTCTCAGAAGATTTCCTTTCCCATCTCCATGATTCCCACCCATCCCAGCTTGGTAACACCATTTTGATTCAATGGTGTAGCTACTGGAGTTCTGAGTACTCACACCTCTGGTAGTGAGGCATCTGCCGACAGCCGGATTAGAGACATTGTTTGATGGCATTACTTTTAGTCCATTTGATCACAGAGATCTGAGATGGAGCTGATATCTCACAACTGGATATTTGGATCAGCAAAATGACAACTGTTTAAATAACAGTTTCTCCAAAATATAGTCTTTTTCTGAGGCTTATTGTAATGTTTATGTTCCTGTGCTTTGTTTTTTGAAGCCGATATTCTTGGAGCTTTTCTTTTTTTCTCCTCCTGTGACCATCAGAAGATGGCAGCTGACTTGCCCGCCTCAGCTCAGCTTCCTTTTGTATTCTGTTTCACTGGTTGTCACAAGTTTTGTGTAGCATGATGTTCAGATGCCACCTGAGAGAGTGCCGTGTATGGTGCTGGGACTCTAAAGAGTCACGCATATCTGAGTTTGAACCTCCACTGTGCCACAAGCCTGCTGTTCCTTAACCCTCTCTGTTCCTCAGTTTCTTCTTCTATTTAATGGGACTAATAATAGGCTTTCTCTCATGGAACCGATATGGGCATTACATGAGGTAAAGCATGCTGACTCAGAGTAAGCATTCAACAAGTCAGTGCTAATAAGATCACTTCAATCAACAATGTCATTTTTATGATCAGGGCCAAAAGCACTGCTGTAAATCATCTTTCAGTAATCATCTTGACCTCGGGTCTATGATAAGGTATTGAAAAGTCTGTACTCCTATGTAATAGCCATGGAAATAAAAAGGGTTTGGCCAGGCACAGTGGCTCTTGCCTGTGATCCCAGCACTTTGGGAGGCTGAGGTGGGCGGATTACTTGACGTCAGGAGTTCAAGACCAGCCTGGCCAACATGATGAAACCTCATCTGTACAAAAATACAAAAATCCGCCAGGCATGGTGGCACGTGCCTGTAATCCCAGGTGCTCAGGTGGCCGCGATGGGAGAATCACTTGAACCTGGGAGATGGAGGTTGCAGTGAGTTGAGATTGCACCAGTGCACTCCAGCCTGCAACAGGGCCAGACTCTGTTTCAAAACAAAAACAAAACCAAAAACAAAACAGTTAGGGTTGTATTCAAATATGCTTCTAAGGGATGCTAGGTCTAAGAGACAGCAGATATGAGATCTCTAAAATCTTTTAGGAGGGCTGGCACATCATCCAGTGCTCTTTCAGTTTCAAGTGACAGAAACCCAATTCATATTAGCTTAAGGAAAAAGCATAACCAATCTTCAAATAAGCAGAAATAAAGGTGGCATAAGACCGACAGAAACTTTCCTTCTCCTACCCTCTTACTCAAACCTCCTGTTTTTTTCCTTTCCTTTCTCAAGTCAGTTTCCATCTCTGTGCTGACTCCCTTCTCTCATGTTTTCCATCTGATTAAGGACCCGGCTATGGGAAATTCTGAAGTAACATCCTTATACCTGGAAACCCAAGGAGAAAGAATGAGCACTTTCTTCATCTCCAATTTGTGACAGTTCCGGGGAAGAACTCTGATCGGTCCAGCCTGGGTTACAATCCAAGCCCTAGGGGATGGGGAGCCCTGATTGGCAGCTCTGTCAAAGTCAAAGGAACCAGGAGAGGGCGGAGCAGTTCTCTAAAGAGTAGCAATGGGAGCCATGTTAACAGAAGGCAAGGGATGGGTGTCTGGGTGCTCCCAAATAGCTAATGTCTACTGCGATGGGAAGCCCTGGGAACTCCAGCTTTTCAAAGGTGACCAGACTCTTGTGAGGCTCCAGTCTGCTCAATAAAGTGGTTAAGAGTATAGGTGTGGCCAGCACAGTGGCCCATGCCTGTAATCCCAGGACTTCGGGAGGCCAAGGCCAGGAGGATCTCTTGAGCCTGGGAATTCGAGACCAGCCTAGGCAATGTAGTGAGACCCTGTCTCTACAAGAAAATAAATAAATAAATAAATAAATAAATAAATAAATAAATAAATAATAAATAAAATAAAACTAGCCAAGTTAAAAAAAAAATTGGCATACAGCTGTGTAGTTTCAGCTACTTGGGAGGCTAAGGCAGGAAAAGCACTTACACCCAGGAGCTCAAAGCTGCAGTGAGTATGATCGAGCCACTGCATTGCAGCCTGGGTGACAGTTCTGAAATAATAATAATAAAAAAAGAGTGTATGTATGAAGTTTGACTGCCTAGAGTCAGAATCTATCTCTAATGCATTTTGGATGTGTCATCTTGGGCAAGTTACTTAATCTCTCTTGTGCTTTAGTTTTCTTATGTATGAAATGGAGATTTACCCATCTCACAGAGTGCTTTTTGAGGATTAAATGACATAATTAATGCATCATATTTAGCAGTGTCTGGTGCATATGAAGTGTATGTAATATGTTATTAACCCAGCATCATATTATCATCATTATTTTCATTCACTGGCCCTACGTCCGGGCACTAACCCCTGCTTATAAACTGAGAGCTCCCTTAACAAGACCTACACATTCTTCATTATCCACATTGTTTGGCATCTGCTTGAGGCCGAGTAAGTGGCCCCGGACCTGAGAATCTTCCTCCACAGCCCTGAGAATGTCCCGAATGGTTTCCTCTCACCTGGAGAGATTGGGGATGAATCTTTCTTGGCTGTGTGTTGACTACCTTGCTTTGGGGAAAGAAGAAGGGGTCAGTAAGATATGAAACAAGGCACCTCAAAAAATACCCTGAGAACAAGCATTTGAGGAAAATCTCGGAAAGGTTAAGTAACTTCCCCAAGGGTACCCAATTTGCAAGTCGAGGCAGAAGCCAAACCCAGGTCAGCTGAGCCCAAAGCCGGTGCTCTTGCTACACGTGTCTCTGTTGTGGGTCCCACACTCCCTTGCTTGGCTTTCAAAGCCTTTAGGCACGCGCTATCATGCCTGGCTGATTGTTGTATTTTTACTAAAGACGGGGTTTCACCATGTTAACCAGGCTGGTCTCAAACTCCTGGCCTCAAGTGATCTGCCTACCTCGGCCTCCCAAACTGCTGGGATTACAGGTGTTAGCCACTGCGCCGGGCCCCATTGCCTTGCTTTCTTCCCTTCACTTACCTAAGTCCTTCCAGATCCAGATTGACTTCTGCTTTTCCATGAATTCCTCTCAGAAGATGCCCACCCTCAATGACATACCTCTGTGGCCACCCATGCCTTGGTCATCGGGACCAACAGACCGCACTTCCCTGTGCTTTGATGACCATTGTTTAAGCTCCTCCCCCAGCTGGACAGCTCATCTCTTGGTATCCCTACCTCCCTACAGGGCCTCACACAAGGTTGGGAACCTGCAAGACTCAATTTCAGGATGGAGGGATCTCAGGATGAGATTTAGGTAGCATGAAACTGGAGCTGAGATTGGCTGAAATCTCAGTACTTCAGGTATTAGATTTGCATGCCAGGAAGGGATTGACTGAGTGGAACCCAAGGCTTTCAGGGAGGGTGACAGGGCGGCACGGTTTCAAATTTCTCATTAAACTCAATCGGTAGTTATAAAAATATTATTGTTGTTGATATCTAATTTGATATTACAGACCACTCAGAGATCTGCTTCAACCTCGTTTACACAGCACCCTTTCCTGGGTCTTACAAGGGACAAGAATCATACTATCCACTGTGATCATCCCTGGGCAATATAGGATTTATGGGTCTCAGAGGATGTGAACAGCAGCACTGTTCACCCTCCCCACGGTCCAGGGACATTGGAGGTTTTCAATTATAACTTCATCTTATCCATGGGAAGGTAAAGGGCCCCGAGACCACAAGGAGTTACTGGAAAAACCAAGACTGGAATATAAGTCTCCTGAGTTTGGATTGATGCCATTGTCATAAAAGAAAGGAATAGGCTCAGAGGAGAAGTGGTTCCCAGTTTCTACCTCCCCGCCAGGCATCTCTCCAACCTGAGATTAATTCTCTGCTTTTGAGCCCTGAGCAACTTTCTGTCTGGCTGACAGCCTGGTTGAAGGAACCTCCCGGAAAGGCAGAATGGCCGGGGCCGGTAACAGGGTGAGGGGCCCTCACTATCCTTGCAGCCATCTATCCAGTGTCCCCAGCTACGCATGCTTTAAAGAGCAAAGATACCCCTAGATGTGTGTTTCTTTCAGAATTGGTGAATTATCAGTGTAATTTTGTTACTGCAACTGAGCAGAGGAAACAATTAGGTTTTGCTACACTTTCACGGAGTAAAAGAAGAAAAAGGAGAAGGAAAAGAAAGGAGATGGGTAGACAGATGGGCGGGTCCTCGCCACCCCAAGACCTCCCTAAACATGCACTTCCTTGTCTCTGCAGGCCTATGGTCACCTGGCAGCTTAACAAGGCTTCAGCTCCCTCCCTGGACCCTTGTTCTCAAGCCCCTGCCCAACACCATGCCCCTCATTCTTCCCTGGAACTTCCTTGTCATACTCCAAGACTGGCTGTATGTTTCATGTCATTCCCATGACTTCCCTCCTCAACTCTTCCGAAGTCTGCTCTAGCTTCTCCCAGACAGCCTTCCCACTCTTGAAGCTCTGCCTTCTTCCCTCCCTTCAAAAGCCTACCACCCACCCCCAGGTCTTTGACATGGTTTCTCTGTCCCTCAAGTCCTGGCTGTGCCTGTGTCCTTCCACCTGCTGTTGACCATTATCAACTTCCAAATGAGTCCTCTAGAGACCTACCCAGCTACTTAGGCTGGTTACACATTTTTCACCCTGATGATCTCTCTTGATCTCTATACACACACAGCCTTCCCCTTCTCCAGTCAAAGAGAGAGAATATAGCCCTCTGGACTGTCAGACAGGGAGTAGAAGAGAAAAAGTTTTGATGTCAAATGAAGGAGATCTGGATTCCAGTCCCAATTCACCCATAAATCAACCATCCCTTCGTTCATTCCTACATTCACTTATTCATCAGACATTCGATGTGAGCTCTGTGCCCGGCATCCAGCTAGAGGTCAGGGAACGACAGAAATGATTAACGGAAAGGATGGCACAGAAATTGTTTATTGTCTCTGAGGAGACAGACACACAACCCAGGTACTGTGGTAGTGCAGTGATCGAGACAGGGGAGAGATGGAGGGAACACAGAGAAGGGCCCTCTTCTCAGCCTGGGAGGATAAAGGGAGCTGCCTTTCTGAGAAGGGGCAGCTGACCTGAGTCAGAGAAGCTAAAAGAGGAGGAGAAAAGAAAGAAGCAAGAAATCAGAGGTAGAGGATTTGCTGAAGCAAAGGCAAGCAGCTTCGAGCTGTGAGACGGGCATTTCGGGAGGGGCTGCGTTTGCCAGAGGCTGGCATCCATGTGGATTTATTGCTGCTACGCTCTGGGCAGAGAGTGCTTTGAGATGAGTTTGGGATGGATCCTGGAGGATTTCACAGGCCATGGGAGGGCAGGCTGAGACTTTATCTTGTAAGCGATGAGGGTCCATTTTAAAATTTTAAACAGAGGAGGTGAGGTACATGTTCTAATGTGTGTTTCTTCTAGGATCGGTTTAAGGGATGGACTTGAGGAAGGCCAGGAGGAGAATTGGGAGGCTGTAGCTGGAGTCCCCAGGGAGAAAGGAAGGAGATGAAAGGACACTTTTGAAAAACGTTTAGGAAGTAGCTGTGGGAGAGATTGTTGGTTGGCTCTGGGAGGGCAGGAGATGGAGGTGACCCAGACTGAGCCAGAGATTCTAGGAGGAGCCGGGTGTGTGAGGGTAGGGGAGGAAGGGCAGTGGTCATTTAATTTGGGAAGGCTGAGTCAGAGACTTGGGAACTTGGTTGGAGATGTCCAGCAGGCGATTGTGTGTGGATGGGTCTGAGGGAGGAGTGAGGCAAAAGGCTGGCTGGAGGTGGGGACTTGAGGCTCCTCATCTTAGAGTGGTGTCCACATTGAGAGTGCCTAAGCTTTCCCCAGAGAGAAGGTGTCCAGGGGGCTGGGGACATCAGAAGGAGAAGCAACAGCCCATCAGGGAGTCGAAGAACAAAACAGAATGCCAGAAGAAGAGAACTGGGGCAGTGGGCTCTGCCTGAGCCAAGGACAGGAATGTAGCAAAGGAAACTGAAGGGCGGTGTTATGGACTGAATGTTTGTACTTCCCCCAAATTCACATGTTGAGGCCCTATTCCTTAATGTGATGGTGTTTGGAGGTGGGGCCTTTGGGAGGTAATGAGGTTTAGATGAGGGTGGAGTTCTCATCATGAGATTAGAGTCCCCTTAACGAGAGACAAAGCTCTCCCCTGCTGCCCAAAACCATATGTCAGCCCTGCGAGGACACAGGGAGAAGGTGGCTGTCTAAGCCAGGAAGCAGAAAACATGACCAAGGCTGGGACCTTGATCTTGGACTTCCTAGACACCAGAACAGGGGGAAGAAAAAAGTCTGTTGTTGAAGTCACTGGTCTCTGGTATGTTGTTATAGGAGTTCACTAGGGTGAACCCATTTCCTGATTCCTCTGGGACCAGGAATTCATTATGAAGAGCTGTCTTCAGGGGAGAGTTGGGGCAGATGTTTGGCTTAATAAATTAAGGAGTAAATAGGAGACGTGGAAATAGGAGCTGTGCATGAAGACTATTCTTTCTTTTTTTTTCTTTTTTTGAGATGGGGTCTTGCATTGTTGCCCAGGTTGGAGTGCAGTGGCCCAATCTCAGCTCACTGTAACCTCTGCCTCCTGGGTTGAAGCAATTCTCCCACCTCAGTCTCCTGAGTAGCTGGGATTACAGGCACCCGCCAGCATGCCCAGCTAATTTTCTGTGTTTTTGGTAGAGACGGGGTTTCACCATGTTGGCCAGGGTGGTCTTGAACTCCTGATCTTGTGATTCACCTGCCTCAACCTCCCAAAGTGCTGGGTTTACAGGTGAAAGCCACTGGGTCTGGCCGATTGAAGACTATTCTTTAAAAACCTTTGGCTGAGAAAGAGAGGGAAAGAGTTTATCCAATAGCTACAGAGGATCAAAGTATCTAGGAGGTCTCTATGAAATGTTTGTTCTGGGGCCGGGCACTGCATCTCGCTTAATATTCAACTGAAAAGTCTTGGTATGAAGGACATTTCCATATCCATTGATGGTCACTGCTGAAGGGACGACTGAGTATCTTACTCCATTCCATTTCCCTGTAACTCCATTGATAACTTTTGTTTAGAACTCAATGCCAGGAAACAGTTGTTTCTTCTGAATAAACATGCTCTCTTTCTTTCATCTGACAGTAATGGCTTGCAACATGTTATGTTCCTTTTTTTACTTTGCCTGCTAGGAAGCCCAGAGGCCAATTTATGGCTAGCTATAGTGAAGAGTCTGTTTCTGGCTCTTGGCACAAAAATCTCCTCCTTTGCCTAGATGATTTCTGATTCCTTTTACATCTTTATTTTATATTCACATGTATACAAGTACAGTTGTTATGTTTTTTTAAATGTTCAATATAAGTTTATTGAGCAAATAAAACCTGCAAATGGTGATTTTCTTCATAAATTGAAGTACTTCGATTGTCATAACATGTGTTCTGCACGTAGTTTTTGACCAAATGTGAAATGTTTCTACAGTTAAACTTCAAATGCGAGTCATTATGTAAATATCATTTTATTTTAAGCTGTAGAAAATCCTTCCTGAACATAGGGAGGGTATAAATCACAAAAAACGGGAAGAGGCTTAACCTCTCTGCATCTCAGGTTCTCCATCTGTGAAATGGTGATAACAGTTCCTGTCTGCCTGACTCAAGAGATAATGGATATGAAAACAATTTGATGGGAGCAAAACATTACACGAAGTCAAAGTAACATAAATAATATATTGCTTTTTGTTGTTGTTTATATTCCTCAAAATGTGTAGCATGAGTCCTTGGCTGATGTATGGAAAATGGAGCTTGGAGTGAGAGTGGTCTTCATGAGACTTTTTGACAGTCCACAAGTCAGTGCCTTATTTTCAGAGGGTGATTGGCGTTTGCTGTAGGGTAAGGCTGACTGCCCATCTATGGGGTTTCCCAGGTGTTTGGGGTGGGACGAGAGTGAGGGGGATCAATGGTTAAGAGGTAACCTGCCTTCCTTGTTACGCCGGATGGCAGGCCTCTCTCCCTGGGATTTTCCCAGCAGTCTTTACGGAAGGCTCTTCTGCTGGAAGTTACAAAGAGCATGAGGTGATGTGTGTGGGAGAAGCAGTGCTGAGGTTGATGAAGAGCCGCCAGCCGCCTGCAGGCCTGGAGGGGGCCATTTCTGCGTTGCTGTGCGGTCTGCAGGGTGATCGAGGGAGAAGGGATGACGGATGGGAGCAGGGCTTCCTCCCTGCCTTGGTCTGCTGGTTGGCCCATCACTCACACCCCCTGATGGACTGCCTCCTTCCACAAAGGCAGGGCTATAGGGTGGGTTATAGATGAGCTGCTGTAAAAACTACTTTTTCTAATTACATTTTTGAGCTTGGGATGTGGCTGTCCATGGGAGGTGGGAGGTGCCTGATTCTGGAGGAGGAAGTGGAGAAATAAAGTGAGAGGAGAGTGTGGGAGGTTCTTGGGTTGTGTCGATAACTCTATTTAAACAGCTAAGAAGCATCTCTGGGTTTCAGGACTGGCTGTGGGTGAAACCATGACTGGGCTTTGATGATCTTTCCTGGATTCACTCACTTATTCACTCAACAAACACCTCCTGAATGACTACAATGCGTGAGGCACTGTGTACAAGGCATTCTCTAGACAGAACTTGTCGTACTTTATTTTGCATGTGAAGCACTCATGGATTTTTTTTTTTTTTTTTTTTTTTGAGACAGAGTTGCTCTGTCATCCAGGCTGAAGTGCAATGGCATGATCTCGGCTGACTGCAGCCTCTGGCTCCTGGGTTCAAGTGATTCTCCTGTCTCAGCCTCCCAAGTAGCTGGGACTACAGGTGCATGCCACCATGCCCAGCTAGGTTTTTATTTGTTGTTGTATTTTTAGGAGAGATGGAGTTTCACCATGTTGGGCAGGCTGGTCTTGAACTCCTAATCTCAAGCAATCCTTCCACCTTGGCCTCCCAGAGTGCTGGGATTACAGGCGTGAGCCATCAGACGCAGCCACGAATTTTGTTAAAACAGAGTGTGTTTCAGTGGTTATGGGGCAAGGCCTGAGACTCTATATTCCTGACAAGCCCTGATGTCCGCCAGTGCTCCTGATCCACAGAGCATACCCTGTGTGATAGCAAGAGCCCTGGACACACAGTCAGGTACGACGTGGCCTCCCCACATCCATGTCATTTACATTGTGCCTCGAGGGTGAGCTAGATTTTTATAAGTAAGAAGAGGAGGAGAAGGAGGCTGGGGAGAGTGGGGAAGATGCTTTCCAAGGCTGATAGAAGAGTGTGAACGGAACATGCTCGTGGGCAGGTTAGTTCCGAGAGAGAGGAGGATTTCTGGACCATCCCATTGCCAATGAGTTTGGAGCCTTTTCTATAGCAAGTGAGAAGCTATATTCAGAAGGGAGTGAAAGATCTAACCTGTATTGTGTGCACTTCCTTGTGGGGGCCTTTAGAGGGGGCTGGACAGAAGCTGAAGGCAGAGTGGGCTGCGAGGTCCTCTCAGGTCCTGGGGAAAGGCGAGGACACACGATAGAAGCTTGCTCGGGGTGTGGAGAGCTGGCAGACAAAGCTGCACTCCTCAGCCCGGGTGCTAAGCTCACACCACCCTCTGTCTCCTTGTTCACCCCAGAGGCATCAAGCTCTATGTTTTCAGCTTTTTTTCATGAAAATGAATCCTGTTGTTCTATCCTGAATACAAGCTTTCTGAAGACAGGGGGCCTCTTTTGTACCTTGCAAAGTAGCTTGTACTTAGCAGGTGCTCATTAAATATTTGTTGCTGACAAGCGTTTGAGGAAAGTGATGAAGATGGGCTAATTCGCATGATCCCTTTAATGATTTGATCTGATGGCCTACAGTTTTATCTTTTAGGTTGCTGTCCTCCTCTCTCTCTCCCCGTTTGGTGGGAACATCTCAAGGTAGCAAGATTGAAAGGCAGTTGCCACAGAAGACGTTAAAACATACTTTAAGAGATGAATGTGTCACTTCTCCCAGGAGCAGTTGCTTTTAAAGAGAAGATAGAAGAAAGCCACTGGTGCTGGCTCCCCACCCCCTCTGCCCCCAGCCTCTCTTTCTCTCTCTTTGTTATTCTGAGACAGGGTTTCAGTCTATCACCCTGACTGGAGTGCAGTAGCATAATCATGGCTTACTGCAACCTCGACCTTACAAGCTCAAGTGATCCTCTCACCTCAGCCTCCTGAGAAGGTGAGACTACAGGCATGCACCACCACATCTGCCTGATTTTTTCCTTTTTTTTTTTTTGAGACGGAGTCTCACTCTGTCGCCAGGCTGGAGTGCGATGGCACAATCTCGGCTCACTGCAACCTCCGCCTTCCAGGTTCAAGTGATTCTCCTGCTTCAGCCTCCTGAGTAGCTGGGACTACAGGTGCCTGCCACCATGCCTGGCTAATTTTTATATTTTTAGTAGAGATGAGGTTTCACCATGTTGGCCAGGATGGTCTCGATCTCTTGACCTCGTGATCTACCAGCCTCGGCCTCCCAAAATGCTGGGATTACAGGCATGAGCCACCACACCCAGCCTTTTTTCTATTTTTTATAGAGATGGGGTCTCACTATGTTGCCTAGGCTGGTCTTGAACTCCTGGGTTCAAGCGATCCTCCTGCCTTGGCCTTCCCAAATGCTGGGGTTGTAGACCTGAGCCACCATGCCTGGTCATCTTTCCCCAGTCTTAGCATGTGGATGTGAGAGCTGGAAGATTCCCAAAGACCTGGCCGGAGACTCCTGTTTGAAGGAGGAGAGGGAAGAGCCTTAAGGGGTTCCCAAGGTTGCACATCTGGGCAGGGACAGAACATCAGACACATTGTACGGCTGCAACAGGCTGGCACTGCTGACATCACAGACATCAGGACAGACCAGGAAGACACCCATCAAATTCTGGGCTGGAAGATACGGAATACTCTGACTTTACCCAAGGCTGAGCCTTCCTCAGAAGCTCCTGAGAAGAAAAGAATTCAGGGGCCTCATGAATGAGGCTCAGAAATTTGGTGCAATAATCACCAATGAGCCCCAACCCAGGGAAGTGTAACGTATCACCCCAATTTTATAAGGAAGAACACTGAGGCTCAGAGAGGTAAAGTAACCCATCCAAGAGTCATAGAGGGGGATCGTCTGGGTCCAAAGCACAGCAGCCTCATGGGGAGCACCTTGTACTGTGTCCTGTGCTACCCATTGGCAATGCAGACAGCAGGGGGGATGCGTGCATCTGGAGGAAGATTAGCATCAGCATTTCACCTGAAGCCTGAGGGCTCAAAGGAAAATGTTTTACAGGTAGCGGTAGCTCTTCAGAAAACCAGGGAGGGAAGTGACCAGGGATGTGTCTCTGCTTCTGCATGGCGTTATCATGCAAGCTGTGCAGTGTGCCCCAACTCTCAAGATCGGAGTCACTGCAGACCACCACCCGCAGCCCCAAATCTCTACCCTCTGGAAGGACGGAGAACATATTCAGGTGCAGACCTCAGCCCTCTGCATGCAGTAGAGGTGAAATAAGTCATCGTGGAAGGAATGAGTGAATGGAGAGAATCTGCGCTCAGAATCCCAACGATGGAATTGGAGGAATGTGGACCCTGGAGTCTGGATAATTTGGTATTATGTTCTGGCTCGAACTCATACTAGCTGTATGATTTTAGGTACATTTCTCAACCTTCTGAATCTCCATTTTCTCATTTGCAAACAGAGGTTGGATAGGAACACTCACTGTACAGGTTTATGGAGCGGCATTTAGGGAAACTATGGGCAGCCCCTGGCCTGGTGCTAGGGCCTGTGTTAAAAGTCGCTTTCCGTTTATAGTCCTGGAGTCACCCTTATTAACTGGATTCTACGGTTACTCTGTGCCTTGTTGTCTATAGGCCTTTGAGAAAGTCACATATCCTGTTTTTTGTTGTTGTCTGTTTGTTTTTGAGACAGGGTCTCACTATCTTGCCCAGGCTGTAGTGGAGTGGTGTGATATCCCAGCTCACTGCAGCCTTGACTTTGACTTCCTGGGCTTGAGCAATTCTCCCAACCTCAGCCTCCGGAGTACCTGGGACTACAGGTGCGTGCCACCATGACCAGCTAATTTTTCTGTTTTTTATAGAGATGGGGTCTTGCTGTGTTGCCCTGGCTGGTCTCAAACTCCTGAACTCAAGCGAGCCTCCCACCTCAGCTTCCTGAGTAGCTGGGACTACAGGTGCGTGCCACCATGACCAGCTAATTTTTCTGTTTTTTATAGAGATGGGGTCTTGCTCTGTTGCCCTGGCTGGTCTCAAACTCCTGAGCTCAAGCGATCCTCCCACCTCAGCCTCCCAGTGTTGGGATTATAGCAGTGAGCCACTGTGCCCAGCCTCACATACCCTTTGAACCTCAGTTTCCATACCTGTGACTCAAGGAATGAGAACATCTGTCCTGCACATGTGTCTCTTATAAGGGTGGATGATGATAAGCTGATAATGTTAGTGAGAATGACAATAGCAAAACATAGCAGTGTGGCTGTTGTCCACGGAGCACTGACTATGGAGCCAGGTGCTTTCAAGAACATGCAAAGCTTAAATCAGCCACGCCAAATGCTTAGAACATATCCCAGGCATAGAAGGAGTGCCCTGAAACTGTTTGCAATTGTCAGTGTTTTTACACCAGGTGACAATAGTTGGGGAGACTTGTGGAAGCCCAATCAGTGGGAAAATCTCATGGTCAAGTGTGCTGGGCACTCCACTGTCAACTGGGAATTATTTTCTTCTGTGGCCTTCCTTTTATTCCCTCCAGAGCATTTCCAAGGAGCAGCCAGCATCTGTGACTTGCCTAGGGACTTAGTGAGTCCAGCCAGCCCAGAGTCCAGGCCCTGCTGCCCAGCCAACTCCTGGCTGCCCAAAAGCACCAGGCTGTTCTGTAAGTGGAGGGCAACTGCACCTGTCCCGCACTCAGCTTCTGTCTCCTGGACTCTTGCTAACAGCTTCCCAGCTAGTTTCTCACTTTCCACTCGGCCCTTTAACCTATCCTCTCCTCTCCCACAAATACAATCTTTCTGAAGAGCAAACCTGATCCCATTCCTCCCTGCTTAAAATCCTCCCATGGCTCCCCGCTACCCTGAAGTTAAAGTCTGATCTGTTTAGTATAAGCCCACGAAGGCTGACAGTGCTGGCCTTGGAATACCTCAGCTGTCCCCTCAGGGGACCCAGTGCCCCAGACTTGAATGGTTTGAATGATTCGGAAAACCTGCCTGGTCTCCTGAGTCCATGCTTTTGCAGATCCTTGTCCCTCTGCTTCAAACACCCGCTTCCATCCATCTATCCATCCATCCATCCATCCATCCATCCATCCATTCAGTAAATAATAATTGTGCTCTCTTTACATGCCAGGCATAGTGTGAGTTGCCAAAGTTACAGCAGTCAACAAGACAGTGTTTTTGGCCCCTTGGAGCTTGCGTTATAGTGGAGGGAGATACACCTTAGAAAGAGAACAAGCAACAAAAATATGTATGTATTTTGAATTGATGTAATTATGTACACACGTGCGCATGTGTGTGTGTATGTTTATAAGTGTAAAATGCCATGAGGGAAATTAAACAGCATAATGCGTTGGTCCTTGGGGTGAGGAGACAGTAGCCTTGGATTACTAATTCATTGGGCTAACACTTATTTGTTTATCTACACTCCAATCAGGGGTCACTTCCTCCTGGAAGCCTTCCTGGATCAGAGCCCATCTGAATGGATGCCCCTTGTCAGTGCTCTCAGAGCACCACCCCCACCGCCCCGGCCATACCATGTCTCAGGGCTTAATGCGTCAACACAACTTGTGATCAGTGTCTGTCTCCAGAGGCTATAAGCTCCCTGAGGTCAGTGATTGTGATGTTCATTGCTCAGCATGGTGCCTGGCTCAGAGTAAATACAAGCTGATGGTTGTGAGTGAATGCCTGGACTGCATGGTCCAGGGCTAGGACTTGGGGTTGGAGAGATCAAGGAGGCAAACCCAGGCGGGCTCCACCCCACTCTATTTAGGAGAGTGCAGCTGCAATTGGAATTGTGGAACTCAGCTGGGCGTTTGTTTATAAACGACAAAGGCAGGTGGGAGCTTTTGAGGAGCCCCTCATTCATCCTGCCCCCATCACCTTCCAGTCATTTTCCAGTTATTTAGAACCAACAGGCCAGATAGCCCTTAACCAAGCAATATACATGTTAATGTGGAGAGCATGGGCTGAGATTGAAGTAGCAGCGAAAACACATTATTCAAAGGGGAAGGCAAGGACGAAAAGAGAAATGAATGCAGGGAGAGGCTAGGGACAGCTCTTCCCTTTATTCAAAGTCACAACCAGGCTTGTCTCCCCAGGGCCTGGTACCCTGCTGGGCCCCACACCCACTCCCCCACTCCGCAGCCTCCCTGCTAAACACTCTTCCCCCAATCTAAAAATGCCCTTAGTTTATTTTTAGCCCTTTCCAGAAGGCCCCTGGCAGTCTAACTTTAATTAGAATTGTACCCAAGGAAGCCAGAGCTATTGATGGAATGATTTCTCCTTCTCTTCTTGTTGGCATTGTGTAGGGGGTGCCAAAAATGCTTTCAGAGAAGTGGAAAATTTAGCGTTTATTTGTTTTTCTTGGCTAACTGGTACCCGTCCAGGAAGGTATGTGAGAAGGAACACCGCAGATGGTGGGAGAAGGGGGCGCAGGCTCCTGCCTCCTCCTCTCGAAAGCTGTTGGGATTCCACACCCTGGCCTCTGGAGCGTGTCTTGTTTGCTTCCTCTGTGAAGTGGGGTTACCTTTCCTGTCCAGCCTCCCTTCCTGAGTTATAATGAGAAGCAAGTGAGGTAAGGAGTGACTTTCTTATTATAAAATGAGGTGACTTTCTTATTACAAGGTGGTTTGTATAAATTAAGGATGAAGGCATGAAGGGCCATGGGCCCAGGGGCTGGAGACGGCAGGCAGGCAGGCAGGGAGGAGAGGGGTCAGATTTCTAGGTTCTTGAGCATTGCTACATCAAAGTGACCTTTGCCTCCAACTCCCTCTGGCTCTAAGGGAAGATGGGGTTTTCAGAAGGATAGAAATGGTTAGGGGGAGACCTTTGGAAATGAGGACTCCACAGCGTGCTCTAGGACCACCTGGAGGGACAGCACCCCCTTTTGATTCCAGGCCCCAACTCTGCAGGTTGTGATCACATCGGAGGTACCTGGCCAGGTGGGCTCTGGTAGTCTCCCCAGAATCTGACCAGGCACAGCCAGGGTGTCAGAGAGTGGCAGTGAGGACTCTGCAGCCCTCCTGGGAGCATGGTGGACACTCATCTAGACAGGCATATACCCCCAGCAGTGGACACACGCGGCTATGCACATGCAACCCTGCACACACACACACACGCGCGCACACACACACACACACACGGGCATGCACACATGCATGCTAGAAACTCACAGAAATTTCCGAGCAAAACCCTTATTAGTCATAGCAGATTGGGTCATTGTGCCTGTGTTTGGTATTAGTCATTGCAGGTTGGATTATCCTGTCATAACAAACAACTTACAACTAGCTCAGGGACTTAATACAAGCAGAGTCTATTTCTTTCTTTCACATATTTGCTGTGGATCCAGGTGATTTTCCAGGGCAACTTCCCCACAGGTGTTGGCTCTGCATTCCACGCTGCACCTGTCTCATGGCACTTCTGTCTTAACAGGTGATCACTACCACAGGATCATAGCTGAATGCCAACCACAAAACACTTTGGCAATTGCAGAAGGCAGGTCTCATTCCTGTGTAACCAGTTATTCATAAACATGAGTTACACCTTTTGACTCTCACCCCTTCCACTTCTCAGTTTCCTTCTCTGGCTTCATTTTCTCCTTTAGTGAAGAAGATGAACAAGATGACTTTCTGCCCAGACATTCTGAAGTGAAACATGCCCGGCAGGCTGAGCATGGTGGCTCTCGTCTGTAATCCTAGCACTTTGGGAGGCTGAGGCAGGAAGACTGCTTGAGGCCAGGAGTTTGATACCAGCCTTGGCAACATAATGAGACCCTGTCCATATTTTTAAAAACAACAAAACTAAATACAACATGCCCAAAAGTCTTGCACTCCTTTATCTTACTGTCTTGGGGCTCTGGGTCAGGTGCTCTGATCTCCCCAAGGTCACCCTATTTTGTGAGAAATATCTGGCTCCATCCCTGAGGAGCTACCTAGCAGACCTGGCTCATGCCTTCATGCCTCCATTCTTGCTCCTGATGGATGAAGTTCATCTGCCTTAATTTAGTGTCTGAGGTTTTCTAACTTCAGTCCAAATTAGTTTTCCAGACTCACTGGACATTTCAACTCTAGTCCAAATCAACAGATCACTCTTCCTTACATATGGCCTTGGGCCTCAGGTCACCCTCCTTTTCTCCTTGTTCACTCTGCTCTTTCTACGTTGATCTTGTTTTTGGTTCCTTGAATATGCTGAGCTTGTTCCTGCCCCAGGGCCTTTGCGCTTGCTGTGCGTTTGCTGTGCTCTTCCTCAACCCACTCCATCTCCTCACTGTCTTCTCAGCTGAGACGTCACCACCTTAGAAGGGACTTCTTTTTCACCACCTCTGGAGCATTGCCATCTTTAGTTTCCCCAGCATATTGACTTCATGTCCCTTCTCCCAATCAGAAGGTATCTAGTATTTTTTATTTATTTACATTTGTTGTTTGTCCTTCCCAATTAGAATGTAAGATCATGAGGGCAGGAGCTGTGTCTGTCTTCTTTACTCATGTATCCCCAGCACTTATTTTTATTTTTGAGACAGGGTCTCTCTCTCTCACACAAGCTAGAGTGCAGTGGTGCAGTTACAGCTCACTGTTGCCTCGAACTCCTGGGCTCAAGCAATCCTCCTGCCTCAGCTTCCCAAATAGCTGAGACTACAGGTATCCACTACCATGTCTTATCCCCAGCACTTAGTACAGTGAGTGGCACATAGTAGTTGCTCAGTAAAATTTGTCAACTAAATTGATGCTGCTTCTGAGTATTCACTCTCCTTCCTTCCTTCACCTGAACTTCTCCTTCACCCCATCCCCATTTTAGCATCTCTGCAGGCTACATGTTCTTTCCGTCAACTAAAAGATTACTTCTTTCATGAGTTTTTCACTTATCATGTTTCCAGTCCCCCTTCCCCCAGCAAGAAGGTATCATTCTCAAAGGACAACTATATTCTCCTTATGCTTCTGAACCTCACAACAACCCAGGGGTAAAGTCCTCAGAAACAAAGAGGCTTGGAGAGCTTCTGTGGCTGGGGTGTAATCCCTTCATGCCTTAAAACTGTGTGTCTTGCCTTCAAATCCAGCACCAATCTTCCACATGGCAGCAATGTTCGTTTCCTTTTACATGCTGGTTATACACAAAGAAACCAAACTGCAGTCCCTATCTCAGTGGGAACAACAGCTCATTGTACCTACTTCTCTCCTGATGGTCCAGGTGTCATAGAAGAGACATGTCCTGGGCGTCAAAGGAACCCCAAGGAGACTGCACCCTAGGACCGGTGGGAAGTGGGCCTGTGATGACTTCCAGGAGGACGTGCTTTGGGAATCTGGTCTTGAAAGAGGAGAAGTTGGCCAGGCTGGAGGACAAGATGGACATTTCAGGTCAAGACAGCCTCAGGACAGCATTGGAGAAAGGGCCAACGGCCCCAGATTTGCTCTCTGGTGGCTATTCAGAGTCATAGATACCTCTCCCTTGATTTTGGTGCATGGAGAAGACATGAAGTCAGATGCGACTAGAATAGGCACCCCACCACCCCCAGGGCTGCACAGGTCCGTGGTGGAGGGTGGTCTCAGGACTGGTGAAGTAAAAACCAGCCTGGAAGGAGAATAGTAAAAAGACCCGGAAAGGGCTAGCAGAGAGGGGGCATTCACAGGGTGAAAGTTTAGCACCATGGACAGCAAAAGCCAGGGACTCCTGGAAAGTAGGCAGTCGGAAGTCTGCACCAGGTGTGTCCTATTCTGCAACACATTGTTATTCTTCAAACTTTAAAAAGCTTTTGAGAAGGTCTTGGGTTTGATTCTGTCATTAAGAAGATGTGAAGCCATGGGGAAGTTGTGTAATGTCTTGGAATCTCAGTGTTCTCGTCCAGAAAGTGAAGATTATAATGCTAAAAGACTGAATGAAAAAAAATGTAAGTGAAGTGGGAAGTGAGGACCATACCTTAATAAATATGTTTCCTTTTCTGTCTGCTTGTCAGGGGCCAGATGACTGCCCCTGACCAGGGGTCATGGTTGCATAAAGCCTGGATTTCAAACGAAGGTCTCTGCTAACCTTGGGGCCTTCGATGTCTCTGGTTGGCAGGAGAGGTGCTGACTAAGCGGCTGTTCATCATAGCAAGGTGCGTTATCAGTCCCAGTTCCTCAAGTAATTAATCCCCCCCATGAAGCTTTTTTGTTCACAGCGAGTGTTAACTGTGACCGCTCCTCCACCATCCGGACAGTGAAACTTACTCTCATTTTTCTGGAGGGTAAAACAGAGGCAGAGAGAGTTGAAATGCTTTGCCCAGAAGCCCTGCAAGCAGAGAGTGCTGGAACTAGAATTCCCAGACCTGGACTCTCGAGTTTATTGCTTACCTTCTTTAAGTCATGTTCTTCTTCCCCCATAGCTCAATTAAAAACAAAATAAGACAAAACAAAAAGCAATGTTTCCTGAACAGAAAAGCACAGAGCCAGTTAGGACAAAAGTCGATTTGTTGTGGCTGGATTGGGTTTCTCCTGCCTCAGACGGCTCAAATGCTTTCACAAATGGTTTTAAAATAAATTGGGAGATAAGGTAACAATAGAGTTTCTCAATAATGATGACAATAAAAAGAAAACAAGACTATGTGGCTTCCCCCACTGTTTGACTTGCAGCTTTTGGGGAGGGAACTTCACTGGGGAGAGTGGGGTGAGGCAGAGGAGGACTGCGTCTCTTGGGGGCTGGGTGGGTAAGCCTTGCAGATGATGGAAATCTATTCAGTTGTCTCCCATGACCACACTTCTTGGAGAACACAGCAAGGATGGAAATCTTTATTTTTTAAATTTTATTTTATTATTACTTTTTTGAGACTGGGTCTCACCCTGTCACCCAGGCTGGAGTGCAGTGATGCAATCTTGGCTCACTGCAACCTCCACCTCCAAGGTTCAAGTGATTCTCCTGCCTCAGCCTCCCGAGAAGCTGGGATTACAGATGTCTGCCACCACACCTGGCTAATTTTTGTATTTTTTGGTAGAGATGGGGTTTGACCATGTTGGCCAGGGTGTTCTCGAACGCCTGACCTCAGGTGATCTGCCCACCTTGGCCTCCCAAAGTGCTGGGATTACAGGCATAAGCCACCACACCCGGCCGATAGAAGCCTTTAGAAGGAAGAGATTTGGGGCTGGCAGAAAGTTAGCTGGCATAGGGCAATGCATAGTGAATATTCCAACAAATATGAATAAACTCACTGGTCACCTCCCTCATTCCCTTGCTTGTCTCCCAGAGGCTGCCTCTTCGATCTTCTCCACCAAGGAACTGTGTCTCCTCTGTGTGAGAAGCTCCAGCGAGAGAGAGCTGAGTGCCTTCTCAGTGAGGTGGGAGATGGGTGGACACAGCAGTGGCTGGGGAGGCCTGGGCTCCTTCTGACTCAGTGGTGAGTTTGGTTGGACACCACAAACAGGGGGTTTAGTTACTGGAGTAACTGGGCTTTCATGAAAATGTTGGTTTGATAACAGTGATTATCTGCTGGAAAAGTTTAGGCACCATTAGATGGACAACGTTTAAGGGCAATTCTAGGGCTAAGAGGGTGTGATTATTGAGATGTGGGTGGCTGGGCTGGGACTAGGATGAGGCAAGAGAGGCACTAAGGCACAAAATCGAAAGGGGGCTTTGCTCTCAGGGATGAAGGGAGCACCTCCCTTCATTTTGCCCCCTGGGCATCTCTTGCCTCATCCTAGTCCCAACCCTGGTGGGTGAGCAGATATATCCATATTTCTCTCTTAGTTCCTGGAGGACTGCATGGTCACCTGAGGTCACCTGGATTAGCCAAGAGAAACAAAGAATAGGAAGGAGGCGAGTGGGTGGCATGATAAGCTCTTGTGTAAACCAAAGAAAGTCCAGTCCACTGGGGAAGGGAGAATGAAAGTGTGACAAGAGGCCGGAGGCTTTCTTTCCAAAATGTCTAGGAGGTGATGGGGGTAGGAGGGGTCTGTTAAGAAATGAGTATGTGAATCCCAGAGCCGGAGGAGTCTGGCCTTGAATCCTAGAAGTGTGAGCCTGGACAAGTCACTTTGCCTTGAGTAGTGGTTTTCTTATCCGTGAGACTAGACTCTGCTACCCTCTCCAGAGAGTTATTGAGAAGGTGAGATAAAGTATGTAGAAGGCCTTGGGAGGGTTGGTTCTGAGGATGTAAAAAGACAGTTATTTAGAAAATGCCAATTTCTCACTTTTTCCAGATTGTATTGTGGGGAAAAAAATGCCAGAAAACCTTAAATCTACCCACTAAACCCATAAATTCTGCCACCATCCTCCAGTGGAGACAGGGACAGTTGTTCTTACAACTTGGGAATATCCTTTCTTGCTTCATGCCTAACTTGGATACCCTTGGGCACCTGAGAGAGGGAGCAAGAAAGAAGGAGGAGGTGGCATAGTTATCCTATCAGAGGACCCTGAGGCTGAGTCACAGCTGGGAAAGAGGCAGGGGCATAGAAGGGAAGGGAGGAGAGCAGCACAGGCTCTGTGCTGGGTGTGTGAGTGCTAGAGAGATGGTGTTCAAATCAGTCCAATTGACACCAGTATCTGGGGTCTTTCCTCTGCACTTGTTTGTCCCTGTGAGTAGGCAGGGGTGTTGGTAATGTCTATGTCAGCCGGCTCTAACCTATGCATTACGATGAAGATAGTGATGGAAGCTTGATCCATATCAAATGCTGGTAAGTGGTAGAGCTGTAACTTAAATTTGTTCTGTGTGGTCCCAGATTTGTGATCTGGCTATTCTGCTGATTTGATTTGGCTGTGTCCCCACCCAAACCTCATCTTGAATTGTAGTTCTCATTATTCCCACATGTCATGGGATGGACCCAGTTGGAGGCAATTGAATCATGGAAGCGGTTTCCCCCATGCTATTCTCATGATAGTGAGTAAGTTCTCTCAAGACCTCATTGTTTTAAAAGGGGCTTCCTCCTTTGCTGGGTTCTCATACTTCTCCTTCCTGCCACCATGTGAAGAAGGACTTGTTTGCTTCCCCTTCTGCCATGACTGTAAGTTTCCTGAGGGCTCCTCAGCCATGCTGAACTGTGAGTCAATTAAACCTCTTTCCTTTTTAAATTATCCAGTCTTGGGTATGTCTTTATTAGCAGCATGAGAATGAGCTAATACATTTTCCATACCACATTCAGTGGTTCAAGTTCCCGACTTACTCTCCCAAGTCCTACCCTGAGCCTCCATCTGTGCTTTTAAATGAGATTGTATGAGTTAGGGTAACATTAACTGCTGTCCAAAGCTCAAAATTTCAACTTGTGACTCCACTCTTGGAACAGATACCTTACTTCTGGGATTGCTGTTCTCATCTATCATTGTAGAAGGAGGGAGCGTGAAGAATCTTGCCTGGGAGGTGGCACGAGATGCTTCACTTTTGCTCAGTCCTTCTGGCCAGAACTCAGTTACTTGACCACACTTCGAAGATGCTGGAAAGC